>NC_000015.10:38125358-38428389 GCF_000001405.40 Homo sapiens
CCCAAAGGATTATAAATCATTCTACTATAAAGCCACATGCACATGTATGTTTACTGCAGCACTATTCACAATAGCAAAGACTTGGAACCAACACAAAAGCCTATCAATGATTAACTAGATAAAGAAAATGTGGGCTGGGCACGGTGGCTCACGCCTGTAATCCCAGCACTTTGGGAGCCCGAGGCAGGTGGATCACAAGGTCAGGAGATTGAGGCCATCCTGGCTAACACAGTGAAACCCCGTCTCTACTAAAAATACAAAAAAAATTAGCTGGGCATGGTGGCATGTGCCTGTAGTCCCAGCTACTTGGGAGGCTGAGGCAGGAGAATCACTTGAACCTGGGAGGCAGAGGTTGCAGTGAGCCGTGATTGCGCCACTGCACTCCAGCCTGGGTGACAGAGAGAGACTCTGTCTTGGAGAAAAAAAGAAAAGAAAATGTGGCACATATATACCAAGGAATACTATGCAGCCATAAAAAATGATGAGTTCATGTCCTTTGCAGGGACATGGATGAAGCTGGAAACCATCATCCTCAGCAAACTGACACAGGAACAGAAAACCAAACACCACATGTTCTCACTCATAAGTGGGAGGTGAACAATGAGAACACATGGACCCAGGGAGGGGAACATCCCACACTGGGGCCTGTCAGTGTGTGGGCGGCTAGGAAAGGGATAGCATTAGGAGAAATACCTAATGTAGATGACAGGTTGATGGGTGCAGCAAACCAACATGGCACATGTATACCTATGTAACAAACCTGCACGTTCTGCACATGTATCCCAAAATTTAAAGTATAATAATAAAAAAGAAATTAAAAAATGTAAATAAAATAAAAAGGGAATGCACATAACTGTCAACTAAAATTGCCTACCTAAGTCTAAAGCAGTCCTTTTTCATCAAAAGGCTATGTTCCAATATATAACAGCCGTTAACAGTCAAAGATTTTCAAGATTACTTCTCTCCCAGAAGTTTTCTCTAGTTAAGGGAGAGCAGTAAGATTTCTATTTTACTTTGGATTCTATTCTTGGGCATCTAGCACTAAGTTCTATCTGCTCCCAAGATTCAAATTCCTAATTGACATAATGGAATATATGAGTGCACATGTCAGGAGGCATGGAGGTAGTGTGTAAATCAAGGGGCAAAAATATAATTTAAGGCCCTCCAAAAGAAAACATAAATCAAAGGTTAGAGTTAGCAGAGAGACAGGAACTAAGCAAGGAAGCAGAAATCAGATCATGTGAATATATGGGGAAACGAGAAGCAAACGAAGGTAAAATTAGAGGAAATCTCAACACTAACAGAAAGCTCAGGGGTACAAAGTTAGAATAAGATAGAAGGAATAAGTTCTGGTGTTTCATTGCACATTTGGGTGATGATGGTTAACAGTAAGCCACTGTATATTACAAAATAGCTTAGAAGAGAGACTTTTGAAGTTTCTCACAGCAAAGAAATGATAAATATATGAGTGATGGATAAGCTAAATATCTGATTTGATCATTATAAAACATATATATGTACACATTAAATTATATATACCTCATAAATATGTACAATTACAATGTGCAATATAAAAAAGAAAGAAGAAAAAGAAGCTCAGGTAAGTGGTCAGTAGCCAGGAGATCCATCTGCATAGAATGCTAAGGTAGTGTGGTCTCCAAACAGATAGGGTGCATCAGATGCAAAAATTATCTATTCCCAGGCATTCAGCTGTCCTACTCCAATGCTTCTTAGCTCTTTTCTGCTGAGCTTGATCCAAGCATCTAACCTGGGAGGTAAGTGGGAAGGAAGACATATGAGTAGGAAATAAGAACAGATCATGTATTTACAGCTACTACTTATAAATTCAGATATGGATGAGAAGGGAAGAGCGATGTGGAAATGGGGGGAAACCATTCTGAAGGACTTCAGTCAGGCACTATGTCCTTGGGGAAGACATCCTGGAATCCCTTGCGTAGGCTGGAGCCCCTCCTGCTGCTCTCACAGACTCCTTCTCTTCCACCTGCCATGACATCTACCACACCCAGTGGTGACTATCCATCTCCCATCCAGGCTGCAGCCACCTTGAAAACAAGCATGATGGCTTATTCACTTTTACATGCCCTATCTACAGCAGTTTTGCAACAAGGGCTTATCAAATGTCAACAATTACCTTTATCTTATCAAACCACAAGTTCCTTATAGACAGGAAGTACACTTTTATGATACTTCATAAGGATGATATTTCAGTTGATAAAGAAGATGAAGTAATGGCCTTTGTCCTCTTATGACTCATTCAAGCAATATCTAAGACCTTAGGTGTCTACAGTCATGCCAAAGAACTCCTCTTCTTGACACTAGAAGCATATTCCTCTTACTGACTATTTCTCAAAAAGTGCTTGTCTGTGTTTGAGACTAAGTTTCAAGAATTTGAGTCTTTTAAATGCATTCCTCTCAGCTCTGTTTTCTATAATGGGCTCTTGGTAGTTTTTCAAAGAGGTAATATCACATGGTGATTAAGAGGTTGGACTGATGAAACACATTACCAGAGTTGTAGCCCAGCTCCTTCTCTTATCATCTGGTGACCCAGGGCAAGTTACATAACCTATCCGTGCCTCTGTTTTTCCATCTGTAAATGGGAATCAAGGTGGTTTTGAGGATTATCTACAATACTGGCAATTTTTATAAGTACTGGAAACAGTGCCTGGCACATAGTAAGCTATATACGTTATACAAAAATTAGCTATTATATTTTGCTTCACCAGATGCCAACTGATTACTTTGATCAACAACTATAATATCCACAATATATTGGGGTCCCACCTCAAAACATTACTGCTCTAGCCCAAATTTTGGTAAGAGGGCATTTTGTTGTAAAAATAAGTAAATATGCTTAAAATGGGGGAAAACAAGCACATGTTAATATTTCTTCATTTGTCATGAAAATAAACCATAATAAACTTCCTGAATTTATCATACAAAATTCCAAGGATTTATCTGAAGAAACTAAAATTGAGGAAGGTATGTATCTTTTTGCCTTAATCATTTCCTAAGAAGTTACTAAACCTGAGGTCATTATTATTTATACAGGAAGAGAATCTCTTATACTTCTGGAAAATTTCAAAACATGGCCAACATGTTTTCTGATCATCACCACTTCCTGTGGTGGGGTTTAAAAACCATGCCAACTTTCATAACTGCTGAGATTTACAGAGTAAAGTCTCATTTGATAATCTTGCAAAATGGATAGGCAGAATTTCTCTTCCTTTTCTAAATGCCACATATGCCAGCTTTGCAGAGAGTTAAAAAAAAAAATTCCAACCAGCTCCAAGCCGGCTTCACGCAGGAGTACACACTATTCCTCAGCTCTGTCTCCAGCGTAGCCTGGGAAATCCCTCTTGCCTCATGATGTCTCCTAGATCTAGTTATTCCAGCCTGGAATCCCTCATACTAAAGGAAGAAAGGGTTTTCACTCCAGTCTCCTAGGTTCTGGCTAGTATCTCTGGTATCTAAATAATAAAAAATAGGAAAGAATTAATTCAAAAAATAAAATGTTCATTTGTCTAAAATAACAAAGGACTAAGATATAATTTCAAATGATTGTGAATAACTTTCTCAGAATTAGCCATTTTCAAAGATTTTGTAAATAAAATAAAATAACACATGGTACTAAAATCATGCTTGAACATAACTTGATTTTTCAAAGATGTGTGCTCTGCTTTATGATCGTCTCCAGAAAGAGCAGTCCTGGTTTAATAGGATCAGAATGTGTAGCCTATGGAGCCAGAATTAAATGGTTCAAAGCGTCCTTCCAAAGTTGCTTTTTAAATAAATCCTTGCTTATTTGTTTATTTTTAGCTTGCCATTTGTCACAAGTTGAGGGGGAAAACAAATTCCACTTATTTAAGATTTTTATTTTTTTCTGATTTTGTTTACATTGCTCATCCTGGCCTTTAAAAAATATCTTTTAAATTTTATCTGGCTCATTTTGACCTATTTATATCATGTGCTTATCCCCCATTTATAGCTGTGTTAATAGGCATAGACAAGCCAGTAGTATCTCCTTTGTAAAATAGCAAAAATAACTGCTTTTTTTTTTAGTCCAACCAGCTCACACTATTAGACATATAGAGCACATTTGAGTCAAAGTCCTCTTCCTCAGAAACCCTGTTGTTACCATGGGAAAACTGTAAAAATGCTCAAATGTGGGCATGTTATAATTAGAACCAAACGTGGGCTTTATGGGACCTGTCATGATGTTTCTAGGAAGCTAGTTCTGCGTTGGCTTCATAAGACATCCTTTTCCTACAGTCATGACTCACTCCTCCTTCTCCTCACTCACCCCCACTTGTTCTGGGGTGGAAGAATGCCCAAATGCTCCAGAGACAGATGCGTAGGCGGATGTCCAGTCCACTAACGAGAACACACTTCTAGGCATTGTGGAAGTGGGACAAAGGGTTTTGCTGGGCATATTCAGAGCCAACAATGTGATGGTTATATGTTTATCACACATGGAGAGACTCATTTCTTTGGCAACCAACCCTAGCCTACTCACTAATCCACCCAACCCCTCCCATCCCTCCCTCCTTTCTTCCTTTCAGGAAAGCGTGTGCAAGTTCTCCGCAAAATGATGAATCTCTGCTCCTCAGGGGAATGTACGAATCAGAAAAGCTTTTAAAAAGGAAAGAGGAACCAAAGCCTTTGCATAAGTAGGCCAGCTGCAGAGCCTTAAGAGAGAAGGGAGGGGAGAAATCTCCTTGCGGCCATGGCCCCAAACCTCCCGGCTGCCACTTGTCTCCATTGTCTTCCCACAACCCCAAACAAGTCAGCCCACACCTCCGTGACTGCACCCGCTGTCATTTTCAGGAAAAGAGATTTTCTGAGCCCATCTTGGCATTTCTGTGAAATCACAGAAATAATTCATTGAATCACAGAACTGAAAGAGATGATCTAATCACTTTTATTTTTAAGATGATGAGAATGCCACCAGGGGAGTTTCACTGACCTGTCCATGCTCGCACAGATCTGGAAACACAGAGCCAGAACTAGAGTCCGGATCTCCTTGTCCTACTCTTTCGTCTTTCTCACATGGGCTTGTAAAAGCAAATCGTTCTGTAGATACACTCTTTTCGCCTCAGTTCCCTGGCTAGGTTTCCTTTAAAGCTTGCTTCTTCTTCGCCTGGTGTGACGTATAACGGGCATACAGATGAGCTGAGGCTGATTATAAAGACTCATCTGTAGTAACTGTTAAAAATGGAGATTCCCAGGCCTTTCCCTGGGAGATTCTGGAATAAGGCTAAGGAATTGTTTAACCAGTTTCCTGCATGTGTTTTATGATAAAGCCAGTTGAGGGAATAATGTAGTAGAGGGACGCTGGAAAAAAAAAAAAAAAAAAAAGTATGTTTGACAGGCAGCGTGTCCCAATAAGAATAGAACAAGGGCATGGAGAGGACCAGGAATTTTGCCTTCTAGCTGCTTTTTCAGTGGGTTAACCACTAGACCACACTTCCTCTCTAGGAGAGGCAAGGGATTAAAATCAAAGGTTTGCCACTGATTCATGCTGCCTGCTAATGCTGCTTATTGCGCCATGCTGTGACCCTAAGCTCTCTGGCTTGGAAACAGATGTGGGGAGTGAGAGGCCTGAGGTACTGGGGGATGGAGGAGGCGGGGGAAGGCAGACGGCCAGGGAAAGAACTTCCTCTGCTGCAAAATTTCAGGCAGGAGTGGAAGTCAGTCTAAATTGTTACCATGCAGATCTGGAATCATTTTTGCAATCTCCTGGCTCCAATTCCAGGTTTGTGCATTCTGCAACAAGAACTGAAAACTTGTTAATTAATGCTCCTCGCCTGACTTTTGCCTCTGCCCTCGTCTGAATACATATTAATATTACACGTTTAGCTTGACAGTCATTTCATTAGGCAAGAGAGTTTGGTTACCCTCCTACTCTTGCCCCATTCTCTCCCCCGTGCACACTTTAAAAGGAAGTACAGAAGAGTTAAGCAATTTGACCAAGGTTACGCTGATCTCAATATTGTAGTAGTTTGAGTAAAAGTGTAACCGAGACATTTTCAACTAAGCTTTTCAGACTGCCTTCAATATATTCTTATCATTAGGCAACTGAAAAAATGTTTTGGATTTATTTTCTCCTATGTGATGAGTACATGACATGTCCTTGGGCCTGTAGTTTACCACGTCAATGTTTATCAAAAACATGTAGGCTTTGAGTGTTAAATATCAATTCTAGAAATAGTTTTTGTACCTTCTCTGCTCATCTGGAAGTTCCATGAAGGCAGGGTGGGAATTTCAGCCTTGGTTGTCACTAGATACTGCACATGCGGTAGTGCTTAATGGCCAGGGGGTATAAGAGCTGGATTTTAGGTCTGTAGGAACTAGAGTTCTCAGATTTAACAAAGAAAAAAGCAGGATGGCCAGTTTAATTTGAATTTTGGGTTTTAAAAATGTTAATATGAGCAAGTCTCATGCAATGTTTGGTAGATACTCATATTCAACAATCATTGGGTTGAAAAAATATGATAAGTTTAGTGTAGCTGGAGCATCTAGTCTGTGTGTATTTAGCAAGGGGGCAGGGTTGATCAACATCAAGAGGTAAGGTTTGAAGTTTTTATTGGGGGAGCCTTGTGAAGTGCCTTTATGCCATGCATATGTTGGTGGAGAGAGGAGCCAGCAAGAATTTTTCAGCTGAGTGGTATGATCATTGCTGTTTTTGAAAGATAATTCTGTGGCAGATTGGAGTGGGTAGAAATTGTAGGCAGGGGGACCAATTAGGAGGTTATTGAAATAGCCTGGGCAAGGAAGGATGAACTTATTTCAACTAAGGCAGTGGTGGTGGAAATAGTGAGAGAAATTACAGGGACATGTAGGTGATAGAATCAACAAACCTTGTTGATTGATTGCCTAAGGACAGTAACATAGAGGATGGAGTTAACATAGTGTAAATCTCCAGACAAACAATAGGCATTGTTTTTAATCTAATTGTCTATCTGTAGAATGGGCTGACAATACTGACTCTACTTACTTCATTAGGCTATTGTGAAGACCAATTAAGATCATTTACGTGAAAGTGTTTTTTGACTATAAAGTGCTATAAAATACACCGTTGTTAAGAGTATATGCATCTATCTCAGTAGACACTGAACTCTTTCAGGACAAAGATTACATTTTGTTCATCTTTGGTACCCCCAGCACCTAGCACACTGCCTTGAATGTATAGATCACCAACACATTTGGAGCATCAAACCAAATTTGAAATTCTACCCTGAAAAACCAAAGTAATAAACACAGTTTTTCAATGGATCTGGCTTGGTGAAACCTTCAACAAAATCAGGGCTACAAATTCCAGGAGAAATGCCCACTTAAGGAATGCTGATGCTGAAGACAATCTCTTTCTCTTTGTTCACAGACACACTAAACACTGACGGCCATCTTAGCTGCTCATCTAGCTTTCCCTCTTTGTATCCCTCCCATTATAAATTATTTAAAATCCTAAAGAAATAATCACTTATCAAGAGGTCAGGAGATCGAGACCATCCTGGCTAGCATGGTGAAATCCCATCTCTACTAAAAACACAAAAAAATTAGGTTAGCGTGGTGGCACACACCTGTAGTCCCAACTACTTGGGAGGCTGAGGCAGGAGAATCGCTTGAACTGTGTCTGAAAAAAAAAAAAAAATCACCTGACCTGTTTTAGATATCACCCTGGTAGTGTCTGGTAAGTCCCACTAGACTCTTGAGCTTAGCTTAGTTTAGGTGAGGAATACTCTGTCCTTTATCTCTGTATTTCTGTATCTACCACCAAGCCTACTCTGTGGTTGGTGCTCAATAATAATCTTATAAATAAAAAAAGATAATAATTTGCAAATTAAATACCACTCAAACTTTGAATATGTCCAAGTCTCTATTTTCAACCAAGCAAAAAACTTGTGAATTGTATTGCAAAATATAGGTACCACATTTTCAAATAATTTCATTGGAATTTTATCCTCTCATAATAAATTTATCTCTCTTGATCATTTTTCTTTTCTTTCCTTTTTCTTGTTGATTCTGTTTGCCATTTCTTACAATATTTTGATTCTAAGGATTTTTTTATACTTCCCTGTAACTTTTTTTATTCTATGTATAATCAAAACAATATCCAGAGAGACTGCCAAAAGCAGTCTTCCACTTCCATCAACTGGAAATTATTATATATGGGTATCATTATTATTATTATTGTTTATGGTTATCATTTATTGAGCACATATCATGGGACAATTATTATACTAGACGCTTTAGCTATATTATTTAATTTAAACATTAAGCAGTCATAAAACAGCTCCTACTACCCCCTTTTTATATATAAAAACCTGAGGCTTTAAAAATGTTAAGTAAGTTATTTCAGGTCAAAGAGTTTAAAGGTGACAGAGACAGTATTTAAGCCAGGCCTCACTGATTCTACAGTCATTTTCTCACTACTCAACCAATTACTCTCAAATTCTATCAGGCATCAGAGTCTCCTGGAGAGTTTTTTAAACTACAGATGGCTGTGTCTCCCCTCCAGAGTTTCTGATTCAGTCAAGCTGGATGGGACATAATTTATAGCGCTAACAAGTTCAACCAGGTGATGCTGATGCTGCTGATCCAGGGATCACACTTTAAGAATCAACAGACTAAACAGTACTGCCTAATATTGGCTCATTATTGATCACTAGTTCTATGACATAGACCTGAGCAGCGAGGATACAAAGATAAGTGAGGCACCAGACTGGGCAACGTAAGGAGAGTCCATCTCTACAAAAAAAATTTAAAAATTAGCCTGGTGTTGTGACGCATGTCTGTAGTTCATGCTAGTTGGGAGGCTGAGGCAGGAGGATTGCCTGAGCCCAAGAATTATAATTGCCCATTGCACTCCAGCCTGGGCAACAGAGCAAGACCCAGTCTCAAAAATAAATAAATAAATAAATAAGACGAGTGAAGCAGTTGTTTCTGCCCAAGAAGTTCCTACACACTCTGCTCATCTGGCTCATTGCAAAAAGTTCCTCAAGACTGCAACTTTTCAGATCAGCCACCCTCACAAGAACAGTTGCCTAGCAATGGCTGTTTTCACCAATGAGTTAACATCAGCTCCTGCAGCAGGTCCCTGTGGCCAATGACGTTTGTTTCAAAGCAGCTTATGTGTACTTCTTCTTTTTGCCTTTAAGAGTTTTTCCTTATCCCAGCCTCTCCAGACATGCCTATGATTTGTCATAACATGAGTTTTAACCCCCTGTTTATTCCCAATTGAATTCATTTCTATCGATAGGAATTCTCTCTGTTGTTATCTTAGATTGACACATATGAGTAAACAGAATATCAATAATATAAACATAGTAAGTTCTATGGAGCCATATGCAAGGGTGCTATGAAAACACTGAGTGGCAAGGTAGGAGGCAGCCAAAGAAGCCATGCTACCCAAAAGTAATCCTTAAACTGAATATTAAAGAATGATCAAGAGCTAGGGAAAGAGGAAAAAGGGAGAGGGTATTTTCCTTAATGGAAACAACATATGCAGAAACACAAAGACATTACATTTTTGGTGTACCAAGAAAACTACAAGTATTTTATTATGACTGGCACATAAGCAGTTGCAGAATATTAGAGAAAGTCTTACATGTGACCCTGAGTTTGAATTTTATACTTGAAGAAAGACCAGCCTTTTTTGTTGTATGGAGACTCCAGATGTGGGAACTAGAGTTACAGTAAGAAACGGGGGAATCAAGAGGGCATTTGAGTATCATAATTATCTGTGAGAAGGTCAATAAAAATTGATGAACCTCTAGCCAAATTGAGGATAAAAAGACAGAAGACAAAAATTACTGATAGTAGGATTGAGAGAGGGTATATCACTACAGATTGTACAGATATTAAAAGGGAAATGAGGAAATATTAGAATAATTTTAAGCCAATAAATTTGACTACTTAAATGAACTAGATATGTTCTTTGAAATACATACGCTAAAGCTCACTCAAGAGAAATAGATAAGCTGAATAGTCCTACATTTATTAAAGCACTTATATTTGTAGCTAAAAGCCTTTCCATAAAGAAAACGCTAAGCCAAGATCATTGGGGAATTCTACCAAATACTTAATAAAAAAAAAACTAATTCTATATAAAATCTTCCAGAAAATTGAAGATGAAATACTTCCCAATTTATTCTATAAGACCAGCATTGCCCTGATACCAAAATGAGGTAAAAGCATAAAGAAAACTACTCTCGATAATTCTCATTGGCACAAAATTAAGAAGATTGTATAAAATCAAGTCCAGCAATATATTTCAAATAATACATCCCAGGAATGCAAGCTTGGTTTAACGTCTGAAAATCAATCAATGTGATTAACCCTATAAACAGAATTTTTTAAAAGACTGCTCCAATACATCTATAAAAGCACTTAATAAACTCCAAAACACATACTTAATTAAAACTTTCAGAAAACTAGGTGTATTCATTTGTTCTTGCATTTTTATATAGAAATACCTGAGCCTGGGTAATTTATAAAGAAAAGAGGTTTAATTGGCTCACAGATCCACAGGCTGTACAGGAAGCATGATGCTGGCATTTGCTCAGCTTCTGGAGAGGCCTCAGGAAACTTTCAATCATGGCAGAAGGTCAAGGAAAAGTAGGCACATTTTACATGGCCAGAGCAGGAACAAGAGAGAGAAAGTGAGAAGTTGCTGCACACTTTTAAACAACCAGATGTCACAATAATTCACTCACTGTCATGAGAATAGCACCAAAGGGATGGTACTAAGTCATTCAAGGACCACCCCCATGATCCAATTACCTCCCATCAGGCCCCACCTCCAACATTACGGATTACAATTCAACATGAGATTTGGGTGGAGATACAGTTCGAAACCATATCACTAGGAATAGAGGAAATATTCCCAACCTGAAAGGGCAACTATGAAAAGTATATAGCTAACATACTTAATAGTATGAAATTGAATGCTTTTCCCCTAAGATAAGGAACAAAGCAAAAATGTCCATTCTTACCATTGCTATTCAATATTATACTGGAGTTTCTAGTCAGTACAATAAAGCAAGGAGAAAACACACATCCAGATTGGAAGGAAAGAAAGAACACTGTTTTCATTAATGCACAACATGATTACCTATAAAGAAAATCCCACAAAATCTACAGAAACACAACTAACACTAACAGGTAATTTTAGAAAAATTGCAGCATACAAGATCAAAATAAACAATGTCTGCTCCTTGGAACACACTGTTAAGATGTAAAGAAGAGTCACAGACTGGAATAAAATATTTGTTTCTTTTTTTATTTTTATTTTTTAAATTTTATTATTATACTTTAAGTTTTAGGGTACATGTGCACAATGTGCAGGTTAGTTACATATGTATACATGTGACACGCTGGTGTGCTGCACCCATTAATTCGTCATTTAGCATTAGGTATATCTCCTAAAGCTATCCCTGCCCCCTCTCCCCACCCCACAACAGTCCCCAGAGTGTGATGTTCCCCGTCCCGTGTCCATGTGTGCTCGTTGTTCAATTCCCACCTATGAGTGAGAATATGCGGTGTTTGGTTTTTTGTTCTTGCGATAGTTTACTGAGAATGATGATTTCCAATTTCATCCATGTCCCTACAAAGGACATGAACTCTTCATTTTTTATGGCTGCATAGTATTCCATGGTGTATATGTGCCACATTTTCTTAATCCAGTCTATCATTGATGGATATTTGGATTGGTTCTAAGTCTTTGCTATTGTGAATAGTGCTGCAATAAACATACGTGTGCATGTGTCTTTATAGCAGCACGATTTATAGTCCTTTGGGTATATACCCAGTAATGGGATGGCTGGGTCAAATGGTATTTCTACTTCTAGAACCCTGAGGAATCGCCACACTGACTTCCACAAGGGTTGAACTAGTTTACAGTCCCACCAACAGTGTAAAAGTGTTCCTATTTCTCCACATCCTCTCCAGCAACTGTTGTTTCCTGACTTTTTAATGACTGCCATTCTAACTGGTGTGAGACGGTATCTCATTGTGGTTTTGATTTGCATTTCTCTGATGGCCAGTGATGGTGAGCATTTTTTGATGTGTTTTTTGGCTGCATAAATGTCTTCTTTTGAGAAGTGTCTGTTCATGTCCTTCGCCCACTTTTTGATGGGGTTGTTTGTTTTTTTCTTGTAAATTTGTTTGAGTTCATTGTAGATTCTGGATATTAGCCCTTTGTCAGATGAGTAGGTTGCGAAAATTTTCTCCCATTTTGTAGGGTGCCTGTTCATTCTGATGGTAGGTTGCCTGTTCGCTCTGATGGTAGTTTCTTTTGCTGTGCAGAAGCTCTTTAGTTTAATTAGATCCCATTTGTCAATTTAGGCTTGTGTTGCCATTGCTTTTGGTGTTTTAGACATAAAGTCCTTGCCCATGCCTATGTCCTGAATGGTATTGCCTAGGTTTTCTTCTGGGGTTTTTATGGTTTTAGGTCTTATATTTAAGTCCTTAATCCATCTTGAATTAATTTTTGTATAAGGTGTAAGGAAGGGATCCAGTTTCAGCTTTCTACATAAGGCTAGCCAGTTTTCCCAGCACCATGTATTAAATAGGGAATCCTTTCCCCATTGCTTGTTTTTCTCAGGTTTGTCAAAGATCAGATAGTTGTAGATATGCGGTGTTATTTCTGAGGGCTCTGCTCTGTTCCATTTATCTATATCTCTGTTTTGGTACCAGTACCATGCTGTTTTGGTTACTGTAGCCTTGTAGTATAGTTTGAAGTCAGGTAGCATGATGCCTCCAGCTTTGTTCTTTTGGCTTAGGATTGACTTGGCAATGCGGGCTCTTTTTCGGTTCCATATGAACTTTAAAGTAGTTTTTTCCAATTTTGTGAAGAAAGTCATTGGTAGCTTTATGGGGATGGCATTGAATCTATAAATTACCTTGGGCAGTATGGCCATTTTCACCATATTGATTCTTCCTACCCATGAGCATGGAATGTTCTTCCATTTCTTTGTATCCTCTTTTATTTCATTGAGCAGTGGTTTGTAGTTCTCCTTGAAGAGGTCCTTCACATCCCTTGTAAGTTGGATTCCTAGGTATTTTATTCCCTTTGAAGCAATTGTGAATGGGAGTTCACTCATGATTTGGCTCTCTGTTTGTCTGTTATTGGTGTATAAGAATGCTTGTGATTTTTCTACATTGATTTTGTATCCTGAGACTTTGCTGAAGTTGCTTATCAGCTTAAGGAGATTTGGGGCTGAGACAATGGGGTTTTCTAGATACACAAACATATCACCTGCAAACAGGGACAATTTGACTTCCTCTTTTCCTAATTGAATACCCTTTATTTCCTTCTCCTGCCTAATTGCCCTGGCCAGAACTTCCAACACTATGTTGAATAGGAGTGGTGAGAGAGGGCATCCCTGTCTTGTGCCACTTTTCAAAGGGAATGCTTCCAGTTTTTGCCCATTCAGTATGATATTGGCTGTGGGTTTGTCATAGATAGCTCTTATTATTTTGAGATACATCCCATCAATACCTAATTTATTGAGAGTTTTTAGCATGAAGCGTTGTTGAATTTTGTCAAAGGCCTTTTCTGCATCTATTGAGATAATCATGTGGTTTTTGTCTTTGGTTCTGTTTATATGCTGGATTACATTTATTGATTTGCGTATATTGAACCAGCCTTGCATCCCAGGGATGAAGCCCACTTGATCACGGTGGATAAGCTTTTTGATGTGCTGCTGGATTCAGTTTGCCAGTATTTTATTGAGGATTTTTGCATCAATGTTCATCAAGGATATTGGTCTAAAATTCTCTTTTTTGGTTGTGTCTCTGTCCGGCTTTCGTATCAGGATGATGCTAGCCTCATAAAATGAGTTAGGGAGGATTCCCTCTTTTTCTATTGATTGGAATAGTTTCAGAAGGAATAGTACCAGTTCCTCCTTGTACCTCTGGTAGAATTCGGCTGTGAATCCATCTGGTCCTGGACTCTTTTTGGTTGGTAAGCTATTGATTATTGCCACAATTTCAGAGCCTGTTATTGGTCTATTCAGAGATTCAACTTCTTCCTGGTTTAGTCTTGGGAGGGTGTATGTGTCGAGGAATTTATCCATTTCTTCTAGATTTTCTAGTTTATTTGCATAGAGGTGTTTGTAGTATTCTCTGATGGTAGTTTGTATTTCTGTGGGATCGGTGGTAATATCCCTTTTATCATTTTTTATTGCATCTATTTGATTCTTCTCTCTTTTCTTCTTTATTAGTCTTGCTAGCAGTCTATCAATTTTGTTGATCCTTTCAAAAAACCAGCTCCTGGATTCATTAATTTTTTGAAGGGTTTTTTATGTCTCTATTTCCTTCAGTTCTGCTCTAATCTTAGTTATTTCTTGCCTTCTGCTAGCTTTTGAATTTGTTTGCTCTTGCTTCTCTAGTTCTTTTAATTGTGATGTTAGGGTGTCAATTTTGGATCTTTCCTGCTTTCTCTTGTGGGGCATTTAGTGCTATAAATTTCCCACTACACACTGCTTTGAATCTGTCCCAGAGATTCTGGTATGTTGTGTCTTTGTTCTCATTGGTTTCAAAGAACATCTTTATTTCTGCCTTCATTTTGTTATGTACCCAGTAGTCATTCAGGAGTAAGTTGTTCAGTTTCCATGTAGTTGAGCAGTTTTGAGTGAGTTTCTTAATCCTGAGTTCTAGTTTGATTGCACTGTGGTCTGAGAGACAGTTTGTTATAATTTCTGATCTTTTACATTTGCTGAGGAGAGCTTTACTTCCAACTGTGTGGTCAATTTTGGAATAGGTGTGGTGTGGTGCTGAAAAAAATGTATATTCTGTTGATTTGGGGTGGAGAGTTCTGTAGATGTCTATTAGGTCCACTTGGTGCAGAGCTGAGTTCAATTCCTGGGTATCCTTGTTAACTTTCTGTCTCATTGATCGGTCTAATATTGACAGTGGGGTGTTAAAGTCTCCCATTATTATTGTGTGGGAGTCTAAGTCTCTTTGTAGGTCACTCAGGACTTGCTTTATGAATCTGGGTGCTCCTGTATTGGGTGCATATATATTTAGGATAGTTAGCTCTTCTTGTTGAACTAATCCCTTTACCATTATGTAATGGCCTTCTTTGTCTCTTTTGATCTTTATTGGTTTAAAGTCTGTTTTATCAGAGACTAGGATTGCAACCCCTGCCTTTTTTGTTTTCCATTTGCTTGGTAGATCTTCCTCCATCCTTTTATTTTGAGCCTATATTTGTCTCTGCACGTGAGATGGGGTTCCTGAATACAGCACACTGATGGGTCTTGACTCTTTATCCAATTTGCCAGTCTGTGTCTTTTAATTGGAGCATTTAGTCCATTTACATTTAAAGTTAATATTGTTATGTGTGAATTTGATCCTGTCATGATGATGTTAGCTGGTTATTTTGCTTGTTAGTTGATGCAGTTTCTCCCTAGCCTCGATGGTCTTTACAATTTGGCACGATTTTGCAGCGGCTGGTACCGGTTGTTCCTTTCCATGTTTAGTGCTTCCTTCAGGAGCTCTTTTAGGGCAGGCCTGGTGGTGACAAAATCTCTCAGCATTTGCTTGTCTGTAAAGTATTTTATTTCTCCTTCACTTATGAAGCTTAGTTTGGCTGGATATGAAATTCTGGGTTGAAAATTCTTTTCTTTAAGTTGAATATTGGCGCCCACTCTCTTCTGGCTTGTAGAGTTTCTGCCGAGAGATCCACTGTTAGTCTGACGGGCTTCCCTTTGTGGGTAACCTGACCTTTCTCTCTGGCTGCCCTTAACATTTTTTCCTTCATTTCAACTTTGGTGAATCTGACAATTATGTGTCTTGGAGTTGCTCTTCTCGAGGAGCATCTTTGTGGCGTTCTCTATATTTCCTGAATCTGAATGTTGGCCTGCCTTGCTAGATTGGGGAAGTTCTCCTGGATAATATCCTGCAGAGTGTTTTCCAACTTGGTTCCATTCTCCCTGTCACTTTCAGGTACACCAATCAGACGTAGATTTGGTCTTTTCACATAGTCCCATATTTCTTGGAGACTTTGTTCGTTTCTTTTTATTCTTTTTTCTCTAAACTTCCCTTCTCACTTCATTTCATTCATTTCATCTTCCATCACTGATACCCTTTCTTCCAGTTGATCGCATTGGCTCCTGAGGCTTCTGTATTCTTCACGTAGTTCTCGAGCCTTGGCTTTCAGCTCCATCAGCTCCTTTAAGCACTTCTCTGTATTGGTTATTCTAGTTATACATTCGTCTAAATTTTTTTCAAACTTTTCAACTTCTTTGCCTTTGGTTTGAATTTCCTTCTGTAGCTCGGAGTAGTTTGATCGTCTGAAGCCTTCTTCTCTCAACTCGTCAAAGTCATTCTCCATCCAGCTTTGTTCCGTTGCTGGTGAGGAGCTGCGTTCCTTTGGAGGAGGAGAGGCGCTCTGATTTTTAGAGTTTCCAGTTTTTCTGCTCTGTTTTTTCCCCATCTTTGTGGTTTTATCTACTTTTGGTCTTTGATGATGGTGATGTACAGATGGGTTTTTGGTGTGGATGTCCTTTCTGTTTGTTAGTTTTCCTTCTAACAGATGGGACCCTCAGCTGCAGGTCTGTTGGAGTTTGCTAGAGGTCCACTCCAGACCCTGTTTGCCTGGGTACCAGCAGCGGTGGCTGCAAAACAGCAGATTTTCGTGAACTGCAAATGCTGCTGTCTGATTGTTCCTCTGGAAGTTTTGTCTCAGAGGAGTACCCGGCCATGTGAGGTGTCAGTCTGCCCCTACTGGGGGGTGCCTCCCAGTTAGGCTGCTCAGGGGTCAGGAGTCAGGGACCCACTTGAGGAGGCAGTCTGCCTGTTCTCAGATCTCCAGCTGCGTGCTGGGAGAACCACTGCTCTCTCAAAGCTGTCAGACAGGGACATTTAAGTCTGCAGAGGTTGCTGCTGTCTTTTTGTCTATGCCCTGCCCCCAGAGGTGGAGCCTACAGAGGCAGGCAGGCCTCCTTGAGCTGTGGTGGGCTCCACCCAGTTGGAGCTTCCCCCGCTGCTTTGTTTACCTAAGCAAGCCTAGGCAATGGCGGGCTCCCCTCCCCCAGCCTCGCTGCAGCCTTGCAGTTTGATCTCAGACTGCTGTGCTACCAATCAGTGAGACTCCATGGTCATAGGACCCTCCGATCCAGGTGCAGGATATAATCTCCTGGTACGCCGTTTTTTAAGCCCATCGGAAAAGCGCAGTATTGGGGTGGGAGTGACCCGATTTTCCAGGTGCCGTCTGTCCCCCGTTTCTTTGACTAGGAAAGGGAACTCCCTGACCCCTTGTGCTTCCCGAGTGAGGCAATGCCTCGCCCTCCTTCGGCTTGCGCACGGTGCACTGCACCCACTGTCCTGCGCCCACTGTCTGGCACTCCCTAGTGAGATGAACCCAGTACCTCAGATGGAAATGCAGAAATCACCCGTCTTCTACGTCGCTCACGCTGGGAGCTGTAGACCGGAGCTGTTCCTATTCAGCCATCTTGGCTCCAGCCTGGAATAAAATATTTGTAAATCACATGTCTGATAAAGGAAAATCCGATAAATTTCTATAGAAATGTATTATATTATTAAGTGATTGTAATGGATAATTGAAAATTGAAATAGGAAATACAATTTACAATAGCATCAAGAATAAGAACGTGACAGAAGATGTATATGAACAGTACACTAAAAATTACAAAATATTTCTGAAAGAAATTAAAGAAGACATAAACCAATGAAGAGCAATAGCGTGTTCTTGGACCAGAAGATTCATTTTTGTTAAGATGTCAACTCTCTCCAAATTGATCTATCATTTCCATGCAATCTCAATCAAAATCTCAGCAGGCATTTTTGGAGAAATCAAAAAGGGGAGTCTAAAATTTGTATGGAAATGAAATGGACCTAAAGGGCCAAAATAACTTTTAAAAAGTGGAGCAAATTCAAGGACTTAATATTATCTTTCAAGATTGTTCCTAAAGCTACAGTAATACAGGTTGTGTGATGTTGGTATAGAAATAAACGAATACATCAAATGAAATCAAATGGAACAGGTTAGAGAATACAAAATACATCAATACATGCATGAACAACCGACTTTTGACAAAAGTGTAAAGCTAACTTACTGGAGAGAGAAGAATGTCTTCAACAAATAGATCTTCATATACAAAAATAACTGTAATCCATACCTTCTACAATATACAAATATTAACTGAAAGTGGATCAGAGAACTAAATGTAAAACCTAAAACTCTAAAACTTTTATTTAAAAAAGTAAAAGAAAATCTCTGTGAGATTGGATTGGGTAAAAATTTACTAGTTACTACAACAGAAGCATAGTCCACAAAAGAAAAAAATTGATATCTTGGACTTGATCAAAATTAACAGTGTCTGTTCTTTGGGTCATACTGTTAAGAAGATGTAAAGAAGAGTCACAGACTGGAATAAAATATTTGCAAATCACATTTCTGATAAAGGTCTTGTATTCAGAATGTATAAAGATATAAAATAAACACACACCCATGAAACTATTTTCAAGATAATGAACATATTTGTTATACCTCCAAGTTTTCTTATGCCGTTTGTAATCCCCTCTCAACCTTCCCCGTATCCTCCCCATTCCAAGGCAACTACTGTTCTGATTTCCGTCAGTATAAATTAGGTTGCAAAACCCAATATGACAACAAACAACCCAATTTAAATATTTGGCAAAAGTTTTGAACAGACACTTCACCATAAAGGTATAAAGATGGCAAATAAGCACATGAAAAGATCAGTACTCAACATCATCAGTCCTTAGGAAATGAAATTAAATTGAAACAACAAAACCACAACGAGTACCTCTACATACCTATTGGAATAGCTAAAATTAAAAAAAAAAAAAGAAAACAACTACAAAGCGTTGGTAAGGATGTGGGGCAATTAGAACTCTCAAGCATCACAAACGGGACCGTAAGTGGAACCATAATGCTGGAAAACAATTTGGCACTTTCTTAAACACTCAATCATACACTTACCACATCACGCAATCATTTCACCTCTAGGTATGTACCTAACAGAAATTTCCATACAGAAGCTTGTCCAGAAATATTCAGAATAGCTTTATTTGTAATAGCCAAAAAGTGAAAGTAACTCAAATATCCACCAACAGATGAATGGATAAACAAAGTGTATTATAGCCATGTAATAAGATAGCACTCTGCAATAAAATTGAACTCTTCACATGTACAACACCACAAATGAGTCTCAAAAGTATTATGCTAAAAGAAATCAGCCAGAGAATAAAAACATCACATTCTATGTTATTCTATTTACATAAAATTTTATAATATGCAACCTAATTTATAGTGATGCAAATCAGAACAGTTGTTGCCTTGGAATGGGGAGGATACAGGGAAAGTTGAGAAGAGATTACAAAGGGCATAAGAAAACTTGGAGGTATAACAAATACGTTCATTATCTTGAAAATAGTTTCACAGGTGTGTGTTTATTTCAAAATTTGTCATATATAAATTTTAATGTTTTAAGTCAGTTTTATTTTATTGCAGTTTATTTTATGTTGGTTATACCTCAATATATCTGTTTTTCTAAATATACCTCAATATATCTGTTCTTTTCTAAAAAAGAACTTAATCTGTGTTGTGTGTTTTCAGTGTCTAGGACAGGAGAGGAAAACAACTTTATGATGTATTTCAAATAGTATATGATGTCTAGATATTATTGCTAAGAACTTTTCTACATTACAGAGTATATGAATCACAATATCATGGTTTCTTGCCATAATAATCCCACAGGAAGACTTAATATGAGTCAAAAGACTATGATTCTAGTTCTAACTCTGCCATTATCTAACGAGTAGCCTCAGAAATTTTCACATCCCTCCAGGCCTAGTTTCTGCATTCTAACATAGAAGCATTGGTCTGGATGAAGAGGCATCAAATTATGCTGTGCTCAGAGGGAGAGAAGAAGGGTGGAAAGAGGACCCAAGCTGGCAAAGCTACAGGACCCCTTCTCTCTCCCCACCAACCAGTGTGGTTCTGCTTTCTATCAGTTCTATGTAGTAAGTTTGTTCAGAAGATTTATTTTGAAAAAATGGTTTTCATGGGTTTCAAAAGAAAATTGACAACTGCTGGAGTGGATGACCTCTAAAATCTAAGGTGCTAAATTCTATTATCCTAATTAGTAAAATTAAATCTGCGGCATCCATTGTGATTCTTCGGGAGTAAGCGTTTGTTTGGAAACCTGGTTTTTAGAATGTTAAAGCACTCTCAGAAATCCTCCAGCAGTTTCCTACCCAAATCCTTTTGGTATTTTGTTTCGCTCCAGAGTGAACTGGTGCTCTCCCCTGTGTTGATCAGAAGTGTGTTCCCGAGGGTTGGTCGCCCGTGCACAAAAGGGCAGTGAGCCGTGGGACAGACAATACTTCCGGTGCCTCTGCATGCAGAGAGCCCAGCTGCTGTCCCAGAGCCTCCTCCAGCCACATTTGCTCCTCTGCATTCTCATGGTGGTTCTCAGGGGCTCTAGAGTTATTCACCAGTGAGTCTAATTCAGAAAATCAGCATTTAGACAACCATGCACCCAAATCTGCTGATTTGTATGGGAGTCATGTTTCCCAAGAGACCCCATCTGCCTTGCAGCCTTCACAACTCTTCTTACTGGTTTATTTTTCCTCTAAGATATTTGTACATTGTGTCTGTGTTCTTTTTAATTCCTCTAATTGCAGTGATTCAGTTTGTTTTTCTAGTGCCCACATCCTTTCCCCACAAACTTGGAGAACTGAAAACATGGAATAGTGGAAAGAAAACTTAGAGTCTAGTTCTGGATTTGCTATACAGCTTCCTCTATGACTTTGGGGGATTCATGTCAGTCTTCTGGACCTCAATTTTCTCATCTTAAAATTAGAAAGTTAGATTAGTTTTTTCGAATGTGTATATACTTACTATTGGTGATATAGCAGGTGATTTTAGATTGTCCATAACATATACTTAGTAATTGTATTAAATGCATTTATTTTAATGCATATTTAAAAATATTGTTACATCAAACCAGCTTAAAATTGGTATTGATATTTTTAGGTGAATTGATTTAAAGTAAAATATCAAGCAAATTCAAGGAGTAACTGGATATGGCAAAAATTGGGAAGATGGTACATAATAGTGACCTGACCATCTTCCCAATTTTTTGTCTCTATGTTTCACAGGAAAACTACGACCCCTAGAATCTTTGATGTTGGATCGGAGCCATGTGCCTGAGTTCTGGCCTAGGAAATGTGAACACAAATCATGTGTCACCCCTGAGAGAAGCCAGTGAGGATCATCCATCTCTCCATTCTCTCACCACAGCAACTTTGGAAGCTGTGGCATTATCATCATATGGAAAGAGCTTGGAATGAGAACACATGGACACAGGAAGGGGAACAACACACACTGGGGCCTGCGCGGGTAAGGGAGCGAGGGGAAGGAGAGCATCAGGATAAATAGCTAATGCATGTGGGGCTTAAAACCTAGGTGATGGCTTGATAGGTAGGTGCAGCAAATCACCATGGCACATGTTTGCCTGTGAAACAAACCTGCACATCTTGCACTTGTATCCTGGAACTTAAAATTAAATCAAATTAAATTAAAAAAAAAAAAAGAGCTTGGAACCTTGAATCATCAAGGTGGTTGAAAGTGTCCGCCAGCCCAAATTAAACATCTGTAATTAAGAAAGAAACTTTTGTTTTGTTAAGCCACAGATATTTCTGAATTTACTATTGCAGTTTAGCTTATCTTGACAAATACGAAACATGGTAAGATAATCAGGCTCCATCTACCTCTAAAACGCTACATTTTATTCTCTTGTCTCTTCTCTTCTTATTCAGTTTTAACCTATACTTTTTTTTTTTTTCTGGCTCTCTAACTTCAAGGAAGTCCCTGCTGAACTAATTTGCTTATATTTTGCCCTTCTGACTGTCTCTGTTTTTAGAAGTGGTATTTATTTTAATGATGGCTGTAGTTCTGGATAACTACATAGAGCCCTCCTCACATCCAAAGAGGACATGGCAATTAGCGTCACTGCCTGTTTGTAGTGCCTTTCTGAATAGCCTTGGGGGACCATCAGCTCTTTCAGGACACTTATGCATAAAGATAACACTCTGCAGAGCCTCCTTTGCTACTGGCCTCAGTACTTCGAATGGTTTATGATCCTGTTGCCTTGGCTTGAGAAAAAGCTACTCTTACTGCCTTGTGTCAGACTAGCCAGCCTCTATCTATTGGCTCTCAAAGTCCACAAGCCAGATACATTGTTTGAAGTTGTGCTGTAGGAAGCTCATCTATCAACTCTGTTTGTAGTATGAGCCATTTTTAAGCTCCAAACAGCTAGAGGATCCTGCATTCTACCTTTATCATATGCCAGAACAGCCAAGCTGTATGAGGAAAATAATCATTTTAATTCTTGCAAACTGGTTACATTTAGGAACTTTATGTTGATTTGTGTTGTCTCGTTTTGTCATTTAATGGCCATAGATTTTTTTTAACTAATTTTTTTCAAGAATTTGGATTGAAAGTCTGGGTCAAGTCACAGCCTCTAATCACTGCCATTGTTCCATATACCTTCGATTTATATAGGTAATCTGCCAAGATTTTTTCTGCCTGTATTTCAAAAGATACTAACTTTTAATTCAATTTCTTTCTCTAGTGCTTGATCCATATAGTAAATGCTCGGGCAGCAGAAATAAGAGGCGGTTTTTAACAATGTAAGCTGATGAAAATTTTTTGATTATATATAGTGTCTTCCTTACTAAGTCAGTATAGAAACCTAGTCCTCTTAGGGCTCAATTAATATACAAGTGGTAACTCTTCAAATGGTCTAGGAAAGCAGCGGCCTTCACTCTGTTGGCTTATAAAGGGAATGATTATTGGTTTGTTATTTATGCCCTAGAAACTTCCAAAAATAATTTGAGAATTTTCTTAGAACTATTAAGTATCATTAGCAATTAAAAACACCATATGTGTGACAATACTGAAGTCTGTTGGTAACCACAAAACCATGGAGTTACAGAATGGTGAAAATGGAACAATCAAGTGTACGACTCAGCTCCTTTTTTAACAGATAGAGATGAGAACACTGGGATCCTAACGGTGACATGCAATTTTATTTTTTATAACAACTTTAAGACATAGTTCATATTTCACATAATTCACTAATTTTAAGTATGCAAGTCAATGACTTTAAGTATATTCAAAAAGTTGTACAGTCAGTGTTACAACGAATTTTGGAACATTTTCATCATCCCAAGAAGAAGCTCATTTCAACTCTTATATCCCTAGGCAACCATTAATCTAGTTGCTGTCTCTAATAATTTGCCCATTCTAGACACTTCACTGGAATGGAATTCTGCACTATGTGGTCTTTTGTGACTGGTTTATTTCACTTAACAGATGTTTTTGAGGTTCGCCCATGTTGTAGCATGTAACAGTACATTTTTCCTTTTTAATTATTGAAAAATGTTCTATCATGTTGATATATCACATTTTGTTCATTCATTCATCCATTGATGGACATGTGGGTTATTTTCACCTTTTGGCTATTATGAACAATGCTGCTATGAACATTCACGTATAAGTTTTTGTGTGAGCAAAAGTATTCATTTCTCTTGGGTATATACCTAGGGATAGAATTGCTGAATTATGTGGTAACTCTATATTACCTTGTGAGGAAACACCAGACTGTTTTCCAAAGCAGCTATGGCCATCCTACATTGCCACCAGCAATGTAAGAGGGTTCCAATTCCTCCATATCTTCACCAACATTTGTTATTATCTGCCTTTTCGTTTATGGCCATCTTAGGGTCCATGAAGGGGTATCCCATTGTGTTTAGTATTTTCATTTTCCTGATGGTTAATGACATTGAGCTTGTTTTCATGCACTGATTTGCCATTTGTATATCTTCTTTGAAGAAATATCTATGTAAATCTTTGGCCATTTTAAAATTAGTTTATTTTTAATTTGATTATTGAAGGTGTAAGAGACTTTATATATCCTAGACACAGGTTCTCTCATCAGATATATGATTTATAAACATGTTCTCCCATTCGATGGATTGTCTTTTATGTTCTTTGTGGTATCCTTCAAAGAACAAAAATTTTTAACTTTGCTGAAGTCCCATTCGTCTGTTGTTTTTCTTTTGTGGTTTGTACTTTTGGTTTCAGATCTGAGAAACCACTGCTCAATACAAGCTCATGTTGATTTATGCCTATGTTTTCTTCTAAGAGTTTTACACTTTTAATTTTTACATTTCGGTCTCTGTTTCATTTCTTACATTTAGTATTTGATCCCCGTTGAGTTAGCTTTTGTAATATTGTGTGAAGCAGGGGTCCAACTTCATGCTTTTGCATGTGACATCCAGTTGTCCCAGCATTATCTGTTGAAAAGACTATTCTTTCCCTCAATGAAATGTCTTGAAAACCTATCAAAAATCAATTAATCATAAATATTACAGTTATTTCTGGATTCTTAATTCAATTCCACTGCTCTATACGTCCATCCTTATGCCAGTATCATACTGTCTTGATTACTATAGCTTTGTAGTAAGATATGAAATAAGGAAGTATGAGACTTCCAACTATGTTCTTCTTTTTTGAGGTTATTTATTCTTTTAGGACTTTTATAAATGTAATAGTTTCCTTGATTTTATTTTTGCATTGTTTATTGCTGGTGTATAGAAATACAATATTTTACACTTATTGATCTTGTATCTTGACATTTTGCTTGACATTTTGCTGAAGATTATTTTCTGATTTTCTTCTTAGGATTTTCTGTTGCAAGTGGTGACTATCTGGGGCTGGTGTCATGAGGGTGGTATAAAGAATTTACCAAAGTGGTTGTAGGTAAATAAAAGCAGATTTATTAGAGAAAGTATTAAAATATGTTGCAAGGAAGCAATAGGCAGGTCAGCAAGAAGGGAGATAACTGCAAGGAGACAAAAGTTTGTTGGGAATTTTATAGGATGGACCTTGTGCTGTGTGCTAAATAGGGCTTTGCACAGTACTGATAATGCCAAGGTTGCAGTAAGCTAACTTGCATGTTTCTATCAGCCGAGGTGTCTGGTGATAGCTAGGCACAGAAAGATTGTGAGTTATTTGCACAGGAGGGCTGTCTGCCCTGGATCATGAAGAAAGGCAGACTTATAGCTTATCTACCTTTTCTTTTTGCCTTCCCCTGCCCCTGCTAGCTTGACTCATTTTCCCTAATTAGAACTCTACATTTTCTAAATACAGGATTATGTCATCTGCAAATAAAGATAGTTCTGCTTCCCCTTTTCCGATCTGGATGCCTATTCTTTCCTTTCCTTACCTCTAATTTCCCTGGCTAGAACCACTGACAGTGTTGAATAGAATTAGCAAGAGTGAATATCCTTATCTTGTTACTAATCTTAAGGGGAAAGCAGTCTTTCTGGAAAAATATGTTTTAATGAGAAATCCTTCACCACTAAATATAATGTTAGCTGTGGGTTTTTCCTAAAGGCCATTTGTCAGGTTAAGGAAGTTCCCTTCTATTCCTAAGTTGTCTTTTTTTTCATAAAGGAGTGGTGAATTTTGTCAAATGCTTTTACTGAATCTTTTGGCATGATTATGTGTTTTTTTTCTATTATTCGAGTCACATAATGTATCACATTAAATAATTTTCAGACATTAAGCCAACCTTGCATTCCTGCTGTAAACATAATTTGGTCACAGTGCATAATTATTTTTATAAACTGCTGGGTTTGTTTGCTGACTTTTTTCCTGAAGATTTTACATTTATATTCGTAAGAGATATTGGTCCATAATTTTCTTTTCCTGTAATGTCTCTCTGGTTTTGATATCAGGACTCATAGAATGAATTGATATTTTATTTTTAAAGTATGAAAATCCCAGAAAAAATTTAGACAGTAGGAAAAACTAAAAGTTGGAAAGTGTAAATCTCCTTTCCTGTCCCAAGTTCACTGTGTGTGTGTGGATACACATATATGAGTTTTATTCATAGTTTTTTTGTGTGTATATACATGTATTTATGTGTGTGGGGGTATTAATTTAGAGGTTTGTAGTTAATAAAATAAAAGCAATTATCTTAGATCAGATGGTGTAAATTAACACAATCATCTTCTGATTCTTGGTTTTCAGATTCCCAAACCAATGGACCATACAGGCTCAGGAATCGACATAAATTTTCTAGTGCCTTGTGACACATTCGTGTAGTCTCTCAAAAATAGGTTGAATGAAATTAGTCTTTTGATGATGAATATTAGATCATCAAGCTTGCTATTAATTTGAACATGAATGGTGTACCATGACAAGCAACACCACTCTGCTTTTTATTTTAATAAAGTTCTCAAACATACTGAATAACATATGTGTGTGTGTGTGTGTGTGTGTGTGTGTGTGTGTATACAGAGAGAGAGAGAGAGAGAGAGAGAGAAAGAAAGAGAATGCAAGACAAGTTTTTTTTCTCTTTGGAGAGGGAGTCTTGCTCTATCACCCAGGCTGGAGTGCAGTGGTGCAATCCTGGCTCACTGCAACCTCCACCTCCCGGGTTCAAGTGATTCCTGTGCCTCAGCCTCCCGAGTAGCTGGGATTACAAGCGTGCACCACCATGCCCAGCTAATTTTCTATTTT
Organism: Homo sapiens; assembly: GCF_000001405.40. Classification (NCBI taxonomy): domain Eukaryota; kingdom Metazoa; phylum Chordata; class Mammalia; order Primates; family Hominidae; genus Homo; species Homo sapiens. The sequence goes on from NC_000015.10 coordinate 38,151,964, forward strand.
CAGTAGAGACAGGGTTTCACCACACTGGCCAGGCTGGTCTTGAACTCCTGGCCTCAAGTGATCCACACGCCTCAGCCTCCCAAAGTGCTGGGATTATAGGCATGAGCCACCATGGCTGGCTAAATTTTTATATTTTATCACAAATCATTATATTAGATAGAGTGACATGGGTTGCTGTAACAAATGGCCCCAAAAGAGCTCCCAGTGGCCAAAACTGAAACGATTTGAGAAAAAAATAAAAGGTAGTATTAGATTATAAGCCTAAGTATGGAATAAATATCCATGCATCTATAGTGATATGAATAATTAAATAAAGAAATAGGGGAAAGGAGACAACTCTCTCATGAAGAACAATTTTATATAATGTATTACATAGTTTATCGCCAAGGAGGTGCGACATAACTCCCCACTCCTAAGTGTGGGCTGCATATAGTGACTTTCTTCCAAAGATACGGTGTAGGAAATCAGGAGAGAGTGACTTTACAGTGGAGAAACCTGACAAACATTACCTCACCCACATTGTCTAGATGAACATCACAAGGTAAGCAATGATAAGCTTATGTTGATAGTATGTACCCTTGATATAATATGATGAAAATGGCACTTTATTTCTGTATTCTTCCTCGAAAAAACTTATAACCACAGTCTAAAGATGATAAAACTATCAGATAAATCCCAATTTTAAAAAAGGCATGACCAGTACTCCTCAAAGCTGTCATGATCACCATCTAACAAGGAAAATCTGAAGACCTGTCACATCAAGAGAAGCCTAAGGCAACATGACAACCAAATGTAATGTGGTATCCTGGATGAGGTCCTGGCACAGGAAAAGGACATTAAGTACAAACTAAAGAACCTGTATAAAATATGGACTTTAGTTGACATTAGTGTATTAATATCAGTTTATTAATTGCAATCAATATACCCTACGAGTGTATATTAGGGGAAACTGGGCGCAGGGTATATGGGAAGTCTATACTATCTTCTCAATTTTTCTGTAAATCTAAAATAGTTCTAAACAAATAAAGTGTTTTTGTTTTCATTCTTTGTTAATTTTAGAAAATCTCATTGAATGAAATAAACAGTGATTTGTGCATAGCTGAAAAGTGATTTATTTACCTAGGAAAGAAACTACTCAAAATTCAGCTCAGGGATACCAAAGAGAAGTTAAGAGACATTGCAGATATAGTGAGAAGCTCCAATCACATGTTTAATTGAAGCTTTAAAAGAAAAATAAGGAGGGGAAGGAATGAGTGATAAAAGTGAAAAATAGAAAGTCTGAGAATTTTCCACAATTGATGAAGCATACAATTCCTTAGACCTAGGAAGTTTAACAAATATCCAGTAGGAAAAAAAATCCATACAACAAGACATATTGCAGGCAAAGAGAGGATCTTAAATGCAACAGAGAAGAAAAGCCTAATTACCTATACAGCAACATGAATTGGACTAAACAACAACTTCTCAGTCAGAAGACAATAGAATGTCTTCAAAGTGCCATGTGTGAGATATCAACAGTTCAATCCATGGCTTCCTGCACCAAATCTGATCCAGTTCTTTTTCATTGTCTTCACATATTAAGTGGAAAGATAAGCCTATCTGTTAATGTGATAAAGATCCAGTGCCCATTTGCTATGAAGAAGTGTACTGGGAACATTGTATGAGTTAGGATGAACAGCTATAACAAACAAGGTCAAAAATTTCAACAAAGTACAAGTTATTTGATTTTTTTTTCATTTAATGGTCAAAGATAATATTCCAAGTCTACAGGTCATTTTCCTGTATGGGGCTTCTTTCACCTTAGTCCCTGAATTGCCCCATACAGGAAAATGACCTGGCACCTCTAAACCCTTACTAGCAACTGCACCTATCAAAGGAAAGGGAAAGAATGTGAGGAAGATACATCCACTCCACTTCTTAAAAGCCTTAGCCTGGAAGGGACACACATCATTTCCACTTACATTTTTTTTTTTTTTTACAAGAACCAATCACATGGAAACAATTAATTGTAAGGCAGGTTGGAAAATATAGTCTAGCTCTGTGGTCAGAAAAAAAGAGGAAACAGTTTTTAAGCAAACAGCAGTTTTTGCAAACACACTCACATACAAATAATCAAAGAAAAATCTATTTCTATCTATAAGGCAATCTACATTGAGATTTTGAGAGAAAAATTATCTAATTCTGCTGGAGCTCACTTGTGCTAGTACATTCAATTTACTTAAATTATTTTTAACTCAGTCTGAAGCAATAACATTATATTACTACACTGCATTCAGAGTTCTGTAAACAGTAGGTAGGTAGCTGCATGACTGAAAGCAAAATAATCCCTCCCAAGACAAAAAATTTCCCCTGAAGACTAATTCCTGCCTCTCACTTTATAAGCCAAAATTGAATTCAACCTCAAAATAGCAGCATTTTATCTCCAAAAATTTCAAACTCAGTCTTATTGGCTCCCTGTTATAATTAAATTGTAAAGTCTTTTGGAGTTCTTCATCTTCATATGTCACGTGATGATAGTACATTGGACAAAAAAAGGCTGTCAGTAAACATTTGCAAAGTTGAACTGACTTGATGTCAAGGATCTGCTTAGCAGGTATTTTTGATGTGGGAACAAACCTGGGATAGTGACTTGCAGAGACCCTTAATCCTTGTGTCCATTCAAAATGAAAGAAAACAGCTCTGGGGAAAGGCTGGTGATTTTTCCTGGCAGGCTGGAACGAGGTGCGCATGCACAGGAAGCGGGCTACCTGAACTAACTTAGCCTATCCTCTAACAAAAAGTCGTAATTGCTATACAGATTTTGGATTCAAACAAGCTACTTAAGCCAAGCTATTTGCTCCAGAACTTCAAACACTTTTGTAATCCCTCATGTTAAGTAGGCATGTGTTCCCACAAATATTTTTGTGAGTTGTGTTGATAACTGTTCATAACTTCACAGCCCATAAGTTTCACCAGGCTTTTGGGCTCCACTATATTGATATACCTGTTTCTTCAAAACTTGAATATCCAAGGCCTGCATGCACCAATCCAACGTAGCCTCAGCATTCAATAAATAGAATCTTTTGGGCAATTAGGTTCTCCTGTGACTCATACTTCCTTTTCTTCCTGATTTTAAAGTGTAAGTCAATAGTTATAACATTTTCAGCCTGCAATACATTTTAATTAGGCTTATTTCATAAAGAAGTAAACCTTAACCGATAGCTAAAACAATTCACGAAGGCTCCAAATGCATCCACTGCATGAAGAAAATGTTTTTTAATTATAACAAACTGGGAACAGAAGGGAATTTCCTAAAATTGATAAAGAACATCTATTAAAAATACATGAAAGTTAATACTTAGTGGCAAACAATAGAAATATCCCTGGTCTACTCAGAAACAAGATATGCATGCCTGCCATTTCTGACTTTATTCAACATTTGACTGGTCTACATATACAGTACAATAAAATAAGAAAATAAAGTAGAAATACAAGGATATGAAAGAAACACAATTGTTGCAATGAATAAAAGTAGGTTTCTAGACAAAGAATTTGCAAATAAAAAATAAGCAATGTTTCTATATACTAGCAATAATCAATTAGAAAATATAAGATCTTTTTCTCTAAAGGTTTCATCCACTGTAGGAACAAAAATCCTAACCACCTCAACACACTAGGCACTGAAGGTACATACCTCAAAATAATAAGAGCCATCCGTGACAAACCCACAGCCAGCATCATACTGAACAGGCAAAAGCTGGAACCATTCCCCTTGAGAACTGGAACAAGACATGAATGCCCACTCACACTACTTCTATTCAAAATAGTACTGGAAGTCCTGACCAGAGCAATCAGGCAAGAGGAAGAAATAAAGGGCATCCACATAGGAAAAGAAGAAATCAAACTATCTATTCCTGAAGACTCTGCCAAAAGGCTCCTAGAACTGATAAACAACTTCAGTAATGTTTCAGGATACAAAAATCAATGTATAAAAATCTGTAGCATTTCTATACACCAATAACAATTGGTGTTTACTAACAATAGGTGTTCACTAACAATTGGTTCAAGCTGAGAGTCAAAACAAGAACACAAACTATTTACAATAGCTAACGAAAATTAAAATATCTAAAAATACATCTAAACAAGGAGATGAAAGAACCCTGCAAGGAGAACTAAAACACACTGTTGAAAAAAACCAGAGATGACACAAACAAATGGAAAAACATTCCAGGCTCATGGATTAGAAGAAACAATATCATTATTATGGCCATACTGTCCATTCAACACTATTCCTATCAAATACTAATGTCATTTTTCACAGAATTAGGAAAAATTATTCTAAAATACACATGGACCCAAAAGAGAGTCCAAATAGCCAAAGAACAAGATCAGAGGTATCACATTACCCAACTTCAAACTATACTACAAGGCTACAATAACCAAAACAGCATGGTTCTGATACAAAAATAGACACATAGGCCAATATAACAGAATAGAGATCCCTGAAATAAAGCCACATACCTACAGCTATCTGATCTTCAGCAAAATCAACAAAATAAGCAGTAGGGAAAGGACTCCCTATTCAATACATGATGCCAGAATAGCTGGTGAGCCATATGCAGAAGAATGAAACTGGACACCTACCTATCACAATATACAAAAATTAATTCAAGATGAATTAAAGACTTAAGTGAAAGAATTCAAACTATAAAAATCCTAGAAGAAAACTTCAAAAACACTGTCCCAGACATCGGCTTTGAGAGATAATTTATGACTAAGGCCTTAAAAGCAATTGCGACAAAAACAAAAATTGACAAGTAGAGCCTAATTAAACTAAACAGCTTCTGCACAGCAAAAGAAACTATCAACAGGGTAAACAGACAACCTACAGAATGGGAGAAAATTTTTGCAAACTGTAAATCCAACTTAAGTCTAACATCCAGAATCGATAAGGAACTTAATTCAATAAGCAAAAGCCAATCTTATTAAAAGTGGACAAAAAAACATGAACAGACACTTTTCAAAAGAAAACATGCAAGCTACCAACAAACATATGAAAAAATGTTCAACATCACTAATCATCAGAGAAAAGCAAACCAAAACCACAATGCGATACCATTTCACACCAGTCAAAATGACTTTAATTAAAACATCAAAAAACAACAGATGCTGGCAAGACTGTGGAGAAAAGGAAATGCTTATATAGTGTTGGTGGGAATATAAATTAGGTCAGCCACTGTGGAAAGCCCTTTGGAGATTTCTCAGAGAACTTAAAACAGAACTACTATTTTTCGTTTTTTAATTGAGATAGAGTATTGCTCTGTCACCCAGGCTGGAGTGCAGTGGCACGATCTCAGCTCACTGAAACCTCTGCTGCCCAGGTTCAAGCGATTCTCATGCCTCAGCCTCCCAAGTAGCTGGGACTACAGGCATGCACCACCATGCCTGGCTAATTTTTTTTTTTGCATTTTTAGGAGAGATGAGGTCTCGGCATGTTGGCCAGGCTGTTCTCAAACTCCTGACCTCAGGTGATCCGCCTGCCTCAGCCTCCCAAAATGCTGGGATTATAGGTACAAGCCACCACACTTGGCCCAGAACTACTATTCAATCCAACAATCCCATTGCTGGGTATATATCCAAAGGAAAATAAATCATTCTAGCAAAAAGATATATTCACTTGTATGTTCAACATAGTAGTATTCACAATAGCGAAGACATGGAATCTACCTAGGTACCCATCAATGGTGGACTGGATAAAGAAAATGAGTACATATACACTATGGAATACTATACAGCCATAAAAAAGAATGAAATCATATCCTTTGCAGCAACATGGATGCAGCTGGAGGCCATTATCCTAAGCAAACTAACACAGGAACAGGAAACCAAATAACACATGTTCTTACTTATAAGTGGGAGCTAAACATTGGGTACTCATGGACATAAAGATGGCAACAATAGACACTGAGAACTACTAGAAGGGGGAAGTAGGAAGGGGACAAGAGTTGAAAAACTATTAGGTACTATGCACAATACCTGCGTAAGGGGTTCAATTGTACTCCAAACCTCAGCATCACATGATATACCTATGTAACTAATCTGTACCTGTACCCACTGAATCTAAAATTAAAAAGTTGAAAATTTTTTTTAAAATGTGAAAAGTAAAAACAGCAAAAACTTTTAAAAAAACCTAAGTAGGCTGGGCGCGGTGGCTCACACCTGTAACCCCAGCACTTTGGGGGGCCAAGGTGAGTGGATCACCTGGGGTCAGGAGTTCGAGACCAGCCTGGCCATCGTGGTGAAACCCTGTCTCTATTAAAAATACAAAAATTAGCCAGGCATGGTGGCACACTCCTGTAATCCCAGCTACATAGGAGGCTGAGACAGGAGAATCACTTGAACCTGGAAGGTGGAGGTTGCAGTGAGCCGTGATGGTGCCATTGCACTCCAGCCTGGCTGACAGAGCGAGACTCTGTCTTAAAAAAAAAAAAAAAAAATCCTAAGTGTACATCTAACCAAATATATTCAAGATAATTCTATAGAAAAATTTAATAATAATACGAAACTCATAAGAAAAGGCATAAATATATCATGTTTGTGGAGAAGACTCAATATCATAAAAGTAGCCATTCTCCCCAAGTTAAACTATAACTTCAATGCAATTGCAATCAAAATTTCAACACCATTGTTATAAAGCTGATTCTAAAATTTCTATGAAAAATAAAAGGATAAGACAACTAAGACAATTTTGAGTGGAAGAAGAAGAGATGAAGTGGTTATGTCCCATCAAATATCAAGACAATTATTACAAATCTGTAGTAAATAAATGTATTCCTGCAGTATATGCAGGAAGAAATAAACAGACTAATGAAACAAAATTGAGCCCAGGAAAAGATCCACATTTATAGAGTGCTATGGTTTGAATGTGTCCTCCAAAGTTCATATGTTGAAAACTTGATCCCCAATGCAACAGCATTGAGAGATGGGGACTTAAGAGGTGATCAGGTCAGGAAGCCTCTGCCTCTATGAATAGACTAATGTCATAATCACAGGAGGGGATTCATTATTGTGGGGGTAGATTTGTTATAAAGTGAGTTCAGTCCTCTCTTGCTTGCTCTCTCTCTCTCTCTCTGTATCTCTCTTTCTTTCTCTGTCTCTCTCTCTCTTTCTCACTCTTACTCTTTCACACACACTCTCTTTCTCTGTGTGTGTCTGTCTTTCTCCTCTCTCTCTCTCTCTTTCTAATGCAAGCATGCATACTCATGCATGCTGTCTTGCCCTTCCACCTTCCACCATGGAATGATGTAGCAAGAAGGCCCTTGCCAGATGCCAGTGTCTTGACCTTGGACTTAGCCTCCAGAACTGTTAAGAATAAATATTATTCATTATAAATTATACAGTCTCAGGTATTCTGATATAGCTGCAGAAAATAGACTAAGACATAGGGAAACTTCGTATTTGCCAGATGGATGGAAATGACAGACAGTTAAATAAACAGTACAAGGACAATTATTTATCCACATGGAAAAATGTAAAACATGTTCAAAATTATATTCCAGATAGATTAAAGACCTAAATGAGAAAAGCAAAGTTTTAACCCTTTTAAAAGGAAATATTGGAGAATATAAGAAAGGCTTTTGTAAATAAGACAAAATAAGGACAAGCCTTTAAAAAAAAAAAGACTGATACACTTGACTTCGTTAAGATTTTAAATTTCCATATGCAGAAGATATCATAACCACACAAAAAAAGACAAACCATATACTGGGAAAATATATTTGCAACACACATAACAAATAAAGAATAGGACCAGAATAGATAAATAATGTTAACAAATCAATTAAAACTTTTTAAAAGCTCAGTAGAAAACCACAGAAGGCTATGACCAGAGGAAAGCAAGATGCAATTAAAAATGTTGAAAATGTCGTCTACAACAGTAACAAAAGAAATGCGAATTAAAACTATGGGATGCCACTTCATCCTCAAAAGACTGATAAACATTTTAAAGTTTGATATTTTGAAGGATGTATGAAGACAGGAGAAACAGTATCTCTCATATGTGCTGGCAGGAGGGAAAATTGATACAACTATGTTCTAAAAGGCAGTATCTGATAAAACCAAAGAAATAATTTTTAGCCAGTTCTTCCACTTCTAGTTATATATTGTAAAAACATTCCCATATGTGTACTAAGAAGAGTATACAAGGATGTTAATTACAGTACTATTTATGAAAGCAAAATTAAATTTTTATAAACCTATATATTATCTTTGGGAATACAAAATGAATCATACAATTGAATACTACATTGTAATTTTTTTTAGTGAACCTAATTTTCATGTATTAGCATGGATAGAACTAAAAGCTATGTTTGAGTGAAATATGTATTAAATGTTGTGGTAGGTAGAAACATGACTTCCTATTAGATTTTTAACCTTTTTGTGTGCATGAAATATTCTATAATTTAAAAATAATAACAAACCACTGTTTTACACAACATCAATCAGAAGGCTAAATCTGGGAATTTCCTAAATTATTTTCCTCTTGTGAATTAGTCAGTGGACAGAAGGTACAACATTTGACAACAAACTGGTCAATAAATTACTTCACTAAATTTCTACTGATAGTTTATTGTTCATCAGTAGGATGTGTCACAGATACAAATGAATTTGTTAAATATTGAAGTGATAAAATAACCCTTGTCAAAATGGTAATATGGCCACCCTCCTTTGGACATATTATAAGGGACTCTAAATGAAAGCAACCCACAAATTTTCAAGGTTTCAGGCCAAATCTCTGCCACTAATGAATCCTAAGAATTTGAGAAAATTGCATTTCCTCTTTGACCCTCAGTGTCATCTTCTGTGTTATAAAGGTTTAAACTAGGGAATTCCTACGTATATTAATACCAGTAACTCAGTGACCTATAATTTGACTTGAGAATAAAAAAGTAAACTCAAGCGCAAGTAAAAAATAAAAATAAAAATCAGTCATCTAATAATTTCTTAAGAAGAAAACAACTACTAATTAAATAGACATAATGGATTGATTACATTGAAAATTTAAGCCTCATCAACAGCACAAAGCATAATCTATTGATTGCCTGGTTTTTGTAGGTCGGTAGCTGGTTAGCAACTGAATTTAGAATATTTGCAAATATACAGCTTTCAAAATCCGGTGCTCTTTTTGAAGTCAGACTCTGCTACAGGCAAACTAAACATAGCTTCAATTTAACTTCAAGATGTGTCCATAACAACTGATTACCCCCAAATCCTTCTATTTTTCTCTCCCAATGGGAAAATGCAAAAGTTTTAAATACCTCTATAATTATAGTAAACACAGACAACCATCTCTAAAATTGCAGTGTACTATTTGGTGTTCCTAACCTATGGGCTGTCTATAAAGAGCTCTATTAAAGGAGTCCATCTGGGAAGTGGAATGAAACACCAGATGCCAGGTGTTTAAGAGGGAATGCAAGGTTTTTTCCTTCTTCTTTTCGGTATTAAATGAAAATGGTTTTTCTATAGCCATTTTCTAGATTATATGGGGAAAACTTGGAAATCTGTCTGAAATTACATTATCTATAATATTAAAGAAAGTTTTCAAATTCAAACTAACAATTGGTATGAGAGTAAAATAGCTCTCATAATCCCAGTATCTTGAAGGGCTTTCACCTCCTTGCTGTTCCTTCTAAACCCCCAAAAGAAAAAAAAAATCTAGAGTAATCCAAATGTCTATAATATGCAACCCGTGATTAAAAATATGTTTGGCAGTCATTATTCTTTCTGCACTTACATATATTTCACCCATCTTTTTTTGTTTGTTTTTTGTTTAGTGGTTTTTCTGCTCCCTCCATTCCTGCCATGGGTTAGGTGACATGGTTTTTTTATGGTGTAGAAGCTATCGATTATATTCTTGTTCTTCTAGTGGTTTCCCTGAACATATGTACTTAGCTATATGTTTTTCTAACAGAGTCTAAATCACTTAATATTATCCCCCCTCTTAACAGACAAGACAATGACCCTGGAACACTTGAACATTTCCCACCTCCATAAAGTTGTTCCTATCTAGCTTTTATTTCTTATTTTTAAACACAAGATGCTATTATTTTTAATAGTCGAATTGTTCCTTTAAATTTACCAACATCTTTTAACTTCTGTGCTCACCGTGTTTTTTACATCTCTCCTGTCCCCTCTGGGTATACTTGTCTTTATGGTGTCCTTGTTCTCTGAAAAAGGGATTGTGGGTGGAATGCCTGCCAGAAAATGTCTTTAGTTTACCCTCACCCTTGAATAACCATTTACCTAGCGATCAGATTTGAAGGTTGTCAGTCATTTTCCCCTTAGGACTTTGAAGATATTTACTTCGTATCGTCTGGAATCTATGATTAGATGAGAAGTCTATTGGCCATCTCATTTTCTTGGAACGTAATCTTTCTTTGGGATCAGGTAGTCCTTGAGATTTTCTCTTTATCCTTGATATTCTGCAAGTTTTGCTCTGAGGTGGATTTATTTTATTTAAGTTACTTGAAACTTGAAATGCACTTTCTATCAAAGAACTCATGTCTCCTTCAACTCAGAAAAATTTTCAGCCAATTTCCCTCCAAATATTGCCAATCCAAGACTGCACTTTAGTCTTGTCTTCTATACAAACAAGATTCTCTAAATTTAACCTCCATATACTTTCAGGGCATATGACTTAGGACCAGCTCCATCAAAATTCTGAAGCTCAGATAATATGAGAAGATTTCTAAGACATATGTCACCAAATTTACATGACCTATAGATTGCCCAGAAAAATAACTTTCATAAAGAGATTCATAGCAAGGTGTATCACAGTGAAATGACAGAGAAATGGGGAGAAGGAGTCTCTAAAATATTCCTTTCACAGTACTACTGGAAATGTAAGAAACCAGAAAATGTTTAGTTGACAGGAAACTTCATTTTCCAAAAGATAAACTTGAGACACAGCAGGATTAAAGATGATCTCATTTTAAGATATTGTCAGATTTAAGGACTAAACCCAAAATGTCCTGAATTTCAGTACAGTATTCTTAATGCCATTTCATATCACCCTTCAAAAACATTAGAAATACCTTAGCTATCACTTCAAAAATCCATGTCTCAGATCATTTTCGGATCCATTACAGATGGTCTTGAATATCAGGGGACAATAGAGACCTATTGAGCACCACTGGAATAAAGAGGGATTAACTGACTCGCCCAGCAACATGGGTAAATTATTCCTCCAACATTGAGCCATACGCAGGCAGCCAAACAAGAATTATTTACTAACAAAACAAAATGAAGCAAAACTATTGGAAATATTGTGAATTATAAGGCCTATTCAGTTGATGAACTGAATATTTGCTCACTGTATAACCAAACCCACACTGGTTTTCTGTGGGTGGCTACAAAAATAAATTTTCTACCAATTTCTTAAGAACTGCATTTAAGAGCTAACTGGTGGAAATTGATTTAAGTAGAAGATCTTTTCTGTGGGCTAAAGGGTTTCCAACCATAAGTACCAGAGAAAACTGATGGCTGATTAAGGAGAAGGAAAAAAAAAGGTAAATCAGGAATGGAGGCAATTAACCAAACCAGATGAACTATGCCAGGAACATGGTTGTTCTTTAAAAGGAAGAGATAAATTGGGCCAAACAAGAGTCAGGTGTTACTTTAATCTGTCAACTGATCAGTAATTTTAGTATTCCAGTTTGTGCTATATGCTCAGCACTAGCCTAGAGGTATCAGGGAGAAAAAAAAATTAGCAGCTAAGCTAATAAATACAATACATTGTGTTTTCTTTACCCCTTCACAGCAAAATGAAAAGGAGAGGCTGCATAAAGGAAGGCATTCCATTTTGTCAACTCTGCATGAGGAAAAGCAGGATGTAACTGGACTTTGCCCCTAAGTGTATAAAGAAGCTATTCTAAGTCAAACAAATACAGGTCCTCAACCTGGTAGAGGAGCCCAGAAAGGAGAGAAAGGGCACATTTTAGCTGAGCCTGGAAGGAAGAATCAAATGTAGATAGAGAAACTTGAATATGTTAAAGTGGAGTGGAAAAATAGCCTTAATCTTGCAAAAGAAAGACTGTCAGTGTTTCCCCAGTGGTAAAGAAAGCTTGGGGGCTTATAGAGAAAGGAATGTATTTGAAACAATTGTTAGGGGATGGAATTAGGCAGGTAATAGACAAGAACAAATAGCAGAGCTGATGTACAGTGATCAGGAAGGAAACATAAGTTTTTTGTGTCCCATTTGGGTTTAATTATGAGCCTTTCTTTAACAGTTCTCTGTGGTTAGGGCCAGCAGACAAAAGAGGTGCCTCTGAGGGCTGGAGAATCTGATTAACAGGACCAAAAAAAGTCAGGCAGCCTGCATAGATCACCCCGAAGTTGCTGAACATTAAGTCCTTGGTGAGGAGGGAAGGGAGTCTAGCGTACATGCCCAGGGAAAACAAATTTTCAACACTGACAATTACAACTTTCAGTGAATTGGCAAGAAAAGGCTAAGAGGCCAGAATTGATGGTCCTGGGGCAAATGAAGCTAAGTAAAAGCAGGGCTAACTCCAAAGGAAGCTGGCCAACGGTGCTAATTTCATTATCACAAAGGATTTAGAAAAGTCAAGTCACCTCTGAGGTAATGAAAATACGCTTGGATCCGTTTTGGGGTAGGGAAGCACAACAGAAGAGATTAGGCAGCAGTAACACCTAGTCAAACAGGTTGCAGCCAGAAGTCCAAGGAGGTGAGTTCCTCTGGAGTTAAACAGCAACTCAGGCAACAATGCCTTGTGTACTGAGCAGGGTCCAACCCACAGGGGTAGAAGCTGAGCAGCAATCAGCTCCTCAACCAAGGGATCAGGGATCGGAACCATGCTTGAATTCCAGCATAAAAAAAGAGCACAAATCAGAAACACAGACAGAAGCCAGTCATAAAGACTGAGCACCCAGAATGGGGCCTGGGAGAAAATGCTGAACTAGGAAGAGAATTCAGGGTTCATTGAAGGCTTTTTAAGCTACAAACCATTTCTCAATTTCATCATGAATCCTACAGAATAAAAATATTCTTCTGACTCTTAATAATATATGTTCAGGCTTAGTCCTTATCAGCTCAGATTAAGCAGAGCTGGCCTCAAATTATAGGGCTCCTATTCTTGTCGCTTAGTGGTTCTCCAATAGGGGCAATTTTGTCCCCCAGGGAACATTTGGCAATGTCTAGAGACATTTTTTATTGTCATGATAGGTGTAGGGTTTGGGGTTGTGGGGAGCTACCAGCATTTAGCAAGTAGAGGCTAGAAATGCTGCTAAACATCCTACATGCACAGGATAGCAACAAAGAATGATCAGTGCAAAATGTGAATAGTGTGGAGGTTGAAAAACTCTGTCTAGGGATGGGTCTGGCAGGTACAGGCACCAACAATCAAGGAGAAAATTGCTATTACATGGTGAGTGTTCATTCATTTACTCAATCACTGCTTCAGCAAACACAGCATTTATTATGTAGTAGAGGCTGTACTGGGCACTGGGGAGACAATGATGATTAAGAGATGGTCCCTGACTTCGAGAAGCTATAAATCTAAAATGAAAACCTTGACTTTACAGCCTACGTTCAGTTTTATAAAAAATGCTCGGAGCCAAAAATTAATTATTGTTTCCATGTATTCTATTCGTCGCAGGGAAATTTAAATTATTCTAAAAGGCAAATTGGTTTCGGCTTAAAATCGTAGTGGGATGCCTTCAAAAGATATGGAATATGTCTAACATTTCCAAGGGCACTAACTTGAGTGTGCTTTGGAAAGAAAAGCCCAAGAACAAGAATGTGGGTAGCAGAAGTTGCAGATGGGGCCAACTTCATGAATAAGCCTCCTGAATAGTCTCCACAGTAGCTTTATTTCTGGGTTCTCTATTTTGTTCCATTGGTCTATGTGTCTGTCTTTGTACCACAACCATGCTGTTTTGGTTACTGTAGTCTTATGGTATAGTTTGAAGTTGGGTAATGTGATGCCTCTGCCTTTGTTCTTTTTGCTTAGGATTGCTTTGGCTATTTTGACTCTTTTTTGGTTCCACATCAATTTTATTGTATTTATTTATTTATACATATATATTTTTAGAAAGAGTCTCACTCTGTTGCCCAGGCTGGAGTGCAGTGGTGCCATCTCAGCTCATTGCAACCTCTGCCTCCCGGGTTCAAGCAATTCTCCTGCCTCAGCCTCCCAAGTAGCTGGGATTACAGGCACCCTCCACGAGACCTGGCTAATTTTTGTATTTTTAGTAGAGACAGGGTTTCCCCATGTTGGCCAGGCTTGTCTCAAACTCCTGACCTCAAGTGATCCACCCACCTCAACCTCCCAATGGGCTGGGATTATAGGTGTGAGCCACTGCGCCCAGCCTGTTTCCATATGAATTTTTGAATAGTTTTTTCAACTTCTGTGAAAAATGACATTGGGAATTTGATAGGATTAGTGTTTAATCTATAAATTTCTTTGGGTAGTACGGCCATTTTAATGGCATTCATTCCTCCAATCCATGAGCGTGGAATGTTTCTCCACTTATTTGTATCACCTCTCATTTCTTTCATCAGCATTTTGTAGTTCTCCTGGTATAGAAATTCATCTTCTTGGTTAGATGTATTCCTTGGTATTTCATTTTTTCTTGCCTGGCACAGTTTTATATGCTGGGGTTACAGCAATAATTAAGACAAATCCTTACTTAAATTCTAGTGAAAGATACAGTCAATAAACAAGAAAACAAAATGTTTCAGAAAATGTATATGCAATACAGAAAATAAAACAGGTATGGATAAAAAGAGAAATTGGTCAGAAGTTATTTTAGTTAAGGAATTCAATAATTATTGGGTAAAGTCCTGAATGATGAGGTGACAAGCAAAGCAAAGTGGGGGAAATATTCCTGATGGAGGGAACAGCAAGGGAACAGTAGGTATAAAAGCCCTGAGGTGGGGCCTGGTGCAGTGGCTCACACCTGTAATCCCCGCACTTTGGGAGGCTGAGGTGGGCAGATCCCAAGGTCAGGAGTTCGAGACCAGCCTGGCCAGTATGGTGAAACCTCGTCTCTACTAAAAATACAACAACAACAACAAAAAATTTAGCCAGGCTTGGTGGTGCAGGCCTGTAATCCCAACTACTCGGGAGACTGGGAAAGAAGAATCACTTGAACCCAGGAGGCAGAGGTTGCAGTGAGCTGAGATTGTGCCACTTCACTCCAGCCTGGGTGACAGAGCGAGACTCCATCTCAAAAAAAAAAAAAAAAAAAACCCTGAGGCAGCAGGTAGACCAGATGTACCACTTCACATTTCTGAGGCAAAGATTTCATCTGTAAAATAAAGGTATTGGACCCCCCACAAAATCTCTTAAGTCCTTTTTAATTATTTTATTTAATGACTCTTTTAAGACGATTATTCATGAGTGTTCTAGGAAGAATACTGAGCTATATTTTTAAAGAAAGCAAACAGCTATATATTTAAGTGGTAAGTATTAAAACAGCCACATCTCCAGTAGTTCAGATCAGCATTTGAGATAGCTCATTATTTATAGATCTGTTCTTCTGGTATTCTCCTCCCTCCTCATCTTTCAACTCATAAAGACAAGGTAAAGATAATTGGTAATTATTAATCAATGGCTAAACGCTCAGGAATCCGTTGTACCTAAGGCCCATTCCCATCATAGTTTCCCTCATCTTAAATTTATTAGTTGATACATCAAATACTGGATTCTACCTGCCAAGGATGCCAACATCCCAGTAGTTGAGACTTGAGGTGAAGTTCTGATTTTTTGTTAATTGACCGAGAAATACCTAAATCCAACTGCATCAAGCATCCCTTGAGTTTTCTTTGGAAGCTATTCACACATGGAACAACAGCAAAAGGGGAAACAAGGAACCACGTTACACATCTTTCTGGCAAGATTCCCTTGGAGTGTGTGGCTTGGGCCCAAAATCTACAAGGAGATTTACCTTCCCCTCAATCCTAAATCCAGACCAGCACAAGCTCCTGAAAGAAAGATAATGGGTATCCTGCTAGCCTCATCTTTAGCCATTCCTCCTGTTACATTTGGGATCCAGATACATTAACATGAATCTCATTCCTCAAATCCACTCCACTCTTATTTCCAAGCATTAAGATATGACAATCTTTCTACCCCTCTCTTTATCTGGCTAAATTCAGCTCATCCAATGAGTTTCCAAGTCCTCTCCTGTGCCACCTTGTACTTCTACAATCACACTTTATCACACTGTGTTGTAAGGATGTGCTTACCTGTCTGCAACCCCCCAAGCTGTTAAGAAATAGATGACAGGTACATCTCATTCTTCTTTGTTAACCCAGAATTGTATCTATAGTCTCTGCTACAAAATAGGTGCTTAATTGTTTTTCGAGTGAGTGAATGTGATTTCCATTTGTCCCTTCATTAATTTGTGTAATCCCTACTCAACCATCTTTAGATCTATGTCCTTTCAACAAAACTTTCTAATGTTTTTGAACAAGGAAAGTTTTAAGAATTGAGAACTTGCTCCTCTGATATCTTAATACCCCAAAATGAGTTTCTTTTCAAGAGTCCCTAGGAAGGGAACCACAGTATTTTCAAAAATACAGGAGAATTAACCAAAAAATGTTCAAGAGTTAATTATTCCTGTGACAGCTGAAATAAATATACTGCCTTAGTCATCACTATTCTCTTAAACCAGCTTAAAAGAAACATGTTTGGCTTTTTGTTTTAAATAGAAACAGATTGTTCAGGGTTTGGGGGAGCCAGACACAAATCAGAAAGCCTGTCCTCTTTCATCTTATAAATCCTTGCTCTCTGCCCAGCCCTGAGATATTTACTGACCTACAGATTAAACCACCTTCTTTCTCTTCTCCAGGTGCCCTTATTTGAAAGCAGTGCTGAGCAGGAGGAGGTGGGCGAGTCCTGCTCACCTGGAACACAGGAAACTCTGAACTCAGGTAGCCTGAATCTAAACTGGGAGAGGGCATTGGGGTTGAAAATTAACTCTTGAGCTGCTTGGCCAAGCTCAGCACGTTATGGAATGATACTACTCACCAGATCAAAGGAGGAGCAAGCAGCTGATATCTGCTCCAAAATTCCTTCTGGCATTTTTCTCTCTGGCTGTGGGCCAACCTGCTATTTTTCTTTTTTTTTTTTTTTTTTTTTTCAATTTTTGGAGGTTTGGGGTTTTCTGAGTTCCTTTAATGTGCCAGGTACTGTGCTAAATGCTTTACACGCATTATTTAATTCAATCATCCATACAACCACATGAGGTATCTATTTTTATCCTCATTTTACAAAGAAATTGAAACCCACAGAAAGCAAGTAACTTAGCCACTGACTTAATAAAATGAAAGAGGCTAGATTCAAACCCAGGTCTAATGGATTCAAAACTTAATATTTTTTTCCTCCACATGTAGAAATTTGTACCTTGAAATAATCACAGGAATGTGTGCAGCCTTTTGGAGTTGGCCTAAGATTAAAATGGGTGCTATGCAGCTTATAACAACACATCAATGTCATTCTGCAGGAAATCAAGAGTTGCTCCTAGCCAGAATAATATCTCCAACTGTATTGATGGACTAAGACTTTTCTGACAGTATTTTGACAAAGATTAGTTGTTTGCCCAAGTAGTTTAACTTCCTTTAACAATTAAGAATAATCCTAGCATCCAGGAATTAAATATGTCCATCTTAAACAGCAGCCTTTCCTTTCTATATGGTATTTCCCTGAATGTGCTGTGAACATTTATGTTTCAGTTACCTTTGCAAATGCTGTTCCCCAGCCTAGAACAGCCTTCCTGTGATTTCCCAATGATGGAATTTAAAACTCTTTTCAAATTATTCATCATTTAAGTCCCAATTTTATAAAGTCTTCTACAACATCCCTAGACACTTAAGAGTTTTCTTTAGCACTGTGTATCTGTATTTTATAACATCTATCCAGGGATATTGTAATGATTTGTCTATCTTCCCCACTACAGTGTGAGCTCCTAGAGGGCAGAGAGGGTAGAGAAAATATGATTCATCTTTGTGCTGCTTAGCCCAAGACCTGGCACTCATGGCCACTCATTAAGTGTCTGTTGAATTGATCTACACACAACTTTGAAGCCAGCAATTCACCAGTCAGAGAGTACAATTGTGAAAACAGCTAGCTATAATGCAATTTGGAAAGACGTGCCATTAAAATAGGTTCAAGATGCTGTGGAAGCATGTACAAACAATCCAACAATTCTATTTAGAGAAAGAGCTGCTTCAGAAAGTTACACAACAAAATGATACATGAACTAAACTTTAAGAATGAGTAACACTTCCCCAGATAGAGAGAGAATGAGAAGGAAGGCATTTCAAAGATAGAAAAGCTAAAGTGAAGGCAATAAGGCAGCAGAGTGTGGCAAGATGATGAGACGGGGAACTTGGATTTATCTTTTTTTTTTTTTTTTTTGAGACAGAGTCTCGCTCCTTTGCCCAGACTGGAGTACAATGGCATGATCTCGGCTCACTGCAACCTCCATCTCCCAGGTTCAAGTGGTTCTCCTGCCTCAGCCTCCCAAGTAGCTGGGATCACAGGTGCATGCCACCACACCTGGCTAATTTTCTTTTGTAT
Organism: Homo sapiens; assembly: GCF_000001405.40. NCBI lineage: Eukaryota > Metazoa > Chordata > Mammalia > Primates > Hominidae > Homo > Homo sapiens. The sequence goes on from NC_000015.10 coordinate 38,170,545, forward strand.
TTGCAGAGGGAAAGGAACAAGAGACAAAAGAGTCAACAATATCAAAGTCTACCTACTTACTTCTTTACATTTTTTGCTTAATACATCCTTTAAGACTCTTGTTTCCTGGAGATGGACCCAGACATCATTACATTTGAAGCATCCTAGGTGATTCCAATGTGTAGTCAAGTCTGAGAACTACTGCCCAAAGAGTAGAGAAACTGATAGGTAACTGGGATGAAGAGATTGTGATTCAGCAGATTTAGGGTAATGCTCACACATCTAAAAAAAAAAAAAAAACCCAAATGATTTTCAGACGGGTCGGCTGTAGATCACACTAGAGAAAATCCTGGCATAACAAATTGGCCCGTTAGCTACATAGTAAGGACCAATCCAATAGTAAAGTCTACTGGAGCCTGATTACCATGTATGAAAGCCACTATCTAATAATGAATCACTGTTACATAACAGAAAATTCTAATCTATTATTCCCAAGGACAATAATGAAAATATAATTCTAAGAAGAGCCATGGCACTATGTGAGAACATAGAGTATGAAATGTGATATAATACACAATTGCAATTTCACAGATTGCTTGTTCATTAAATTGTATCATTTCTCCAGCATCACCTACACTGCTGAAGGTTTTGCCAAACAAAAGCATGTTCTAGCCAGAATACAAATGGGTCGGGGGGAACCCTACTGATTTCAAAAGAAAATGCACTTTGAGGGCAAAAGGCAAATCTTTTTAAGTAAATAGGTGTATGCAACTCTGCTTGTAATAGTTGAATATGAAACACAAGGGGTTTCTTTTCTCCTAATCAGGAGAAGAAAAGCTTTTTCCACAGTTGAATCAAAATGTGTCTTTAGTAGTGTTTATGTAATTAGTCTTAGTATAGGATATTTATATAATTCTATAAGTCTATAAATTAGAAAAACAGCTTTAGGGTTTAACTATATAAAAGGAACATGTATTGTGGTTGCAATTTTTTTAAATTAATAAAGATGTTGTTTGACTATATATTTACTTTCTTGAAGGGCAGTTGTCTTTTGAATATATTCATGGGCTGGTAAATATTTTGTACTTGATCAACAAAGTTGCACTGTAGATAATTATCTCAAGAACTCCAGGCCAGGCACGGTGGCTCATGCCTGTAATCCCAGCACTTTGGGAGGCCAAGGCAGGCAGATCATGAGGTCAGGAGATCAAGACCATCCTGAACAACATGGTGAAACTTCATCTCTACTAAAACTACAAAACTTAGCTGGGCATAGTGGCACGTGCCTGTAATCCCAGCTACTCAGGAGGCTGAGGCAGGAGAATCGCTTGAACTAGGGAGTCAGAGGTTGTGGTGAGCCGAGATCGTGCCACTGCACTCCAGTCTGGTGACAGAGCGAGACTCCATCTCAAACAAACAAACAACCAACAACAACAACAACAACTCCAGTCAGGGGTTAGATCCATTTACAAATGGTATGCCAATTCTTCAGGTGTCTTCTCCACAGCTAGAGAAAAGAGAGTTCAGAAAGGAAAAAAAAATTACCAGGAGTGCATGGCTTTGTGAGTGCCTTCAATATTCCCTTTTTATAATGCAAATTCTCCCAGGAGGGGCCACACCAGATGTTACCAATCTATTTTCCCTGCATAATTCACTGGGCTGCAACACACAGATACTCCAGAAGAGAGCAATTCTGGTCACTGCAGCACCTCCGAGTAGAGTAGAGCTTGTTAATCAGTACACTCTTCTGCCAAGAACCTTGATGTGTTTGAGAATGAAACTTGGGATTTGAGGATGGTTGGATAGACTCTAATTTGTAGAACTGGGAGGACCCAGCTGGCATCTGGCTTACAAAGCTATTTTATTACTACACTTTAAAGGAATGTCAAGTTAAAAGCCATGTACAAATTAGGTAAGTTACTTATAAACAAATTTTTAAATACAATTAATTTGATAGATTTAAATGCTATTCAGTCCCAGCTAGTCACTGCTGACTTCCTATCACCACTTCTTGTTAACTGACTGACTACCTGTAGCTGAAACTGTCCTTATTGCTATATTTTCTGCACTTCTATTCCCAGTCCAATAGTAAGTTGCTTCTCTTAGTTGTCTCTGTCCCTAGGAAAGCTGTATTTCTGTCCATGACCTTGATAGACTCTCTGATGTTTTAGGTCTTCTCAGTTACCAGATCCTCATCTTTATAGGTTCCCTGAGCTCCAACTGCTGCAAGCCACATTGCAGCTGCTCATGGGCTGAGCCCCTCTGTGATGGTTAATACTGAGTGTCAACTTGATTGAATTGAAGGATGCAAACTATTGATCCCAGGTATGTCTGTGAGGGTGTTGCCAAAGGAGATTAACATTTGAGACAGTGGGCTGGGAAAGGCGGACCCAACCTTAATCTGGGTAGACACCATCTAATCAGCTGCCAGCACAGCTAGAATATAAAGCAGACAGAAAAACGTGAAAAGGCTAGACTGGCCTAGCCTCCCAGCCTACATCTTTCTCCCATGCTGGATGCTTTCTGCCCTCAAACATCAGACTCCAGGTTCTTCAGCTTTGGGACTTGGACTGGCTTCCTTGCTACTTAGCTTGCAGATGGCCTATTGCGGGACCTTGTGATTGTGTGAGTTAATACTACTCCATAAACTCCCCTTTATATATCTATCCTATTAGTTCTGTCCCTTTAGAGAACCCTGACTAATATACTCTCCATCATAGAAGCCTCTGAATTCTAATGATTTTCTCTTGGACTAATAATTATAATTAGCTGCTCCTATCACCTTCCAATCATTGTAGGTTATCTTACCCAAGTTCTTTGTGTTCTCCTCTATATCTTATTCAAAGCCATTTTATAATTAAATTACATTTTATTCAAGGTTCCAAGGAAAAGAAACCCATGCATACTTGTCAAACACAAAAGAGGTTTTATTGGAAAGATCTAGGGTAAAAGAACCCAACGGTTGCTTCAGGGATGCAGACTATGAAATGGAAAGAAGTAAAAATCCTCTCTGAGACTATTTAATACCTTCTCACCTCTTCTTTTCTCTCTTTAACTTCTTTCTTTTCTTTCTGCAAAGTGACAAAACGCAGCCATGCTGCAGCTCCCTAGTATATATCAACTCAGTTCAAATTCCAGAGTCTAGGACATAAGAATTCAAATTCAGAAGAGCCGAACTTCAATGAGCTTTTCACTCTTGGTTGAATAAACTATGGCCTGATCAAGTGGGAAATCATGTTTTCTGGGGCAATTCTCATGGGTGTGGGCGAAAGAGGATCCATTTTCAAAAAAAGGAAAGATCATACAGATACATATTATATTACAAGAGCCCCTTACCTTTCTCTGGAAATTTCCTTGGCCCTGCTACAATATAGGATTTTAACGCAGATCATTTTAACAGATGCATCTTGTCCTAGGAAAATGGTTTCTGAGTATTTTAAAGCAATGAAACCTGTTTTTTCCAGCAAAATGTTTCACTGCAACCCAAGATGTAAAACATCTGAAAAGCACAGTTGTCCCTGTTGAATAGGAGAGGGGAACGACAAAGCCCACCTCCTTGGGATATTTTGCTCCATGGTGCTGCTGGAAGCACCTGCTTTAGCCCTCAAGGGAAGCCACTGCTCTTGTGTTTATAATCAAAGACAGTCACTTCCATCACTATCAAAAATATGCTTCCATTGTTTCTTCACTTGTCAACTTTCAGCAGCATCTTTTGACTCTCCAACTAAAATATTATACATAAACCATTTTAATTCAATTCCACTTCCTCCCTCTTTCTTCCTAGTTTTAAAAGTTAACTTATTTTTAGTCCTTTTCTTCATTGCTGTGAGAACTTTAAATATTATACTTAAAGACTATTTTGATGTTCTCTTGATTTTAGGAAAAATCTCATTTATCAACTAAAATTGCTTCTTTGCACTGCCCTCTGCTCCTCCTCACTTCCTATATGTATATACACACACACACGCACACATATATATATGTTGCTTTTAATATCTAAACATGGGGAAAGTCACTAATTTTCTATCCATCATTTCCATTTCTCAATCCACTCTGTTGCATGGTGTACTCATTCTCTCTCTGGTCTATGAATGTAAAGTTCATTGCAGAGCATAAACTCCTATGAGACAATGAGAGAGGTGGTTTGTATTCTTTTAAATGGCATCACTCACAGGAGAAAAAGCAGACAGCTATGGTGTAGGTAGAGATGATAGAAACCACTGTTACTGATTTCAAGAAGCTTAAAATGTAAATTTGAAGCTTTGAAAGAGAGAAGAGGAATGGCTTCCTGCAGAAACTCAAGCATCCCCTAGATTTCATGGTCCGTTTTCCTTCACAAATGCCTCTATTCTTGTTCTTCTACACAATACAACAGAACATTGCCTCATTCAAGCACTGCTAGGATCATTTTCAATTAGAGGCAGCCTGTTTCCCAGTGGCTTTGTCAGGCAGATCCCATACCATAACCACAGACAGATGTCATCTGTGAGAAGGTCATATTATTTTCCTTGTTTTTGACCTAGAAGAACTTTCTTACCAGTCTCCTCATGCTCTCTTCTACCTTCCTAGCCCTTTTATGAGACAAATAAAGACACTCTTTCAATCAACCTTCTCCACTGGCATTACTACTTTCTGTAAATGATTTCTTAATAATTCACTGACTCTCTTGGGCTCACTTCAGTTTCCAGGTAATTGGCCAGTAATTCAACATGCATGTTGGAGAAGGTGCTGAAAAAATGATTTGGAGAAGAAAACTTTCATTAGCGCTAAGTCGTCAATGGCTTTTGTAAGTGGCGATAAAGCATCAAGAATACTCAGGCAGAACAGATTATCCTGGCACTGTTAGAAATAGGAATGGGCCACTGGAGGATTCTGTGGAATATCCTCTTCTGGAGTTTGTTTTTTTCTTTAGCTGTTCTTATTAGCTATGAATTTAGTATGGCTTGCCCTATGGGGAAGAGGGAAATATTTCATGAGCCTTCTAAGTCAAGGTAAATCAATCATGAACGATTTAATTGATTTTGAGTACCTGTTGGAATTTGGAAACCTTTTCAAGTGTGCTGTCCTATTTGATCTCCCCAACAATACTGTGAAATAAAAAAAGGCAGACATTATGGATTCACTTTATTTTGTAGATTAAGAAAGCATGACGTATAAGAATTATGTATGTTTCATAAGGTCGCACAGCTAGGATGTAGCAGAAAGCTCCTTATATCAAACCATGTTGCCTTTTCCACCTCCATCCAGGAGTTCATCAGCAGGGCCTCTGGGAATGAAAATGTTTAACCAGTATGTAACCAAACAGAAGTAATAGGGTAGGGGTATAATCACCAAGCAACTTTTTATTGTCTGCCCCTCTTCCTTTAAAGGTTAATGAATGGGGAACTTGCTTCCACTAACATAGATAGAAACTCAAAAGTCCCATAATTCCTCTAACTTCTCAGGTAAACAGAAGTCTAACTGTCCTTTCAAGTTGCAAACATAGTCTCAAATTCATAATTAAGAGTACCCAATTATAGACAATTATCAAAACTTCAAACCTGATTTGAAATGAAAACTTCTTCTTCCCCCTTCCCCTGTAAGAATTTCCGCAGGTAGGAAGTAAGGAAGGGATAGGCAGATGGGGAGGAGGAGTCCCTTTTCCTTGTACCACCCCTTTTCCATTTTGTGAATCTGGTTCAAATCTTTTCTTCCAAGGTCAAATGGTGTTGAAAAGAGGCGAATTGAGGGGGGACAAGAAAACTCTCACCTAATTAGTACCATCATACGCTCTTATAACACTGACTCTCAGAAGCTATTTTGTGGATTCTTAGAAAGAACCGCATCACTGAGAACTTCTCATCTGAGAGTCCCTTGATATGAGTCACACATACTCCCCCGGTCATCCATCTAAAGCAAACCAGCCTGTCTCATGCCTGTTAGATTTCTCAAACAGGAGGCAAACACTGGTCTACTCTGTGTCTTAATTTCATATCAGGTTCAGTGAGTGCTCCTAATAAGTCCCTTGCACTAGGCTTGAAATGAGATGCAGGTACTTTAACCTTCTCCCTTGGGTAGATTTAGAATCTCAGCACTGCTCTCTCCAAAAAAAATCCTCTTTAAGATCTTTTCTTCATCCTACTTTTTTAGACCCTCCATGTAAGCAAGACTTGTAAGACTCCTGTAATTGGTTTTAAAACAATTTTTGAAAATTTACATTTTGATCTGGAGCCTTTCCAGGAAATGTATCTATTAATTCTATGTGCCTTAGTCAAAATTTTCAAATGTTACATCAAGTAAGTAAAAAATGTAATCTCTGCTCTTTAAGTGTCTTCTCTAACTGGGAAGGCAACCAACATATGAAACTACATGAAAATAGAAACAACACTGACCACAAGTTTTGCCCATGCTTAGTGGAGAATTGCCATGGACTGGAAAAACACATTCTACAAGCCTTATGTTAAAACAAACAAAAAACTAGAACAAAGGAGGCATTCCTAAAGAAAAATTGCCATAAAGAAAAAAGTATATAATAAAAATGATCATGATATTTTAACTCTCTCTCTAAATTGTCTCTTCTGTTTCTATCACTATTGTCTTAGTCTGAGCCAGTATTGTCACTCACCTTAATTAATGCAATATCCTCTTTCCTGGTGTGCCTAAATTTCATAATCCCCTTCTCCACCACTCCCTCCCAGCTCATTCTCATTATCTAGACAATATTTCTCTCTCAATTCATCTTTTGTTGTTTCCCCATCCAGCCATCTCAGAAATTCCTCACAATCTCCATGTTATTTTACTTTTTTTTTTGTACATACTATTCTCTCCATCTGACTCTCCTATTCCCATCTCATTTTCACCTAGTATGATTGATAATTGATCTGCGTTCTGTCTTTGTTCTCATCTCCTCCCAGTGTACTCTCCTTTGTACAGCAAAGTCTAGAAAACTACAAATTTTATTTTCCAGACTCCCTTACAGTTAGATTCCTGGGTGTGAAATAGGCTTTATTGGGGGCACTCAGTCAGAGATAGGAAGGTAGAAGTGAAGGAAATACCATCTTCCAACTGCTTTTGACTGCTTCCTTCCTGCAGGCAAGGAGAGTTGCGCAGCTATGGCTATTTCTGCATTCCAGCAGACCGTTTCCAGTGTTCTGGGTATTGAGTGTTAGACTACTGGTAGTAGTGGCTTCCTGATCCCAGCTTCCCAACCCGTGGGTCTGAATTACAGCACGATGTTTTTAAGTTAATTGGTCCAGTGAACCTCTTGATTCTCACCTCCTGAATATGGTAAGACAGTAGCTCCCACAATAGGTGGCATTCTGTGATTCATTTCTGGAGGCTCAGAAAGGAGCTCATTCTTCTCATCCTTGCAATAATTGCATAAGCACGTAAGTCCCTATAATAAATCCCTTTCTGCTTAAAATACCTCAAGCGCCTCTTTTTCCTATACAAGTGCTTGTTTGGTTCACCTGTCTAATGCCAAGTCATTCTAAAGGTCCAATTCAAATGTCCATTCATCCAGGAATTCTGAGTCATCCTCAAGATAGGCAACAACAAACAGGGGAGTATTCCTGATCGAAGTTTATGTTTTCTTCTATACACTGCCATAGCATCCTGTACATACTGCTGTCATTATATATCAGAGTATAAGGTTTTCCTAATGTTTATCTTTCTTTCTCACTAGACTTCCCTACTTCTCTTTCAGAAGGAGAGACTTTGTCATACTGATTTTTGTACGTTCGGCCCCTACTACATGATAAAATTTCAATATATGTAAAATGAATAAATGGCTGGATAGATGGATAAAAGAAGAAAGTGAGAATAGACCCTCAAACTGAAGTAAAAAATGATAATCTTTAATAAATCAATTATTTTCTAATAAGCTTCTAATAGCTTCTAATTGGTGGGGTTTTTTATCTTTATACTGAAAAAAATTTAGACTATCTCCTATAACTCATAAAAGTCAGAGGTTAGAGCTTTCTTAACTTTCCTCTCTGAGGCAGTGTTACAAAGAAGGAAGTATACAATTGCTTGAATGTTTTCCCTAGATTTAGCTTCATAATAAGGAAGCAGAAATTCAAAGAGTAGAGAGGTATTTTTTCCTTATCATGATATAATATGGTATTACCATATAATAAGGACTACACTGGAATAGTATTTAACTGGAATTAAATTGAAAAAACAAATTATGTATCTTAAAAAATAGATCGGCCAGGCACAGTGGCTCATGCCTGTAATCTCAACACTTTGAGAGGCTGAGACAGGCAGATTGTTTGAGCCCAAAATTTCAAGAACAGCCTAAACAATATGGCAAAACCCCATTTACAAAAAATACAAAAAAATTAGCCAAGCATGGTAGCATGCACCTGTGGTCCCAGCTACTCAGGAGGCCGAGGCAGGAGAATTTCTTGAACCCAGGAGGCAGAGGCTGCAGTAAGCCGTGATGGTACCACTACACTCTGGCCTGGGTGACAGAGCAAGCCCTGTCTCAAAAAAAAAAAAAAGTATTGCATCTATTAAATAATAATAGTTGATAGTAACATTCTTTTGCCCTTTGTTATCTAAAGCCCAGTTTTCTTGACTGTAAAATAGAGATGATGATGTATGTATAGTTGTCTATATGCTATATATAATTACACATGTATAATTAGTGTGTATATATGTGTGTGTATACACATTAATTATACATGTATAATTATACACTAATTATACATGTATAATTATATATAGCATATAGACAACTATACATACATCATCATCTCTATTTTACAGTCAAGAAAACTGGGCTTTAGATAACAAAAGGCAAAAGAATTAAGATTCAAACATAACTCTGACAAGAGACACACCGTAAATATAAAGACACAGAAAATTTGAATGTAAAAAGATGGTAACTTCATCCAAACAAAAATTGGTGTAGCTATAATAATATCATATTAAGACAACTCTGAGGCAAGAAGTATGGCAAAAAATTCAGAGAGACATTTTATAATGATAGAAGGGCCAATTCACCAGGAAGAAGTCATAAATTTCTATGTATTTAATAACATAGCTTTGACATATATAAAACAAAGTAGTCAAATTCATTGTAATAACTAAAAATCGTAACATGTCAGTAGCCGATAGAGTAGGCAACAAAAAGTAAGTGTATAGATTTTAACAATATGATTAAAAATTGATATAACTGATACATATATAAGATGATACGCAACAATTGGGCATATGCATTCTTTACAATGCACATGGAACAGTCACTAAAATAAATCTTATAATGGGCTATAAAGAAAATCTTAACAAATTTCAAAGAATACAATCACCCAGAATAAGTTTTTTTTTTTTTACCACAATGAGATTAATCTATAAATCAATAATGGAAAAGTAACTAGACTATCCCAAAATATTTGTAAATTAAGCAATATATTTCTAAATAACAAACGGATAAAATAAGAAATCATAATGGAAATTAGAAAATATATTGAGGCCGAGCACAGTGGCTCACACCAGTAATCTCAACACTTTGGGAGTCTGAGGTGGGTGGATCACTTGAGCCCAGGAGTTCAAGACCAGCTTGGGCAACCTGGTGAAACCACATCTCTACAAAAAATATTAGACTGGCATGGTGGTGTGCACCCGTAGTCCCAGCTACCAAGGAGGCTGAGGGGGAAGAATTGTTTGAGCCTGGGGAGGTCAAAGCTACAGTGAGCCATGATCATGCCACTGCCCTCCAGCATGGATGACAGAGTGAAACCCTGAAAAAGAGAGAGAAAGAAAATATTTTGACCTAAATGATAGCAAAAATGTGACATATTAATGACCCCAAAGCACAGGCAACGAAAACAAAAGTAGCCAAATGGGAATGGCATCAAACTGAAATGCTTCTGCACACACAGCAAAGGAAACAATCAACAGAGTGAAGAGACCATTTATGGAATGAGAGAAAACATTTGCATACAACACATCTGATAAGGAGTTAATATCCAAAATGTATAAAGAACACAAACAACTCAATAGCAAGAAAACAAATAACCTGATTTTAAAATGGGCAAAAGACCTGAGTAGATATTTCTCAAAAAAATAAAAAATGTCAAAGGACAACAGGTATATGAAAAATGCTCAACATCACTAATCATTAGAGAAATGCAAATTAGGACCACAATGAGATACCACCTCACACCTGTAAGGATAGCTTTTATCAAAAAGACAAAAGGTAACAAGTGTTGGTCAGAAAAGGGAACCCTTGTACACTGTTCATGAGACAGTAAATTAGTATAGCCATATGGAAAACAGTATGGAAGTTCCTCAAAAAATTAAAAATAGAATTACCATATGATCCAGCAATTTTATTTCTGAGTATGGATATCCAAAGGAAATGAAATCAGTTATGTTGAAGAGATATTTGCACTCCCATGTTCATTCCAGTATTATTCACAATAGCCAAGATAAGGAATCAACCTAAGTGTCCAATAGTAGATGAATGAATAAAGAAAATATATACACAATGGTATATTATTTGGCCTTAAGAAAAGGAAATTCTGTCATTTGTGACAACATGGATGAACCTGGAGGACATTATGTTAAGTGAAATAAGCCAGGCACAGAAAGATAGATACTATAAGCTCTCACTTATATGTGGAATTAAAAAAAAAAATCAAACTCATGGAAGCAGAAAGGAGAATAGTGGCGATTACCAGAGGCTGGGGTTGGGGAGAGGAGTTTTAGAGGGATGGTGAGATGTTGGTCAAAGCGCATAAAGTTTCAGTTAGACAAGAGGAGTTAGTTCAGGAGATCTATTGTACAGCATGGTGACTAGAGTTAACAATAACAAATTGTAATGAATGTCTTCATCACAAAACATCAATATGTTAAGTGCTGGATACATTAGTTAACTTGGTTTAATCATTCCACAATGTCTACATATATCAAAACGTGTATAATGTGCAATGTCACATTGTACATTATAAATATATACAATTTTTCATTTGTCATTTTCAAAAATATTAAAATATGTATGATTTGTTCTATGCAGCTAATGCAGTACTCAGAGGAAAAGATATTACTTTGAGTACATCTTTTAGAAACAAAGAAGGATTAAATATCAAGGATATAAGCTTCCATCTCAAGAAACTAATCTGGAAAAAAAACTAAACCCTAAAAAACAGAAAAAAATTAAGAGTAGAAATCAATAAAATAGAAAGCAAATATATATTAGAGAAAATTAAGGCAAAAGATAGTTATTTGAAAACAAATGTAAAAGCTGATAAACTTCAAGAAAAATTAATCAAGAAAATGAGAATATATTTTTAATATCATATATAATAAGGGGGACTTTATTGCAGATTCCATAGACATTAAAAAGATAATAGATAAATAAATTTGATTTTAGATGAACAATTTCATTGAAAAGCATAACTTACCAAAAATGAATTTAATAATAAAATTTTATTTGTTTTTAATTGGCAAAAAATTATATATATTTGTCTTATATAACAAAATGTTTTGATATATGAATACATTGTAGAGTGGCTAAATTGAGCTAAATAACATATGCATAATCTCATATACTTATTTTTTACAGTGAGAAGAGTTAAAACCTACTCTCTTAGCAATTGTCAAGAATATAATACATTGTTATTAACTATAGCCACCATCTTATACATTAGAAGTGTTTAATTTATTCCTAACTGAAATTCAGTATCCTTTGACCAATATCTCTTCCCTCCTCCAATAGAAATTCTTATAGCCCTGTATCTCTTAAAGAAAATGAATCCGTAATTAAAACAATGAAAGCTCCAAGCCCAAATGGCTTCGCCAGTAAATTTTTTTAATTATTTAAAGAATTAAGAATAATCTTATTCAAACTCTTCCTGATAATGGAAAGAAAAACTGCTTCCCAACTCGTAAGGCCAGGATAACCTTGATATCAAACTTGACATTAACATTACAAGGAAGGAAAATTACAGGCCGGTATTGCTCATGAACATAATGCAAAAATCCCAAACAAAATATTAGCAAACTGAATCCACTAATACACACAAACAGATAATAAATACATTCAAATCCAGTAAAGTTTATTACAAGAATGCAAGATTGGTTAACGTTTGAAAATCAACAAAAACTAATAGAATAAAGGAGAAAATTCACACGATTATTTCAAGAGGAAAATAAACCTGAGCCAGTCTCACTTACAATTCCAGGCTTTAGATCAGTAATAGAACAGCATTGTGTGGATAAGAAATGCATTCAACTTTAAAATAACAGAAAATGATCAAACAACTGAGTAAAATTAGCTTGAAGAGAAGGGGGTTCATGAAGTCCAGAGGTACACAGTTAAAGATGCTGCAATGTTTAATGATGCCATCGGGGATTCAGATTCTATCCTTCTGCTCTGCTGCTTTTTAAAGCAACCACAACAGTGCCTGGCACAATAGCATGTATTCAGTAAATATTTGTTAAATGAAAGAATCGATGAGTTGATCTTCACCCTGAAGATTATTATCTAATGGCCAGAAGACTAGACTCAGGTCCATGTTCCAGGCAGAAGGGCAAAGCAGAAAGGGGTGTGGTGCCTATATCTAGAAAGTCAGAAACCCTCAGCTTTCATCTCCTTGTATAGAACTGACTCATTTGGCCACCTGACTGCAAGAGAGCTTGGAGAATAAGTATTTTTAGCTGGGCACAGTATCATCCTGGAAAAAAAAAAAAAAAAACGGGAGTTCTGTTACTAAAGAGAAAGAGAGAATAGATGCTGGGTCCCTTTATATAGAAGATACAACAACATACACTGTTAAGTCCGCAAAATGAGTAAGAAGAGGCACCATCTCTAAGGAGACTGAAGTTTAACAAGTGGATGAGAGAAATAAGTAATCATTATATAGGGAAGAATAAGAGCACAGGCATGCAAGAGGTTGAAACAAAGTGCTCTGGGAAATCAATGGGGGAAAAGACAGAGTCTGGTTAGAGAGACCTGAACTGATTCATGGAATAAAACCTTTAAGAAGTTTTTTTTCTTTTTTGAGACGGAATCTCACTCTGTCACCCAGGCTGGAGTGCAATGGCACGATCTCGGCTCACTGCAACCTCCGCCTCCCGGGTTCAAGCGATTCTCCTGCCTCAGCCTCCCTAGTAGCTGGGACTATAGGCACCCGCCACTACACCCGGCTAATTTTTTGTATTTTTAGTAGAGATGGGGTTTCACCGTGTTAGCCAGGATGGTCACGATCTCCTGACCTCGTGATCCGCCCGCCTCGGCCTCCCAAAGTGCTGGGATTACAGGCCTGAGCCACCGCACCCCGTTTCACTTTTAAGAAGTTTTAAAGATGGCTAAGATCTCAACAAGTAGCAATGGGCGCATTCAATATCGTATAGAATAATGCATTCTAGCGGTACAAACAGAAGCAAAAGCAATTAGGCAATAAACCTGGCATCTGAGGAATGGCACATGTATGTTATAGTATATCAGATATTCATAAAAGCCTGCTTGGAGATAAAGCTGGAAATATAATTTGGACTATATCATGGAGGCATTGACTGCTGGGTGAAGAATTCAAATTTGATCCAATTGACAAAGAAGAGGCAATGCAGGATCTGGGTCAAGAAAGCCTTGAGACAGATGTGGTACTACTGAAAGCGTATTCTGAAGTGTAAGAAAAGTTTGAGGCTGGGGGTGGTGGCTCACGCCTGTAATCCCAGCACTTTGAGAGGCCGAGGCAGGCGGATCACGAGGTCAAGAGATCGAGACCATCCTGGCCAAAATGGTGAAACCCCGTCCCTACTAACAATACAAAAATTATAATCCTTTGGGTATATACCCAGTAATGGGTGAGTTGATGGATGCAGCAAACCACCATGGCACGTGTAACCTATGTAACAAAACTGCACGTTCTGCACATGTACCCCAGAACTTAAAATATAATAATTTTTTAAAAATTCTGCAATTAAAAAAATAATACAAATATTAGCTGAGCATTGTGGCATATTTGTGTAGTCCCAGCTACTCAGGAGGTGGAGGCAGGACAATCACTTGAACCCATGAGGCGGAGGTTGCAGTGAGCTGAGATCACGCCACTGCACTCCAGTCTGGGTGACAGAGCAGGACTCTGTCTCAAAAAATAAAAATAAAAAAAAAAAGGTTTGGAATAGGAAGACAAGTTTCCAGGACATTCTGATTGTCTAGCAAAGAGATCTCTGTTCCAGGCATGAAGAAAAGCAAAGCAAAAAGTTCTTTGTCCTATACAGGTTTAATCAAAGTAATATGGGGAGCAACAAAAGGGCAGTTGGCTGGATGAAGAGGGTTGAAAAATGTGGTGCCTTTTTTTGTTGTTGTTTTGTGACAGGGTCTCCCTATGTTGCCCAGGCTGGCCTTCAACTCCTGGGCTCAAGTGACCTGCCTACCTTAGCCTCCCGAAGTGCTGGGAGTACAGGCATATACCACTGCACCCACCTGGTCTTAAACTTTACAGAAAGACAGTAGTGATGACGTTAACAGAAGGAGAGGTGAGAAGAGGAGATCTAGCAGCATTTGTTTAGCCGGCTATTATAAACATCAGGCTACAGACAAATCGAGAGATTGGGCCCAAGATACAGCTTTACTATTCATCCACATGGACACACAGAACTTCTCTGAGGGAAGAAACCCAGGACAAAGTCATGTAAAAAGCTTAGTGGATGGAAAATTTAAGAAGAGCCAGTGAACAAACAATAGAGGAAATGGAGGGAGGAGGGATTAGAAACTTGAACATCAACAAGAAGGGACTAGGGCTTTCCTAGCATCAAAAGCAGAAGCAACAAATGTCTGTGAAGTACTTGCTTATTTATTTTCCTATGTGCCTCACCTTATCTTAAATTTCTTAAAAACAGGAACAGCCAGCACGATGGCATGAACCTGTAATCCCACCTACTTGGGAGGCTGAGGAAGAGGAGATCACTTGAGCCCAGGAGTTCAAGGCCAGCCTGGGCAATATATTTAGAGATTGGCAACCCCATCTCTTAAAAAAAAAAAAAAAAAAAAAACTTAAATATTATTTTTAAAAACCAGGAAGAGTCTAATTTATTCTTGTTTCTCCAGTGCATGGTCTGCAACTAAGTAGTCAAATAATATGGAAGAAAAGAGGGAGGTTGGAAGGTAAAAACGAAGTTAGGAGAGACGGAGAAAAAAACTAAAAACAGTTGGGTTGGAGATTCAGAGAGAGTGTTTTTAGTAGCATGCTAGAAGTAAAGCCAGATTGCAAGTGGTAAAAGGGATGACTAAAATAGAATGAAGACAATAGATACTGATTATTTTTTCAAAAGGGCTGCTGGTGGACAAAAATTGGGTGCTTACAGAAGAATCAGGGACTAGTTTTTGTTTGCTTTTATTGTGTTTACCGTGATGGAATACCACTTGATATATTGTTCTGATTGTTTCCCTGACATTTAAGGCGTTCAGTCAGTCTTGCCCTTATTCAAAAGTCTTTTTGGTTTTTCTCTTGTTGTTTCCCAAACTCTTAAGCCCTTGGGAGAAATTAGAGAAGGAACCCTAACTCAGGGTTTGACTAAGTTTGTCAAAGAACCAATTTCTTGACAAAAAAAAAAAAAAAATGAAAGGAGACATATTTCCCCCAGTAGAGATTTCCAGAGGCAGAGAAGGAGGAGGAAGTAGAGAGAAAGCCAACTGTGGATTCCAAGAGCAGATTATGAGGGCTCTGCCTTTGCAGCAGCCTCACAGAAGGAGCTGAGACCTGAGATTAAAAGGACTGTGTAATCTGTCTATGAATACAGGGCTTTGAGTAGGCTCAGCAAAGTTGCCTCCTGGTCAAGAAGTGTTAAAGCAGACTTCTTAATGGTGACCTGTGCAGACCAATAACCAAGAGAATCATTGCTGCCTTTTCTCATTCTCTCCTCATTCTCAAACCTTCCCACTGCATAAGATCCATTAGGAGGAAAAGGTAAATGCTGAGAAGAATAGAAGTTCCTTTTTTTCCCACAACATCAGCAAAATTGGGCTCTGAGTTGGAAATTAAGATGCGTTATAGAAAAGGAAGAGAGAGAAGTCATTAGCTGAGATCCACTGGAGCAGGTTTGTACGCAGAGGAGAAGGTGCCACGGAGAGTTCAGTACAAACCGGAAGCACCATGCTCTTAACTGGATAGCCCTGAAAGAGAAGGCAAGATAGCAGAGTCAGAACTGAAGTCAAATCTCCTCAGATGGCCTCTATTTTTAAGAGAAATTTGAGGCCAAGTCATTGAAACAGAGAACAGAAAAGGTTTGAGAAAGCAACCTTGTGAGGAGTATGAAAAGACAAGCCAGTGTGTACACAGGTGAGCAGCAGACTGCCCAGCAGCCTTCTGAAAGCATGCAGTCAGTAATAATAGAGATCAGCATGGGTCTTTGCATTGATGTGTTGATTTATGTATGTATTTATATTCTGCTTTGTTCAACAAAGGATAGAGGTTGCTTGCAGGGCATACCTAAGAACAGAAAATAAAAAATAAATCAGAGGCAGAGAAAATATATAAATATATGTTAGGATAGAGTTCACAAGAAGGATGATCCAGGCAACATAATTCTGTGTGTTTCTGCAGCCCACAATCAGCCACCTGTACAAAGGAGGATCAGAAAATGTTAACATCTGGGGTGTTCTATGGGAACAGAACAAGAACAAAAGGGAAAGTACCGAGGTAAAGCCATTAGCTGCTCATGGCACTAAGCTTTGTTCAATGAGTGAAATCAAAGTGGGGTGCATGGACTAAAAGAATGTAGGGGAGGGGCCATAAAACACATTAAGACAAAGACCAGAAAGAGATGGAAAAATATACAGGAGCTTGTGATCAAAGACTGCATAGGACAGAGATATGCTCAGATGCTAGCTAAGGGAAGCCACTTAAGAGACTGCTGTGGACTAGGGAACAACGGCATATCCAGGCAATCCATCCCTTCTGAGCTAAACAATGTCAGAATACTCAAAACATTCTGTGCTTTTAGCCATTGGGTCAATGAATATTTATTGATCCCCAACTATGTAACAAGCTAAAAAACTGAGGACAAAAATATTAATAAATAAGACAAGGTTCTTGACGTACTCTAACTCAATGGGAAAACAAGGTAAGCCAAGAAATGCAATGCAAAATGATCAGTGACATAGTTGTGGATATGAGCACAATACTGTGGGAAGTGAGCTTAGTTCCATGCACAACTGCCTCACCCTGAGAAGTCAGGGAAGCATCACGGAAGGGACCTCTGCCCTGTGTCAGGAAGGATGAATTGGAATTTCAGGGAGGAAGCGTGACAGAGTGCAAGTGTGTAAAGGCTTGGAAGCATGAATGAGTACTATGTGTTCTGTAAATAAAAAGATTCTGTGCGGCTTATTCAGAGTACTTAGAGGTGAGTGGCCAATGAGGCTAAAAAGAGAGGCTGGAGCAGACTGTGAAGGGCATTGTGTGCTGCCGTGTAACTCATGGGGACTGAGGAACCATCTGAGGTTTTTATCCGGGAAGTGACAAGGTCAGTGGTGTGGAACAATACCTCCGCCAGCAGCATGGAGAATATCTCAGTGGAGGAAAAGAGAGTAATCAGCGAGACCTGTTGGGAGGCTAATGAAACAGTTCATTTGAGAACTAAACTGAAGTAATCATAGGTGAGGTATGTGATAGGTACTAGACAGACAGAATTCTTAAGGGTGCAGCAAAATCAACCACCTTGTTCACTTTCAGGGCACTACAAATAAGCATAATCTTTCAGGAAGGTGGCTGCAATATGTACACATGACTTTAAAAATGTTTGTACCCTTTGACCCCAGAATTCAATTTCTAGGACTCTACCTTAAGAAAATAAATCAGGCTTGAACCTGGCAGGTAGAGGTTGCAGTGAGCCAAGATCGTACCACTGCACTCTAGCCTGGGTGACACAGTGTAACCCTGTCTCGGAAAAAAAAAAAGAAAGAAAAGAAAAGAAAAGAAATCAGTTCTACAAAAGGAGATTTATGTTCAAGGATGCTCCCATCATGGTTTTTTTAATTTAAAAACATACTACATGTGCAATGATGGGAGAGTTGTTAAATAAATTATGGTATATTCATACAATAAACTACAATATAGGCATTAAAGAATATATTTTCAAAGAATATGTAATGGTAGTCAGGTGCAGTGTTGTGTGCCTGTAGTCCCAGCTGCTTGGGAGGCTGAGGTGGGAGAATTACTTGAGCCCATCTAAAAGAGTTCAAGTCCAGCCTGGGCAACATAGTGAAGTCCAGCTTCTAAAAAAAAACAAAAACAAAAAAGAAAGAATACGTAATGGCATGTGAGAATCTCATAATAAAATATTTAGTTAAAAGGCCATAAACTGAGATACAGTTTGATATAAATTTTCTGAATATA
Organism: Homo sapiens; assembly: GCF_000001405.40. NCBI lineage: Eukaryota > Metazoa > Chordata > Mammalia > Primates > Hominidae > Homo > Homo sapiens. The sequence goes on from NC_000015.10 coordinate 38,188,850, forward strand.
CATATGTATGAATTAAAATATTAGATTTAAATTCACCAAAATGTTAATTGTGCTCATCTCTGGGTGGCAAGATGCTTCTCTCTACCTTTGCATGTCTTCCAAATTGTTTTCAGTGAATATGTATTGCTTATGTAATCAGTTATTTTTAAAAATAAGTGAATAATGCAAAACATACTTACAACTATAAAGAGAGTTTGAACTACTAGAGAAAACAAGCAGTTGAGAGATAAATAAGTCTGACTTGCAGGCATCAAAGATGAAGCAAGTCTAGATAATCAAACCCACACTGACATTGGCAGCGGTGATGACATCGTCAAAAATTAAGAGCCTATGTTCTCATTGCTGCTTCATTATCAAAGATAAAGGCAACTGAAAGGAAAAAAAAAACCTGTTATTACAATGCTATCATAGGTACAACCGAGACACAGTTGGTGGATTTTTATGAAGATACTCTTAATACATTTAGTGACATCCCTTTCTAATTTTATATCTTTTGGAAAATTCTCGACATAATGTACCCAGATTCCAAACTGTTATAAAACTCAAATAACCAGATTTTCCCCTAGGAAAACCTGCAGTAAGCATTGCTTTTCATAACAATGGTACTGAAGTGCTGTTAGATATTTAGGTACTTACTATTATCCCAAAACTCTCATGTGATATTCAGAGTAGTTTTTTTTTTTCCTACAGTTAATTCTACAAAAAAAAAAAAAAAAATTTCATGGGTGACATAATGGAGTTAATTATCTAAAATATTCAATTAACCAGAGGCCCCTCCACAATTCTCCAACAATGCTAAATGAAGTAGATTTTGCACAAATGCATCATTTCTTAATTATCTTAATAGCTGGTTGTTAGATGTGAACAAGCATCTATGTTATCCTCACTTACAGAAATGTTATTCTTAACCTGAACCTGTACAGCCAATAGGAGCTAGAAGAAGACATTCATCCGTACTGACAGGTCTCCCTTTAAATTCATGACATTCCTGACTAATAACTTTAAGCATGCAGTTCATGAGGCCCAGCAGGCATAGCACATTTCCCTGATTCATTTACTATTATACTCTCCTAGACAACAATTCTCCTCTCTCCTAAAACTTCTAACACCTCCTCCCCCATCTTCACTTTCAGCTCTTGACCTTGATTGCTATTTCCCTGAGAAAATAGAAACAATCAGAAGAGAACTTCCACAAGTTCCCACCAACACACAAGCAACTCCATCCGCCCACAAGCATCTGGGCCCAGATACACCGCCTTCTCTCCTTTACCAGGGATGAACTTTCCGTGTTGCTATCTAAGGCTGAACTCTCCGCCTGTTCACTAGATCCCAATCCTTTTAAATATTCAAGAACATTGTTCCAGAAATTCCTCCCCTTTCCTTCTCCTGCATCACCATTTTCCCCCTCTTAGCCAGATCATTCCATCAGCATATGAACATGATGCTATTTCTCCCATCTATGTTGCCTTCCAGCTACAAATTCATATTTCCATTCTTCTTCACAGCAATTCCTCTGAAGACTTATCTACACTCGTGTCTCTAAAATCTGTTCTCCCATTCCCTCTAGAATGCTGTTTAATCAGGCGTTTGCCTCTTCCATGTTCCAAAACTGCTCTCCAGCAATGATGTCCACATTGCTAAATCTAATGGTCAGTTCTCTCATTTGACGCCTCAGTAACGTTTAACATCATCGTTCGCTCTGTCCTTCTGGAAGTATTTTATTAACTTCTCTCTCAGGACACCACACTTTCTTGGTTTTTCTCCTACTTCCCAGCCACCTAACATTTCGTACCCTAGGATTTGATATTCCCTCCCATCTTTCCCAGCTGTCTCCATGACTCACTCTCTCGCCTCCTTCAGATGTTTGCACAGATGTCACCTGCTCAGTGAGACGTTTCCTGTCCATACTATTAAAAGTAATGGCAAAAACCGCAATACCTTTTGCACCAACCTCATATTTAAAATTGCAACGCATCCCTCCTTTAATACCCCTAATCTTTTTCTTCTCAGTACTTATTACCATCTCCAGCGTTATCTATTTTGTTTATCTGGCTAGAGGTTACTCTATATGTACCGTTTGCTGTAGCTGTAGGTAGCAGAAGTTAAACTTTCCTGTGGTATCCTTATGTTCATATCCTCTGTTGTCCTTGGGTTTCCCTAGAGACACCCCAAATACCTGAGATGCACAGTTCTTTCCCGTTGTTATTATACAGGAGCCCCATTGGTGCTGTGGTGAGGTGTGAGGGGAGAAGCAGCATTCTATAGTCCTAGGATTGGGTCTCAGCCTTTTCGTGAGCCTGTGTCCCCAGCCTGTGACCTTCATGGGTGCTTCTCCGTTTTGCTTTGATTTGGTTTGGTTTGGGTTTTTCCCATAGAAGAGACAGGAAAGTTACTCAGGGCTCGAGTTGAGTTTTTTCCTTCTCCCAAGGCAGTTAGTCTCCAGGAAGACCCCGGTAGTTTAGACTCTGGTAAAATCGTTTCTCTTGAAGGCAGTCCTTGTTAGGAAGAACAGAATGCTCTGGGCACATTTCAAAATAGCTCATTTTCCTCTCCCCCTGCCAGAAGCACAAGGGGATTTTTCTCTGATCTTCACTATGAAAACCTGATAGAGCTCTTGAAGGTAAAACTCAGGAAAGCCTGGGGGCCTCCCTAAGACTGGGCCCCTCTGGAGTTTTTAACTCTCAAACTTGTACACACTGAGCCTTCAGCAATTTGGCACTTACAGATTAGGTTTTCCTACCCCCATACTGGTTCCCACTGAGTTTTAACGTAAGTTGTGATTCTCTGTATCTGCCTGGCTGGCTGGCTGGCCAATATGGGGGCAAAGTTTGCCCTATGATCTCAGTTCTCTGATGGATCTAGAAAGAGTTATTGATTTTCAGTTTGTTCAGCCTTTTTCTTGAGAAAAAAAAAGCTTGAGAGATGACTTTCATGCTCCTTGTATGTAGGACCAGGAACCAGAAGTTTATTTTACATATTTTATTCATTTGTTTCTATTATCCTTCTCACCTACTAAAATGTAAGTTCAAGAAGAGCAGGCATTCCTGTCTGTTTGTCCACTGCTTTATTCCCAGTGCCTGGAACAGTACCTGACACGTGGTAGATGCTCAGTTAATATTTCTTTGAAGAGATGGAATGAATGAACAAAGAATCTCTCAGTAGTTTCCAGTAGAGAAATTTGTTAGTTGGGACCATTGAACATAGACAGTCCCTGCGCCTGGAAAGGTCTTTCCTGTCCCCAGCCTTCCCCTTTACCTGCTTAACTCCTAATACATTCCTCAAGTTTCAGCTTATATGTCAGCTCTTCGGGTAAACCTTTCCTGAACTTTGGGTTGAAAATCATGGCACTCATAACCCTATTACCTGGCACACTTATTGTAATTTAATAATTAGATAATCATTTATTTAAATTTGTATCCATCACAAGGTTATAAGCTCTTTAAAGGCAGGTACTATGTTTTGTCTGTTGATTTTGGTACAAGCAGCACCTAACAGACTGCTTGACTAGATGCTCAATAAATATTTGTTGTATGAATAAAGGCAACACCTTGTCTGGACAAGACAACTGGATTAGTACCACTTCACAAAGTCCTCTAGAACTTAGTGCCTTAAAACAACAATAATCATATATTGTCTCTCATGGATTCTGCAGGAATTCAGAGTGGCTTAGCTGGGTGGTTCTGGCTGGGGAATTGCATGAGGTTACAGTCAAGAAATCAGCCAGGGCTGCAGCCATTTGAAGGCTTGAGTGGAGTTGGAGGAGGCATTTACACGGTGTATCTTCCACATGCAGGCTGTTGACAGAAGGTCTCAGTTCCTCCCCATGCAGGTGTCTCTGAAGGCTATTTAAGTATCCTCACAACATGGCAGCTGGCTTCCCCCAAAAGTGGACAACATAAAAGAGAGCAAATGGAAGTGGTGATATTTTTTATGGGCTATCTTTAGAGGTCACAGATCATGACTTCTTGCCACATTTGGTGTGTTAAAAGTGAGTCGCTACCTCTGGTGGACATTGAAGTGGCAGGGAATTAGACTCCAGCTTTGAAAGGAGTTGTGTCAAAGAATTTATGGACATGTTTTAAAACCACCAAATAACCCATTAACAAATTAATGGATAAGGAGATGAGGAAAAATTTGATGTCATGACTCAAAATCAATTTTCCCAGTTTTAGAATAGAGAAGCAAAAATAACTCCACAATAGTTTAAGAGCACTATAATAAAAAAAATCAGACAGTAGATTAATATTTGGGATTACTTCTTTACTTTAATACCAACATGGATTCAGAAGTAAAATGTTCACAAATGCTTTGACATCTGAAAGCATCCTGGAAAAAAAATTTTTTTGACCAAATCCTGGAAGGTCAAAGGCCAATGGCCAGCACAGCTCTGCAGAAAATATCAGTGAGTAAAGTAAGGAATGAAACAATTGCAAAATAATAGCAACTTCTATCCTTGCAGAGTTTACAGTCTGTCCACTCATTGATTGCAGGGAACAGGAATATAGAATTTTGTTTTCTGCTGATTTATATCAGCCATACATCTGATCCTAGGATTGGAGAACTGTGCTGATAAAGGGCAAGGTAAGAATTTGAAAAAGGCATAACTTATACAAGCTATTGTAATAGTACCATCATACGTATTGCCAAGCAGAACTTTAGCACAAACCAAGATCCCTTAATCACTTTTTGTGAAGAAGAGGTTAGTATCAGTGTCCTGGCTCCCAGTTAGGGCATATACTGTCTTGTTAAAAATCTCTTGTTTTAATTGAGTGGTGCTGTCTCCTTCCCTTCCTTTCCTGGGCCATTTTTGAGCACGGAAGAATGGTTTGTGAACCATGTAAATAATAAATAACCCATGCCACACCACATTCACATAAAAAATGGTGGTGACTCATAGTGGCAAGAAGTCCAGTTTTAAAAATGTGTGAGTATGTTTGTATTTCTTTTTCATCTGAATTCCTACAAAGTAAAGATTTCACATAAGTGATTTTTCCATATGACAGAAACTTACTCCTTCAGGCACTCACACATTGTTATTTAATTTTAACTATTGTTAATGGAAACATTTGTAAAATACCATAGATGATTCTACACTTTTAAACTAAGTATGCTAAACTTCAACCTTTTCTTGATGATTCTAGATTCTCTTCATGGTTATCAAAAGTTGTTCTTTATTTTACAAGGCAATGGAAGGCCAGGTGAGGTGGCTCCCTCCTGTAATCCCAGCACTTTGGGAGGCCAAGGCGGGTGGATCACCCGAGGTCAGGAGTTTGAGACCAGCCTGGCCAACATGGTGAAACCCTGTCTCTACTAAAAATTAAAAAAAAAAAAATTAGCTGGGCATGGTGGTGCACAGCTGTAGTCCCAGCTACTTGGGAGGCTGAGGCAGGAGAATTGCTTGAACCTGGGAAGCAGAGGTTGCAGTGAGCCAGGATGGCACCATTGCACTCCAGCCTGGGCAACAAACAGTGAAACTCCATCAGGCAACATAATACAGCAGAAAGTTTATTGAATTAGAAATCAGAATGACTTCATTGAGTTTTTTAACCTCTCTGCCACACAGTTTCCTCATCTGTAGAATGGGAATATTATCTTCCCTGGAGTTCTCTTTGTTGATGATAAATATTAAATTATATAACACATGTAAATATTATCAATTATTAAATATTAAAGTGTAGACACTGAAACAAATGACTGTTTCAGCCCAAGAAGTGTTACATGGCTATGATTTTGGTATTCTTGTGTTTACTGTACCTGCATCATGATTCCCCAAAGCAGTTAGATTATGTCTAAAGTTACAGCAAATAGATCCTGAGTAAATGGATTCTACTTTAAAAAAAAGAAAAAAGTCTTACTTTTGTTCATATAGGTTTTATTTAAAATTCCACATATTTTTGATATCTGGAGTTCTCTTTTGCTTATTTTTTCCTTCTTTGCTCTTTTTGGCTAGTTGAGTTTGATAGATGGGAGATTTCTGAGTCACTGAAGTTTTATAATCTGTGTAACTTTTTTCAGCATGAACACAAATGCCATGAATATTTAATGTAATATTTCCCATGTTGACTGTTTCTCAAAATAGATCTAGGTATATAAAAATATGGCCAATGCTGACATATTTTTTTCAGTGTGAGTACAGCCACTGAGATCAGTATAGCCACACACCGTGGCCTACGTGGTTAAGTTTTCCAAGCATTTGGGGAAAGTGTTACATTGACATAGTTCTAATATTACCATCAGGCTTTAGAACATGGATTCCTAAGAAACCATAAGTTCAGCCAGCCACATTATAAACAGAGTAGATGGCACTGGGGGCATTATCCCTCCAGAGTTGTTGCATAAAGCAATGTGTCTCTCTTCCAAAGAAAACCCTTAACCTCACCTTCATAATTTCATCACAGAGCAAAAGAATAACTGAGCTACAGAAAATGCAGGCTCCAAATTTGACAGTGGTTCTGAAAGTCATTTCAGGCAATGGCTAAAGCAGTAGTTTCTAAATGCTGGACTGTGGCCGAGGGCATCAGACTTAGCTGGCAAACTTATTCCTAGCTCTGACATCACACTACTGAAATCAGATCTTTTGGAGATGAGGCATAGGCATCTGTACTTTCAACAAAACATCCCGGTGATTCTCCTGAGCAGGCCATATTTGAGAATCACTGGTCAAAATTAGGTAATTGAGATTGCCCCCACTCTGCACTATCTCACAATTGATAGAATGCTCCACAGAGAGGCACCGGACTCTACCATTCTCCCCCGTCAATAAACACTCATCTAACAATAGTACTCTGATTTCTATTCCTTCACCAACTATTTACTCAGCTCTTACCACATGCATTGTGATGGCTGCCAAATTTACAATAATGAATAAGGCAGAGATGGTCTCTTCCATCCATGAGCTCAAAACCCAGCGGTAGGAGGAGGGGGAGGTGGTGTATTACATATTAAGCAAATAACCATTAAAATTTCTGTATATCATGAGTGCTATAAAGGGAAACAATAGAGTGTTTGAGAAAGTATGACTAGTGTTCAACTATTAATGGATATGAGAGTTGTCAGAGAAGACTCCATCAAGAAATAACATTCAATTTGAGATTTGAATAATGGGCATCGTTTAGGACTATGAGCAATCCAAGATTAACAGCAGGTACACGTACCCTGCTGCAAGAGTTTCACTTCTTGCTTATGCTTGTTCTCAAATCGGAGTCTCGGATCCACTGAACAATGTGCCTTAAGGCAGCTTAGGAAAAGAACAGTCAGAATGAGAAGGAAGTCCACAGCACCAGTGGAGCCCATTAAGAAATCCCAGACCTGGATGTTTGTTTATTGTCAGTTTCCAATCTAGGGGTCTCTTAATCAGATTTTACATAGTTTAATCTAAAACAGTGGTTCTCAATCTTGGCTGTACATTGGAATCTCCTAGGAAGCTTTTAAAAATTCTGATGCCTTGGCTTCACTCCTAGAAATTCTGATTTAATTGGTCTGTGGTGTAGTCTGAACATGAGGGTTTTCTAAAGCTTTCCAGATGATTCTAACGTGTAAACAATGTTGAGAACCACTACTTAAAATAGGAAAATATTATATCTAAATTTATCAACAAGGAAAGTCAAAGGAGAGTTATAACAATCTGTGTGTTTTATATATCCCTGTTGGAAAGTGAAGAACAGCTGCTAAAATTGAACCTTAAGTCACTAGCACACCAACCACTAAAGATGGCCTCATTGACTCTCTGCTTCACATACAGATGACTCTCTTCAGCACCTGATTTGCTTTTATGAGGCAATCTTTTACATCTATGGCTGTGTGTGCTGGGCTAAGAAAGAAGATGTACATGAAAGTTAGCAAAATATCTTTTCCCTCAGAAAATTTGAAGTCCATTTGGAAAGACAGGACTAACAACAACAAAATAATAAAATGAATACAGTTCAAGGTACTAGTTAAGACAACAGAAGTTCAAGAAATGGGGGCAAGAAAAGCTTCACTGAAAGCTGGGCTGATCAAAAGAGACAAGAATATATAGGATCTAAGTGATACGGGAAGAGCAGAAAAACCAAGGCAAAGCAGCAGGAATAACCATGGTAGAAAAAGAGAATAGGGAAGAGACCTGCCTCATCCCCCACAGTGGGAGTTGAGAGTAACAAGAGATCAGCAATCTCTCCTGCTGAAGTTGGTCAATGACCAGCAGCCATTGTTACATCTTGTTTTTCAGAGAACCATTCTTCTTAGGCATCTTCCTTCATAATGAAGAAGGGTGGTTTCATTTTTCCATTTCCTTCTGTAGGAAAGATGACTAGCCATTGATTTCCAAATGTTTAGATGTCAACAGCCAGGTTTTACAATTTTTAGTTTCTCATAGATCCCCTTGTCCCCCTGGGCATAGGTAGGTAGAATAATCTCTCATATTCAATCTCTCAGGTATAAATTTCTCCAGATGACATACACAAAGGGGAATAAAATCATAACTATTACATATTATGTGCTTACTAAGGCACTGGGGAACATGAGGTAACATACATTATCTCGTTTAATCTTCACCACATTTCATTAGGAAACTATGATTCCCCATTTTTCAGATGAAAACCATGATGCTCAGAAACAGTAAGAGATTTGCCCAAGTTTGCACAGTAAGCAGTGGAACTGGCACTTTCACCCAAGTTTAACTTGTAGGTACTGCCTTTTAAAAATTTTATAACAGACAAGAAATTAAGATTCTTGGTATTGCTTTACTAAATCCAAGACCTCAGCGATCACTGTGCAGCAGAAACATCTGTGGCACTTTTTTTGACTATAGAAGTTTGGACCATCCCCCAACCCCACCTCAGAACAACTGAGAATCTCCAAGGCAGGGCCTAGAAATCTATATTTTTTAAACCCCACACATGATCATGACGTACAGCTTGGATGGAGAACAATGGGCCTATTCAGTGGCAAGGGCTGGGAAACATTTGTGTAGCTTAAATGCTACTTCCTGTGCTTATATGCCGGTCTATACAAGGCTCCTCACTTTGAAATATGTGTAGCATTTTTCTATTTAAACTGTTGGAAACAACCATAATAAAGAAAACAGCGATGATGAAAACTAATAGAAGCAAGTTTGAAAAGACACTCTACTATGGAGAAGCTCAATAAATCCCAAGTTTGGGACACTTGTGAAATGTCACCATTTCTAGTCAGTAATGGCCTATGGGATTGTTGCATTCTTCAAAAAGTATTAAAACATATTACACTAACCCTGTTTTTTTGGTTTGCTAATGTGCTTGTGGAGCTGAAGGCTGTTTGAGACTAACACAGTTGTTGATTTCAAGCTTTTCAGCATATATTTACTGCACCCTTAAAAATTATCTTCTTTAAGGCCAGGCACAGTGGCTCATGCCTGTAATCCTAGCACTTTGTGAGGCTGAGGCAGGCAGATCACGAGGTCAGGAGATCACGAACATCCTGGCTAACACGGTGAAACCCCGTCTCTAGTAAAAATACAAAAAATTAGCCGGGCGCAGTGGAGGGCTCCTGTAGTCCCAGCTACTCGGGAGGCTGAGGCAGGAAAATGGCGTGAACCTGGGAGGCGGAGCTTGCGGTGAGCTGAGATGCGCCACTGCACTCCAGCCTGGGTGACAGGGTGAGACTCCATCTCAAAAAAAAAACAAAACAAAAAAAACAACAAAAAAAAACTTTTTAAAATACATGCTAATAGAGGTCAGATGTTTACCACCATGGCAGAAAATGTGGTTTGAGACAGATTTGGGCATCATCAAATAATGATGATTTTGTTCACCAGTCACAGTATCAGCATTTTTTAATGTTTTTACAACTAGCATGTGATTATTGCAGGCAAAGGGGCTTGGACTAATCATGGTAGGCTGGGAGAACCAGAGAGGACCTTTAGAATATTTGGAAATAAGGGGGGGATAGGAAAATTTGGGTCAATCCTTTATCTTTTTGTTGGGTAGCAATTAGTTTTCATGTTGTTCAGAGTATCATTCTGAAATGATCATACTCAAAGCTAAATTTTCTTTCATTTGGAGCAAAGGACTCTCACTCAAGGGCTGTCTGTATGAAATGAGACCTAAAAAGGAAACTTCCTAAAAAGGAAATATTCTTTCATCTTTGTTAAGAACTGAAAGACATAAATGAAATAAAGTTTTATAAGCTTTATGAAATCTTTTGCTGAATGTGGCTTTTTGGAAGGTCTGTACTAATAAATTGTTTCACAAGCAATTGAAAATGACGAAGAAAGTAATGCTGTCAAGTTGTTTGCTATTTCCTAAGTATAAATACAAGATAATATAAGTAATAAGTCAACTTCTGGAGATAAGAGTTTACCTGTCATGACATCTTATGTAACAACTTATAACTTCCCAGGTTTTCAATAACAGACAAGGACACAGCAATTAAAGAAGAGTTTGGGAACACATTAACTCAATACAAGCAATAAAATTAAGGACATAAATTCATTTGCCTACCACCTCTTGCATATTTATTTGTCACAAATGGTTTAATACAGATAGGGAGGGCAGTCTACCTAGCATCCCCATATTCCATGATTAGCTGGGAGGTGGCAATTATCCGTGGCAATTAACACAGAGAGAAGGTAGAGGAGAGCAATTAACATCACAATTTCTGTGCTTTATGCAAGTCCAAATTGCCACCGATTTTTTAGTGGTAGTTTTATACAATTAGAACCTTCTGCCATTTGATGAGACCAAATCATTGGAATTTATTTTGAGAGCAATCTCACCTAGTGGGAACATCTCAAAAGCATCAACCAAAATAATGGACATGTATTTAACAGAGGAAAACCTAAGACAGCAAAGTATGGAAAATTAACTCACTATGTAAAGCAGTTTTACCGAAATAACTTTGAAATTGTAGGTTTACAGTGATCTACCAAATATTGGTGGCTCTTCTGAAAGCACCATCAACAGATAGATCTGGTATGTGCTTCAGAACATCACTACTCCAAGCCCCACTCTTGTCAGTAATGATCTTTTGCTCACATAGGTTGGGAACAGACTCACTTGCAAAGGTGAAGACAAAGGTTAAATGATGCTGAAAAAAATTTTAAGACGAATTCCCCATTTTACACGTTAGTTCTGGGTTTACAGAATCATAAAATTCCATCTGGCAGGGACCTTGAAGATCATCCAGCAATCCCTTCATTTTCCAGGTGAGGAAGCTGAAACCCAGAGGAGGTAGAGGCTAGTTCAAGATCATAGTCCTGGTTTGTTACTTAACTATTGGGTATATCAGCAGTGCTCCAGCTTATGAGAGAGAGAGAGAGACAGATTTCCCCCTTACATTCTACCAACTGGAAATTCCTTGAGATTAACAACTATCTCTTTTTTTTTTTTTTTTTTTTTTTTGAGACAGAGTCTCACTCTGTCGCCAGGCTGGAGTGCAGTGACACGATCTCGGCTCACTGCAATCTCCGCCTCCCAGGTTCAAGCGATTCCCCTGCCTCAGCCTCCCAAGTAGCTGGGACTAAAGGCGTGAGCCACCATGCCCATCTAATTTTTTGTATTTTAGTAGAGATTGGGTTTCACCATGTTGGCCAGGATGCTCTCAATCTCCTGACCTCGTGATCCACCTGTCTTGGCCTCCCAAAGTGCTGGGATTACAGGCGTGAACCACCGCACCCGCCTTTTTTTTTTTTTTTTGAAGGTGCTAAACCCATTGGTTATTTCCATATTAATGCCTTGAGTGCTTTTGACGGGCGATATCCAGATGCTTCTGTGAATGTGTAAAAGGGAGGTTTGTCTGAATCTATGTATGTGGAGAGAAGCAGAGAGACTCTATCTTGCAGGCATATAGGAGGCCTGCTGAACTTGCCATTGCATCTTGCCAGGTCGTAACTTACTTCTTGCATGACCTTAAGCAAGTTATTCGATGTCTCTGAACTTCAACTTCTTCATCTATATAACCGGGATCATAACAATTGCTTCTAGGGTTGTTGTAACTTAAATTTTAGGTTGTTAAACAAATTATGAAAATAACCAAGCAAAATGCCTGGCATTTAGCGGGTGCTCAATAAATTGAGTCATCTTTCTTTTCGTTGTCATTCACCACTCCTCCTACCAGAAACTTCTATTAAAACCAAAGTAGTTTTTCGACCTCTGCGTCTAAATTTTTTCATCCATAAATACAGATAAGATAACCTACTTCATACAATCATTGCTAAGATTCAATGTGACAAAATCTGCGAAAGTGCTTTGTGAAGTGTATGCTGCTACACACAAAAGGAGTGAATGCTATTAACCACATGTCAATATTCCAGACCCAACTTTCTGTTTTCTAATCTGCTTGAAATACCTTCATCTTTCCTCTCCAAGTACCTGATACTCTTCTTTAATCACCAACTTGTATTCTTCTCCAGTAAAATTAACAAACAGATCTCAGGTATTTGATGTGTACTGGGGTGCTGTGTTGCTGCATAATGAAGCCCAGTCTCTCCGCTCTACCCAGGGTGACCTCTCCCTCCATCCAACCCCCTTATAGTGATTGTTTATTATCTCATTTGTCACTTACCACATATTGTTAGCCACAGCCACCTTTTTGCTCTTACGTATTTGTTTTGTTCTACTAGACTACTGGACTCTTCGAGGACAGAATATTCTTTGGTTTTGCTTTTGCTTGTTTTTTGTTGCAAACTCCACAAGTCTAGCAGAGTACTTTGATCAGAGCAGGCTCATAATACCTAACTGTTGAATAGTCGACTGATTACAGTATTGAACTTGGCCAATAGTTTTGTTTTAGTTACTCTGCTGACATTAAAAATTACCAGAAAACTTAGTAGTTTGAAACAACTATTTATTATGCTCATAGATCTGTAGGTCAGAAATTTGGACAGGCACAGAAAGAATGGTTTGTATTTGCTCCAAGATGTCTGATACTGAAAGAATTGAAGGCTGGAAGCTGGAATCATCTGAAGGCCTATTCACTCACAATTAATGCTAGCTGTCGGCTGGGAACTTAATAGCTGTTGACTGGAACATCTATACATGGGCCCTCCATGTGACCTTGGCTTCTTCACAATACTATGGCTGCATTCCAAAAGAGATAGCCAGGCGGAAGCCGTATCCTTTCTATGACCTAGCTTCAGAAGTCACACAGCATCACTTCTGTTATACCCTACTGGCTGGAGAAGTGACAAGCCTACTCAGGTTCAAGGAGAGGGGAAATAAACTCCATCTCTTAATGCAAAGTAGCCTGGTTCTATAAGAGCATGTAGGAGTGGAGATACTGCTTTGGCCATTTTGAACAATATAATCAGGCACAAAGATTTTATTGTCCTAATGAGACAACACCAAGTTTTTCTGTGTTTTAAATGTAAGGGAGTATCTTGCTCTTAAGTCTCTAAATATATGACCAGAAACCTAGAGGCCATTTGTTTTACAAATTGAGAGAGGCATGGAAAAGACATGGATGCAGTAAGCATGAGTCCAAGCAAGTACTTCTCTCTAGCAAATGGTCAACTAGATATTCAGAGAGACAAAAAGGCCTGCACTCCTATGACTGGCAAACCATCAGTTACTATTTAAGTAATAGGTAATTAGTTCTGCATTTGGCATTTCTTTGGAGCTTCTTTTGCTCCCACGAAGTGCCTTAACCCTGTTGACACAGCAAAACTAGCTCCCTGGTTGATTGCCCTGTTTAAGAGCTGACCCTTTCCTTAGTTCAAATAGCAATCCATTCAGGATGCTGTCATGCCAAATAGCTTATGATGATTGCATGACTAAGGGAGTATATTAGTCTGAGTTCTCCTGAGAAACAGAACCAACAGGATATATATCTATATCTATATCTGTACTGAGAGAAAGAAAGATTTACTGTAAGGAATTGGCTCATGTGATTATGGAGGTAAAGTCCAAGAGATGTAGTCAGCAAGCTGGAAACCCAGGAGAGTCAATGGTATGGTTGCAGTCCGAGTCCAAACACCTGACAATCAAAAGTGCCAATAGTGTAAGTTCCAGTTCAAGTATGAGTCCAAAGGCAGAACACCCATGTTCCAACTTAAAAACAGTCCATCAAGGAGCATTCTCTCTTACTCAGGGGAGGGTCAGGCTTTTATTCGATTCAGACCTTCAACAGATTGGATGTGGCCCACCCACACTGGGGAGGGCAATCTACTGTACCCATTTTACCAAACCAAATGTTAATCTCAGCCAGCCCAGTGGCTCATACCTGTAATCCCAGCACTTTGGGAGACTGAGGCAAGCAGACCACTTGAGCTTGGGAGTTTAAGACTAGCCTAGGCAACATGGCAAAAATCTGTCTACAAAAAAATACAAAAATTAGCCAGGCATGGTGGTGTATGCCTGTAGCCCCAGCTAGTTGGGAGGCTGAGGTGGGAGGATCATCTGAGCCCTGGAGGTCAAGGCTGCCGTGAGCCATGATCACACCCTGGACAATAGAGCAAGATCCTGTTAACACCCCCAACCCACAAAAAAACGATGTTAATCTCATCCGGTAATACCCTTATGGACACACCAAGGTTAACCAAATATCATTTCTAGCAGCAACATCAACATCTGTGCAGTTTCCCAAAGTGTGTTCTACAGAATACAAGTCCAAAGGGATGCTAATAGGTAATTATCAGTAAAAAGGTCTGTGAAAAAAAATACTGGGTTAAACCTCAAACCCAAATGAAGAATGTTTTATTATGAAGGAGAGGGAGAGCTAAATTCTTCAAAAATGTCAATGTCATAAAAGACAAAGAAAGGTCATCATAACAGTATGCTTCTCAGATCTCCTGTCAAGAAAGAACCTGCTGCAAGGAATGCAATTGACCTCTGGATGCCACATCTTTGAATTGGTCACAGAATTTCTGCTGAGACCACACCCCTGCAGCCTGCTCCTAACCAATAACTGAGCATGGAGAGGGAATTACATTTGTCATTCCTGCCCAATGAAGGGCTCCTCTAAGGAGAAATCTTTGCTTTGGAGCTCCTGGTGGACCTGGCTGAGACTGTCTCATGGCTGCTCTACAGTCTCAGCCTCTTCCCACTTAATCTTCCTTCACCCCCATCTCCCTTCACAGGTGTCAGACCTGCATCTCAGCCTGAGGCACTCTGTGCCTACTTCTACTCTCTTCCCACTTTGTCATTCACAGGCATTTTTCCCAACAAATATTTTTTACTTTTAATCCTGGCTTGACAGGATGAAATATTAACAATAGTGAATCTAGGCAAAGGATACATGGATGTTCTTGGTACTATTCTTATTGCAAGTTTTCAGTAAGTTTGAAATTATTTCCAAATTAAAAAGCTAAAGGAAAGAAAAAAGAAATATAAGGTCTAGAGAAGCGGAAAAGAAACTCTGAGTTAAAAAATAAAATAGGTTTTCTTAACACAAGACTTCTTGGAACCTTTCTACAGAGGTTATATAATGTTTACCAATACGTATTGGCCACTAAAAGCTTGTTTGTGTGTAAATCATGAGGGTCAACAGTTCCAAAGAACCCATTGGAACAGAGGTCAGTAAGCCCAACTGAGGCATGAAGCCCCGAATTCAACTTCCACCCCTGCAATAATACTAGAATTCCTGGTTTCCAGAGGAAAGTAGCTTTATTTAATCAGCCCTGTTGCAATATTGTCTTTCTATTTGTGTTAAAGGTGTAAAATACAGGGGAAAAAAATCTGTGATTATAGCATATTTTCAAGGGTTCAACCACAGTTGAGGATATAACTTCATAACTATGAACAGCATAGCATGTTATATCATGAACACATAATGAGTTATGAGGACGTAACTTCCTAACAACAGACATAATCTCAGATGGTCATGAACAGCGCTAACTATAGAAAAGATAGGAAAACACTGGACAAAATCTACTCTCTCCAGGAGTGCTCTATGATGCCAAATTTTCTTCATTCTTTCTGATCAAATTGGTTGCTTATCAAGCGCTATAGTATCTTTTACAATAAGGGTTTTATTTGAAATGTTCTGCTATTTGTATGAGCATAAATCCTAACAATACATGGAATTAACAAAAGAGGCCGGGCACAGTAGTTCATGCCTATAATACCAGCACTTTGGGAGGGTGAGGCAGGAGGATCGCTTGAGACCAGGAGTTTGAGACTAGCCTGGGCAACATAGCAAGAGCTCATCTATACTAAAACAACATTTAAAAATTAGCCAGGTGCGGTGGTGCACGCCTGTAGTCTCAGTTACTTGGAAGGCTGAGGTGGGAGGACTGCTTGAGCCCAGGAGTTCGAGGTTGTAATGAGCTATGATTGCATCACTGCACTCCAGCCTCAGCAGCAGAATGAGACCCTACCTCAAATAAATAAATAAATAACTTTTAAAATTAACAAAGAAAGCCTGTGATTAGTAAATTTTAAAATTCACCTTACCTAGAAAAGCACCAGAATGGATAAAAGTAAGGATAAATATAATAGACTCTCCTTATTCTCCTGAATTTTTAAAATCATTTGACTATTGAAGCAAAGACTGTAATACCATCTGATGTGGTGCTCAATATATGTACAGGAAATACTTAAGACAATTATATTTTTCAAGTGGGGAAGACAAAGGACCTAAATGGAAGTAAGGTTTATTTCATGCCTATAACATTCCTAAAATGACAAAATTATAGAGATGGAGAACAGATTAGTGGTTGCCATGGGTTGGGGTGGTGGGTAGGCAGGGAGAGAGCTATAAAAAGTGTAGCGTGAGGGAACCTTGTGATAGGTTTTGCATCTTGTATCTTTTGTATCTTGACTATAGTGGCGGCCTTACCAATCTACTCATGATAAAATTGCATAGAGCTAAATACATACAGACACACACACACAAACACACACACATAGAGGTAAAACTGGGGAACTCTGAATAAAGTCTGCAGACTCTATCAATGTGAACTTCCTGGTTGTGATATTGTACTATGGTTATGCAAGATGAAGAAACTAGGTGAAAGGTATACAGGATCTCTTGGTATTATTTCTTCCAATTGCATGTTATCTCAAAATAAAAAGTTCATGTGCATACACACACACACACACAATTTAACTTTTTATAATGCATTAACATTTACCTTTCCTAAGGAATAGATGTGCATTTTAATGGCACCAACTGGAGACAGTGTCTTTATCCAGAAAAGCAGTTCAAATGGCTGGCTTCCTTACAGTATCTATGATAGACCCAAGGGATAGATATTTTTGTGCAGGCAAGTCTGTTGGTAATGTTCGAATCTCACGACATCAGCAGCTGCCTACTCCACCTACTCCCTTCAGTGGATTGAAAATAAAAGTTAGTTCTTATTCATGAAGAGCTGTGCTTAGCCTTGTCCAACTTGGGAACTGATTTCTGTACATTTCCCTGTGTTATAGAGTGAAACTTAAACAGACAACTGTTTTATTCTAATTTCTCTCTTTTGAAGATGAAAGAACAGGTCTATTCTTGAAATACATGTCCCAGGCCTCAAAGTATGAGAAATAAAAAAGCTGAATTGAAATGGGTGTGTAAAAGCTTCCTCCCTTCCCCTCCTCCCTGATGCTATTGGAGGAGTAAAAGCCTTTTTCTCTGTTGACAATCAATCAACAAATATTTACAACCTTTCAACAAGCTTTTTCCACCATTACTAGATCATTAGAAAGGACTTCAAACTCCCTGGCCCTTTTAAAGGCATTAAGGATTTAGCTGCAGAAAGACGAAACCACACACAGTTTAATAGAGTTCCCACTCTGCTCCCATACTGCAACCACAGGTAGCTTTTAAGAATCAATTTGTGGTTCTGGACAAATGGTCTAGACTAGAATGAGAACCCAGGACAGAAGCAACTAGAAAAGGAGGTAGGCAATTAGAAAATTCTAGCTATTCTTAGAATTTTACTCAATTATATTAAACTAAAAAAAAAAAGTATATTAAACTATAACATAAACATTCCTCACTAGTTTTGCTTCTTATTTGAATGATTAAAAGTGCTAAGCAATTAAAATATCTAGTAATTTGCCTTTATTAATAACCTATGGTCGAAAGATGACAAACGATCTACTTAAAATGCTGATTTCATTATTTCCTTGCATGTCTCAGCAGCTCTGCAGGTTAGAAATGCTGTGTTTATTCACAAGATTGTGTTTCTTCTTTCAGTAGTTCATGAGTTCCACATCTGAGTACTTAAAACCTCACTGAGTGTGGAGGAGAGGGTGTAGACAGGAACCCTCTGTACTGTCTGCTCAATTTTCTGTAACCCTAAAACTTTTCTAAAAAAACAAAGCCTATTAATTTAAAAACGAAGCAGAAAAACAAACAAAAAGAGCCTTAACTCTAGAGAGCCAGAGTTAAGGCTACAAATAGATCTAAATGACTTCCTTATTTTGTGTGCTGATATCCTGGATTCCTTTCCTTTCAAGCAGTGGAAACAAAAGTCTGCCCCCCGCTCTGCTTCTCCAACCCACACCAAAAAAATGTGCTGGTTTTATTTTGGAAGGAATCTTCTGATAGAAGTGGAAAGAAGGAGCTGGAGGAGGAGATCCTGAGAATGTCACGAAGGGTAGAAAGGAGGACAAACCAGGATGGTTCTTAAGGACCACACTGCTTCAAGAGGAGAATAAGATGGAACTGGCAGATACAGGTTGCTGAAGAAGAGACGGATCATCTGAGAAAGCTCCTGGACCCCAGGGTCAATCAGCCTCTTTGCTTTCTCTAGTAGAGAAATGGCCAAATCCACTGGAAAGAAAGAAGAAAAAAGCATTCTGCACGGGCATGTGGCACATTCAGGCCTCAGAGACAGCGCTAACAAGACTGGAAGATGGTTCTGTGGCTGGTGGCTGGGTCAGGAAACTAGTGTTGTCAGACACAGCGGTGAAGTCTGTGGGAAAGACTGCAGTTCCTGAGACCCCTACCCCTCAGGGATTCCCCTCCACTGTCTGAGCAGAGGAAAGGATTGAATTGAGATAGAAGTTCCCACAGGTCATGGGCAAGAGGAGCTGAAAAATCAATTTGCTACAGTAGGACTTCCCAGCTCTATCCCATGACTGGTGTGGCCTCAGGGAAATACCTGTTAAGTAAGTAATCACTGAAATGATTCACCAAATCATGCAGTGGTGTTAAAATGCTGCATCCTTTGTAATAAAAAATCCCCACTAATTTTTTAAAAAATAAACTTACTTTCAGAGAATCAGATGATGTAACCCATTTCAGAGAGAGGCAAAGGGGAAGACGGCCATGTTCCAGCTGCCTCACTTTCCAATACCGAAAAGACCTTTCCGGGACATCAAACCAATTGGACCTAAAATCCTGGGACTTCTGCCTCTACTATAGACCCATTTCATGGCCCTGGGCAAGAAGCTTCACTCCAAGGTCTTCTTTCCAACTGTCTGTAAAATGTGGATAATGTCTCCCCAGAAGTAACCACCACATCTATGTGCCACTGGGGACACATAATCAGCTATGCATATACATCAAACTCTTAATGCACAGGGTAGAGTTTAGGATGTGAGATGCCAACATCTAATCTGAAACCTCAGACTTTTAGAGTGGGTCACATGGACTTCTCAGAAATGTCAGTTATTCCATTTCCCCAATCCTAAAAACCTAGAAGTGTGTAACATGTTCATTTCCTATCACGGGTCAGTGTGGAAGAAGCAACATCTGGGGGTTTCCACAGTTCTTGCACAGTTCAAGGGAGTGGAGATAATATTGGGATTCCCAGCAGCAACCTCAGCAGTAGAGCTTCAGGATTATATATGGTGTGCATTCAGAATTGTCAATCAACTTTCAATGCACAAGAAGCAGTTTGCAGATCAAACCATAAGGGCTAATTGCTGCTTTCTATCCTACTTTGCCAGATAAAATTAGGATGACAGCTAATGCCAAAGTCCTAGACAAAACTCCAAGCCCACTCACCTCCAGGTTCTCTTCTGTGTCCAAAAAATGTGTTTTGACTTCCAAATATTCCCATTCTGTTGCCTTGTAAGTGAACATAGCTCACTTACGCAAATGCTGGGAGCATATGGAAAGCCTGCCAGCCATAGGCACTCACCTCTGGAAACTGTCTAGACTATTTCCCTTAGAGAGGTGAAGAAATCTGCCCAAGGTTACACAGCCAGTAACTGGCAAAACTGGGGTTCAAATGTAAGTTTGCCTAACTGCACAGCCTGAGTGAGGATGATTGCATTAACTGGCTCCTAAGTGATCCTGTAAAGGGAAAACAATTCTGCCAATTTGGTTTGGCAGGTGACCTGGTCCAGGCTAAGAGCCCCAGTGCTCAAGAGGCTAATAATAAAACACACAAAGAATCTTAGGCCCAGATTGCTCTCAAAATGTCAAGAGTTGTCATTATTTTACCTGCCAGAACATATCTCGTCTGCCCATATTCTACAGTGTTCAGGTCGCTAGTTACTAAATAGTATTTTATTAATTTTTTTCTTAAGATGGAGTTTTGCTTTTGTTACCCAGGCTGGAGTGTAATGGCGTGGTCTCGGCTCACGGCAACCTCCGCGTCCTGGGTTCAAGTGATTGTCCTGCCTTAGCCTCCCAAGTAGCTGGGATTACAGGCACCTGCCACCAAGCCAGGCTAATTTTTGTATTTTTAGTAGACACGGGGTTTCACCATGTTGGCCAGGCTGATCTCAAACTCCTGACCTCAGGTGATCTGCCCGCCTCGGCATCCCAAAGTGCTGGGATTAGGCATGAGCCACCATGCCTGGCACTAAATCGTATTAGCCAGTTTATGCGTATTTTGCATTTGCTATGTTCACTGCAGTTTATTGAGTATCATATGGTATTAAAAGAGTAATAAAACATATTTCTTGCCCTCTGGCAACATAAGTCTAAGGGGCTGGAGGTGGGAGTGCAGATATGAAAAGTAAAGTAGAAACACAAATATTTATTCAGCCCAGAGTAAGATAAATGTCATGAGAAAAAAAGAAGTCCTGTGGAAGGATAGGTACTACCAAAATGATTTTTCCTAAAGTCCCTTAAGTTCTTTGCCATCAAGTCAACCCAAATTTATCTCATAGTAACTTATAAATCAGTCACTTTACCTGAGTAGAAGTCGCCTGCAAACAGTCTTGACTTGCTATTCCAATAAGCCCCTCTTTCTTCTGTTTTCATAACAGAGAAGTAAAATTCTCCACTGGTACTTTTTTTTATCCTTTTTCCTGAGCATTCTTAACATGTTAAGACTTAGTTCAGATATTTTGAAGAACAACATAATTGGCAGGAATGTGATCAAGAGCCCTGTTCACTAGGAATGTACGCACAATTTATGTGGCCAACTTATGTTGCTTTCAGTGGCATATTCTCAAGTCACGTAGAGGTAGCTTGAAGATTAGTGCACACACACACACACACAAATATTCTTTTTTTTGCTCAGATTGTTACAGCAATATAGTAAGACCATTCCTCTGCTGAGCTCATGTCAGCATTTCCAATGTAACCCTATTTTGTCAAGTCTTTCAGACTTGGCTGTGAATCTGCCCTGTGGGTATGAAATTAAGGAGACAGGACTATAAGACCATTTTGATCAGATTTTTGTAAGTTTCCCTGTCTGTGAGCTATCTGCTCATTACATGATACCCACCGAAGGCTGCACAATTCTTAAGCTATTGTGTTTCTAAAATGAAATGGAATCATGAAATTATCTACCTGATAACCAAGAGAGGGTTTAGTATTGCTACTTAGGAATCAATTAGGAAACAGTTGCTCTGATTCTTTATAATTATATCTAAAACACCCTTAAGTTGCATAAAAATAGAACATGAGATTTAATCTCAATTTTTTATGAAATATAACCGTGTTATATTTTCTTCCCTTCATGAGATCAAACATTTTACGCTCTAAAATCTGGGGATAACAAAAATTCTGTACACACTTATTCTCACCTTCAAGTGATATGATTCACTCTGTTACTCAATTATTCAGAGGCAATAGGTTCCATAATCTCCAGACAATTACTCTAAGATTGGTTCCGTCGAAAGTACAGAGATAGCTTTCTCATTTCTCTTAGTAGTGTCAGGATTGGATGTGCTTTTAGAGATGAGACAATATGAGAAGCCCACAGATAGGAGTTTTGCCTTTGGTTTCTGTAGGTGCAGAGAAAAACAGATTGGTGTTGAGGAAAGTGCATGGACTCTGGGTCAACCAACCTAGGGTTAAGTGTCAATTTTGCCACGATGTGACCAAGGGCATATATATCAACCTTGGCTTCCTTAACCTCTAGCCAATGAAAATAACACTTCACTTATAAGGGGTTCAAATGGTTAGGATTCACTCAATTATTTACTTACTAAGTATTTGGAAGAAGTTTTACTACGTGCCAAGCACATAAGCCTTGGAACCACAGGTACAATCCCTGCATTGGTGGAGCTTCCAGTCAGCTGGGGAGACAAATTTGAATCAAATAGTGACCCAAATAAAAGTAAAAAGGTAGAATTACAAAATGGCATGTGCTACAAAGGTGCGTGCTGTTTTGAGAACATATCAACTTCACACCAAAACCAAGGAGACTTTAAGTGAGTGATATTTGAGGTAAATCTGAAGGATGAGGAAGTACTGGCTAGATAGAGTGGGGGATGCTTGGGTGGGAGGGGCAATATTCCAGGCAGAGAGATTAGCATGTGCAAAGGCCCAGCAGCAGGAAGAAGCATGGCACTTAAACAAAGTGAGTGGAGGGGAATGTGGAGCTAGAGGAGGTAAGGGTCAGAACTGACAGAATCTTATAGATACAGGGATCCTATTAACAGCACTCCTCTTAACTCTCAAAAGTGTTCCCATTTGGATAATTACATGATCATGCTACTCATAGGCCACATTAATCATTTTGACCCTTTTTCTTGAAGGCAGTAAAGAGTTTTAAGCACATGAACAACACAATAAGATTACGGATTTAGAAAGCCAAGTTGTGGAGAATAAATCACTATACCTGAGGTCTCTCCTATGACTGCATGTTTCTTATCAGCCTCATGTGGAACCACAGCCTGAAAAGTGTTGTATTGCCAACTTATTCAAGTAGAATACAAATAGCTGTCTTCCACAAATAGACTTCTGATCAAGTTTTAAGAACCAATTTTAAGGTATGGTCAATGCCGTATTAGCCAGGGTTCTCAAGGGAAACGGAACTGGATGTATGCATATATGTGTATAGAGAGAGGTGGTTGGGGGAGGGTGGGGAGGGAGAGACTGACCGATTTTAAGGAATTGGCTCACATGATTGTGGAGCTGATTGAGGAAGTTGGCAAATCCAAAATCTGCAGGCTACCCAGGGAAGAGCTGCAGTTGAGTCTGAAGGCAGTGTGCTGGCAGAATTCCCTCTTCTTTGGAGATCAGTCTTTTTTTCTAGGGCCTTCAGTTGATCGGATGAGGCCCACCCATATTATGAAGGGTAATCTGCTTTATTCAATGTCTACAGACTGAATGTTGATCTCATCTAAAAAGCACCTCACAGAAACATCTAGAATACAGCCTGGCCAACATGGTGAAACCCCATCTCTACTAAAAATACAAAAATTAGCTGGGTACAGTGGCATGTGCCTGTGATCCCAGTTACTCAGGAGGCTGAGGCAAAACAATTGCTTGAACCCAGGAGGCAGAGGTTGCAGTGAGCCAAGACGGGACCACTGCTCTCCAGCCCAGATGACAGAGTGAGACTCCATCTCAAAAAAAAAGAAAAAGAAAGAAAGGAAAAAAAGAAACATCTAGAATAATGTTTGACCAAATATCTGAGTGCTGTAGCCTAGCTAAGTTGACTCGTAATATTAACCATCACAAGTGTCTATTGGCACAGGTGAATGAGTGAGGTTTTTGTCCTTCAGGCTTGGGGACAATACATTGACCAATCCCAAGGATAGAGTAGCTACTCCCATAGATTCTCATGGCATCTCTGTGCTGAGACACCAGCTCAATCCAGACAGTTTCTGAACAGACAAAGCAAAGTTTTAGAAGAGGGACAACTGGGCTTTGTGTTCCACAGGTTTCCCACCTGCCACAGGCCCCATAGGCCCCACATTCCAGAGTGGAGTGGGGAGATGTTCCAGGAAGAGCTGTGGCTGAGAGACCTCCCTCCTTGAATGTTTCCCACCTTGGAAGAATAAGGCAAGAACTGTTTGCTTGTCAAGGAAATTCCCTGAGGGAAACATTAACTTTGGAACTTCACAATTTCAACAAGGAAGTTATAAAGGCCAACATCTAAGAGCTGAAACTCTTCCCCCACACTCACTAAAAAAGAGAAGGAAAAACTAGGGAAAGAGAGAAAAGCCTTCTCACATAAGTAGTTCCCTGTGATACCACTATGCTTATGTAAAGAGACAGGAGTTCTGTTTTATAGTTTAAACATAGTAGGAGAGGCTGCACAAACACTGACTGCGTTTGTGATACCAAGTCATAATTTTTCCATGGCATTAGCATTTGAGTTTTTAATTCACAAAACCCCTCCCTTCTGCTCATGAAGAAAAGAATGACATGCTCTGGTTATGTGTTCATATCACCCTCGATTCCAGAATATAAGAGGTAAAAATCAGAAAATCCAGGGCGTGTGAGGAACTTTCTGAAGATATTCACTCTAATGACACATCCATTTTGTTGCTTTCTTTTTTCCTTGGTCTTTTTATAACTCAGAGAGGAACAATGCATTTAATAAAGGCAAGAGAAAGTTTTCAAGGACAAGAATCATTATGCAGACTCACTGACATTTAGCTTTACTGTAGTTAGAACAAAAGACAGTAGGCTTACACTTAGCATAAGTGATTGGAGTTACTTATAGAGAACTGTTGGACATAATAGCACTACAGACTAAAAGAGTGCCTGGGAAAGACTGTGGACTTTGCTTCCTGAAAAGATCAGAGTAATAACAGGGATGGATTTTCTACACTAGTACTATTAAGACACACCAGAGTATTAAACCTCCTATCACTGCGTCTCAGCAAGTTCTACCTCACGTATCCCAGGAGCCAGGTGCTCCAGACCTGTAACTGTCCAGAGACCCCATGCTCTTTTTTTGTGTTACTCTCTCAGTTCAAAACACCCACAGGACTTTGGAGAAACACAAGTGGCTTGGGCTACCTAATCTGAGGTATGTCCCCAACCCAACAGCCAGTACCACTGGTGCTGTTAGATTCCCTTGCTATAGCATGCACTGTAACAAAACAAAACACGAAGATTTGTCTATGTTGACATACTCCATATATCTACACATGCCAAGTTAAAAATATATACCAATGGCAAATCATTTCCAATAATGTTCTATTACATTTTTCTCCATGTATAAAATAATACTGGCTTTCTTTTTCTAATCAAAGTGATAAATTGCTCCTCTGGAGAGCTATGGTACTTCTACCAGATTAGCCAGATTCTTGGAAGTTAAAATAACCTAATGTGTGAAGATTCTTCATTATCAAGTGCCAGATTTACTTTAGGAACTAGCTAACTGGAACTAGTCCACTATAGATAGTCCCTATCTTCTTCTCCAGAGGTACAACTGAGCAGAAACAAATAAACTTGTCAGATTTATGAGAATGAAGAGTAGAAGTAGGAAAGGAAGGTAAACAGCTTCCATGACCACTTTTTTAATCCTGTAATTTTTCACAGAAAACACATTTGCCAAAGGATAAAATATTTCATCCATCCCCTTCTCTTCACCCTCAAAGCTTTTTTCTTTTCTTCTCTTCTCTTAATTAAACACCTCCAAGTATGTTTTTATCTATGACTGGCAGCTCTCCTCTCCACACCCTTCTCATGCTGTACAAATAAATCCTGTCTACTTCAGAAACGTGTAAGTTCACACAGAATATTAAATATGACATAGACCGCATCTTACTAGGATGACATAATGTTGCTCTGTCTGAAGTTAGAATGGGATGCCTTAAAAATAAATATTCTGTTAATCAAGGTCCTCATATATGTACAGTTTAACGTAATATTTCCAAATGCTTTTGAAAAAATTCACTCATTTATAAGAATTTAGAAAAAAAATCACTTGTTTATAAGAATTTAGAAAGATTCCTACCTTGTAGGTGTGAGGGGGAGGGAATTTTTTTTCCTACCCTAGAGGATCTGATTTTTGTTTTTGACCATGATGACTCAGGAATCAATGCTAAGTCTGGGTTCCTAAAGAGGTACTGTATGGACTGAATTGTGTTCCCACAGTGTCCCATATGTTGAAGCCTTAACCACCAATGTGAATATTTGGAGACAGGGCCTCTAAGAAGGTAATAAAGGTTAAATGAAATCGTAAGGATGGAGCCCTAATCTGATAGAACTGGTGTCTAAGAAGAGTAACAGCCACCAGAGAACTCTCCTCATGTGCACAAAGACAACCTTATGTACACACACACACACACACACACACACACACACACACACACACACAGAGCAACTGGCCTCAGAGAGAATGTCCTCAGAATGAAACCTAGAATTCTAGTACCTTGATATTGGACTTCCAGCCTCCAGAACCATGAGTAATAAATTCTATTGTTTAAGCCCCCCAGGAGTATTTTTTATGGCAGTTTTAGCAAACTAAAACAGAGATCAAGCTCCAGATTGGGAGGAACAGGAGATGGGCCAGGACTAGAAGCCTAGTGAGCAGTTTGAATAGCTAAGATACCCCATGGTTTAGAAAACACAAGGGAAGCACCAATGTATGTAGAAACATGGCATGTAATGATAGTGAGTTCTGAGATCTAAGCCAGAGGATCAGCTGGCACAGAGGTTTGCAGTTTAGAGCAGAACAGAATTTGAATGCCTGCTCTTCCTAGCTGTGTAACTTTCACTAGCTTTTTCTGCACCTCAGTTTTCTCATTTGTGACCTATGGACAAACATAGTACCTATTTATTGAGATGATTTAATAAAATATATAAGTAAAAAGCTCAGCACAGTACCTGACTCATAGGAAGCACTTACTTAAATTATCCAAAGCAAGAAAGAGTCAGAGCAGATAGGCCAAGGTTGTCACTTAACAGCTAATATGGCCAGAGGATAGAGGTAAAACACAGCAGAAGTGACCATTTGTAATGGGAGCCTGTGAACAACATTTCCAAAGGTAAAACAACTACCAGAAACCCACAACACTGTAAAGTATGTTGTTGGATCCAGATAAGGGACTGGCTGCTTGCTTTCTGTTCTTAGTAGCTGTGCTGATATGGATGGATATCCACGTCATAATTCTAGCAGAAAACAGATAGCTCATTCAAAGAGTAAGACTGGTTAAGGAAAGCCAAGGAAGGATGGTGAAACATCTCTGGGCTAGCAAAAGAGAGAAGACACTAGCAATCCTAGGCCTGACAGCTAAGGGAAAGGGGTGGTTGTTGGATCCCAGGGAGACCTGAACAGTGGGAAAGGATCCTGACAGGAGCTGTGGCCTTTTCTAAGGAACACAGCCACTAATAAACAGAGGCCTGGCAGCAAGGGCAGTGGGGAAAAAGTTGATCCATCTCTCTTTCCTGCCGCCCTCTGACTTTTTGCCAGCCACTTCCATTAGCCAAACCCAAAGAAAAGCCAGAGGCAAGGGAGCCCAGGTGATGTAGGCCATAGACATCAGCCTCATAGGGTCCAGAGTGGAAAAGGGTGGGGTATAAATCTGTAGGGGACACAGAATACACAGTATAACTTACAAAGGAAAATAGGAGTGTATTATCCCCAGAATAAAATGGAGGTCTGGAAGCACTGGTTTTAGAATTGAGACTAAGTCTTCTTAGGAGCCCCTCTTAGTCTAACTACAGTGTCATCAACTCATCAAGGCAGAAACAAGCTAAGGAATCTCTCTGTTCCCTCAGAGGCATGGAGGCCTCTCTCTAGCTACTTTATCCAACACACATGTTTTCTTCTGATGATACTCACCCAAGTGTGTTTCAGAATCTTTAGCATCTGATTTCTGCCTGGATGGCTGCTCTTTCCCCCTCCAGCTTTCTGGAAGTTTAAATTACTTTCTAGAATTCTATTTTCAAGTGAGTTCCAATGACCCTATTTTACCATACCTAGAGACAAGTTTGACTTGAAATGTTTTTGGATCTGGTGCATATACGAACATAAATCAGAAACAAATTAAAATCTTCTGTTTCATCTCTAACCTGTGTCCTGAATGTGCTACCTTGTTTTCTCTTAGTCATTGAAGAGTAATGAGACTTTGATCATTTTCATCTTGGGATGCATTGCGAAGATGTTGACTTTGGGATCTAGTCCCTTTGCCTCCGCCCCACCGGATATGCACTCATAAGTCTTGTTGACATTAGTGAATAGTTGTATGTGCACAGCAGAAGGATAAGAGAGACAACTGAGGGGTCAGAGCAGCAATTTTTTTGCTAGGAGCAAAAGCAATACATGTTGTCCAACAAAGGAACTAGTGGAGTAGCAATACAGGCTATTATTTTTTCTTTATTCCATAGGGAGACATTATAAGTTCTTCTAATTAATAGAATCCTTTGTGCATCACTTTCAGAAGAGCTTTTCCCTTTCAAGAAGGAATCTAACAGCACAGCAAACATATGCATTTTTGGCTGTGTTTCAAGACATATTTATTAAGTAAGTGCTAGGGTGGAGGATGGTTTTCTTGCCAACAGGATTCATAGGACACAGCACTTGAAAGCACATCAAGGAATGAACCATTTCTATGACAAGCACAATCACTGCCTGTAACTCCAACTTAGCTGGTGCTGTCAGCACTAACCACATAAACCACAAACTAACTGAAGAACTTCAGGCACCTAAGATTAAACACTGTCTCCCAGTATTACGAGGTGCTGGGGCCGATCCCCAGAGCCACTTGAGTTTACAGAAAATAGCAGCTGGTCATACAGAGACCATTTCCGACTTCTTTCCACCATTTTGGGCACAGAGATCTTCCTGGAGCTGAACCCTTCCATATCCTGTTGTTAGGAAGGGATGTCCTATTCACCAGCAGGTCTGCTTACTCCACACACCCTTTGCAAAACAACATTTCTGGAAGAAATCTAATGACCTATGAAATCCAAGCAGGGAATATTCCAGGTAATTAGGACACAGGCAGGGTTTTTTTTTTTTTTTGGTGCCTCCCCCTTCACTGCCCACGTTCCCTCCCACCTCTCCCTACTCCCAAAGTCAGAAATCTTCTTCCCTTGGAAGCAGCAGTTCCCTCCTATTCCCCCCTCCCACCTACCACTTCTTGGTAGCCTATGAAGATGAGATTGGAATAAAAGGTAGCTACAGGGTTCATGTAAGGTGACAAATCTGGCACATGCTAAACACTTAGCATTATACAGCCGCCCCTTAAGAGTGCTCCAAATCCATCAGTCATCATGGAAAAATTAGAAGCTTTGCTGGATTCCTGCCTCTCCAAACAGATCTTCTGAACTCCTTAATGGACGCTATAATTCAGCACTTGAGAATAGAGCCTCAGACCAGCAGGACTGTCTTTGGAACACACTGTCAGGCAACTTGAAACAGGCAGAGAGGAGCAAGTCAAAACAATCAGCAATTTCATTAAGAGGATAAGATTAATTCTGAATGAGGCCCAACTCTGACTCACATTGTCAATTATTATATATGATCTCTATGAGCAGGCCATTTTCCCAATTCACTAAAACATCTGTGCATTTCAATGGGCTAAGCTTTACCCTGCCCACTGCCCTCTAGCTGTTTTTGTTGTGGATTATGTAATTTGGTGAGTGATGCAATAAGAAGAATGCTTTCTACCTGTGCTTTTTACAAGATATTGTCCAATGATGAGTGCAACAGGCTTGATGGCTCAGAATGTTGGATTTCAACACTCTAATTTGTTCTATGACCTTGGGCCTATTACTTCCTCTCTCCTGGCATCTGCTATAAAAATAAGAAGGAGCAAATATTCTTGCCTCTTTTTATCACCTGATCTGAAAACCCATTGTAACTGCCATGAAAATAAGCACTGGTCCATGAGACCAATGCCCAGAAAATTCAGGCTAAGATTCCTGGAAAGTGGGCTGTGGGCATTATTTAAAACACACACACAAAATTTACCTTTTGTATTTGCTTTTGCCTTTAGCTGTGTGGGAAGCTGTAGTTAAAGGGATTTAGATTTTCATTTAGTGATGTGAAGAAGAGAAAGAGGAGTTACTGAAGTCTGAGAGGCAAAAAGTTTGCTTTGAGGGCTGGGGGTGGTGGCTCATGCCTGTAATCCCAGCACTTTGGGAGGCCAAGGTGGGAGGATTGCTTGAGCTTGGCAAGTCAAGACCAGCCTGAGCAAAATAGTGAGACTCTATCTCTCCAAAAAATAAAAAAATTAGTTGAATTCGTTGGTATGCACCTACACTCCCAGCTACTAAGGAAGCTGAGGCAGGAGGATCATCTAAGCACAGGAGTTTGAGGCTGCAGCGAGCTATGATCACACCATTGTACTCCACCCGGGGCAGCAGAGAGAGAACCTATCTCTAAAATAAATAAATAAATAAATAAATAAATAGTCAATTAAAAATTATTTTAAAATGAAAAATAAGTAAAAATAAATGTAAAAGTTTGCTTTGTTAGATAAAAATAAGCTCACACTTTACCCTAAAATATATTCCATAAAGATCAATAACTTAAATGTAAAAAAAAATGATGCCATTGAAACACTAGAAGAAAATGGGGGAATATTTTCATAACCTAAGGATATCATAAAATCCAGAGGCCACAAATGCATAGTGATGAATTTACTGCATTAAACTGTAAAACTTCTTTGGAGAAGAGAAATAAAAGATACACACAAAGCCAATGTATCAAACAAGAACTGGAGACGATGTTTGCATTTCATGTATCAGAAAATGGCTAATGTCCTTAATGTGGGGTGCTCTTTAAAAATCAATATGAAAATCATGAGTACAAAAACTTGCAAAGGATGTGAAAAGGCAACTTGGAACAAAAGATATCAAAGACCAAGCGACATATGGAAAGATGTTCAGCCATGTTTACAGTTGAACACAAACTAAAATAAGGTAGAGATTTTTTTTACCTATCACATTGAAAAACATTTCAATGCTTTTGGTGGAAGTATGGAGAAATGGGTATCCTATACCTCAATGGTGACAGCGAAAACTGATAGAAAACTGGCAAATTGGCAAGACATATTAAAGTCCTACTTATGAATTCAAAGTTGTTCTCTTTGTAGAAATTTATTCTACAGATACGCTTTCAAAAGTGTACAAAGATTATTCATTTTAACACTGTTTGTAATAATGGAAACCTGAAAATGGACATACAGTGCATAGACCATTAGAAAGATACAGTAATCTGTACATATGGACAATGTAAGATGTCTAAGATATGTTCTTGAGTGAAGAAAACAAGTTTCAAAACAGTAAGAATAGTATACTCCCATTTGAAGTTAAGAAAAGGATATACAATATTTAGAAGTGTGTGTACTTTTCCTGTTGTCTCTGAATTTGGGCTGAGGTTTCAAAATTGATAACAGTAAGTAACATGTTCCCCCATGTTCTAAATAGAGGTGCTATCTTATCCATTTAGGACTTGCTAAATGGTGAACAAAACCCTATACTGTGACCCTTAGCCCATCACCTACCATCAATCTCTGTGTAAGAGGATACTAGAGGTTGATCAGAGTGAGGAAGAAGAGGAGAACCTGGATAAGAGTTGTTGGCCCAATAGTGTTAGAGCTCCAGGGGATTGCCCGCCTCATGAGAGAAGCTGCACAGGGTGCCAAGTTAGAGGAAAAGAGAGAACTTTGGAGAGAATGGGGGGCTCACTAGAGGGAGAAAAGGCATCCCACCCCCAGCTTGACTGTTGCCAATCTTCAAAAACTCAGAAGGCTTCCTCCTCTTGTAAGAGTGTAGTGAGAGAACCCTTGGGTGAGCTTGACCTTTGTTCCCTAGAACTCAGGGGTACAGAACGAAGTGCCTGCCTGTTGCCTGGAAAAGGCTGAAGGGTGGCCAGAATGACCTGCTAGGATAAAGCAAAGAAAGAGGGCTCTGGTTGGAATAGGCTGTTCCTCCATGCTTCTGTGGGGCAATGATGCCAAGCTCTCCCATGGGCTAAGTGATCCTCCTGGAAGATTGCCAGGCTAGTGCTATCTCGAAAAGAACTTGCCCCCAGAGAGCTGGCTTCCAGGCCAAGATAACCCCAGCTGAAACATTCTGTGGAAGGAAGGGAACCATTCTGCTAAGCTGAGAGAGCATCTCTCAAAACAAATGATTCATTGAACAGAGAACAAAAGTGCTGCTTCAGCAGAGGGCATTCTCTGAAAAACCTACAAAACCATCCATAAAGGAAAAAGCCAGCATGAGGTATGCACTATCCAGAGGGCACTGATCTGATTACAAAGCACCTGTTGAGCAAGACCTTGTTCTGTTACCTCTCCTCCTGCCCCTCAGCCCGGTCCTGGAGTAGCCAGGTTCAGCAGGGGATCCAGAGGAGTGGGAAAGCAAGGCAGAGTGGACAGACAAGCCAAATTCCACCTTCCTCCTCCTCACTGCAGATTTCTGAGCCAAGGCCAGGCCTAAGCTAAGGAGAGGGTAGAAGTTTAAAGTCAGATATGAGAAGGAACTTTTGATTTTGATCAGATTGACCTTTTAAATACATTTTAAAATAAAAGAATGTTTTAACATCTAGACATGTTTGGAAAACCCATAGGATCTGCTCAAAATACTGTCCAAGGTCTATGGAGGGAGACTGGTAGAATGGGTTTGAAGGGCTTGGGTTAAAGAAAAAAATAAAGCTACTCTTCTGATTTCACCTTATTTAGTCTTAGCCCCTTCACTATACCGGTTATACATGCACTAAACACTCCTGGGAAGATAAACAAGACACTGTTAGCTGTGCTTACTCAAATTGTAGGATTAGGGTATCACCACACAGGAGGGAGACTTTTTTTTTTTTTTTTTTTTTTTTTTTTTGAGACGGAGTCTCGCTCTTTTGCCCAGGCCGGACTGCAGTGGCGCCATCTCGGCTCACTACAAACTCTGCCTCCCGGGTTCAGGCCATTCTCCTGCCTCAGCCTCCTGAGTAGCTGGGACTACAGGCACCCGAAAACACGCCCGGCTAATTTTTTGTATTTTTAGTAGAGACGGGGTTTCACCATGTTAGCCAGGATGGTCTCCACCTCCTGACCTCGTGATCCGCCCGCCTCGGCCTCCCAAAGTGCTGGGATCACAGGCATGAGCCACCGCGCCCGGCCGGAGGGGGACTTTTTACCTTATATTCATCTACGCTTTTTTCATTTGTTAAATGACAAACATAAATTACTCTTAAAATTTAAGATATTTTAAATATGGAGCTAGTATACACTCTGTGGCCAGATGAATTTATGAAAACTCATTGCCGAGGGCATTTACAGTATCTTTCCCAGAATCCTCTCCTTCACCTTTCACACAGTTAACTACTGCCTACTTGGCCTAATCAGCTTGGATTGGGTGGAGTTCCCTGACCGTCTAGTTGGCCCCACAAGGCACCAGAACCTTCTGGCATCTATCCATCAAAGTGTGCTAGAGAACAAATAGACCAGGGAGGCAGGCTCCAGACAGCCAGTGCTGTGGCCAATCAGTCTCACCTAACCAGGAGCATCTGCAGCTGCATTCCTTAAGACTTGAAAGCTGCTGTCAGGGCTCCTGAGGTATATGTGATGTTTCAGAAGGTGTTCCCAGTATGAATAAGCCCAGGTCTGGAGAGTTCCATATTTTAAACTGGGATGCCCTTTCATCACCCAACAATCCTTCATTGAATACATACTGACAACCTAGTATACTGTATTATGCCTGATACCTATTTAGCATGTCATGAAAAAGAAAACAAATTGCTGACAATGCTGAGAAAAGGAAAGAGGAAAGCTCTTCAATGGCCCTTTTTCCTATGAATTATTTTGTTTATATTCTGTTGTCTTTTCATGTCAAGCCAAAGGCATAGATGGTCTACATCCTTATAAACATCTATGACTGTGGTAAGCTAGTTGCTCACCTTCAGGGTAAATGGTCTGAGAGTGGGCTGCTGACCTGATAGCTCCGTCAAAAGGTTAGAAGGAATCCAAGAAAGGCTAAGCTCAAAGGACTCCATCACAGCCAAAGGCCTCATGCCTTTATTTATTATTATTATTATTATTATTTAGAGAAAGAGTCTTGCTCTGTTGCCCAGGCTGCAGTGCAGTGGCGCGATCTCGGCTTACTGCAACCTCCGCTTCCCAGGCTGAAGTGATTCTCCTGCTTCAGCCTCCCAGGTAGCTGTGATCACAGGCGCCTGCCACCATGCCTGGCTAATTTTTGTATTTTTAGTAGAGACGGGTTTTCACCATGTTGGCCAGGCTGGTCTTGAACTCCTGAGCTCAGGCAATCCTCTTGCCTCGGCCTCCCAAAGTGCTGGGATTACTGGCATGAGGCACCGCACCCAGCCAGCCTCATGCCTTTAAATGACAGTAGCCAAAAAACACACCTCAGTTTGTAAATCTCTGTCCTCCTTTTCACAGAGGGAAAGTTTATGTATCTCACTATATTTACTCTTCTGAAACCTATGATTAGACAGCAATATACTCCAGCCTCAGGGGGAAACAACCAACACCTCTCTCCATTTGCTCCAGGGAATACTGAGGAGACTGTGGAGAAAAAGGCAGAAGTAGATGTTGCGCTGCTACCTTGCCCAGCCCTCAGCCAGTGGAGCCACTTTCAGGCCTTCGATTCCCAGAGTGCCTAGGCCTCCTTACATGCAAGCACCACTCTGGGGTATGTGCCAGGTTGACTCTGAGCAGCTGTCATCCAGTCCTGTGTGTTGCAGGGCCTGAATCTCTGAAATCCAAGACAAGGTGAGAACCAAGGAAAAGGAGGGCCAGACGTGGGGAACAACTGGAAGGGAGCACTGTAGAGAGACAAGGGCAAAAATCAGGCAGCGTCTCTAGCAGTAGCCCAAATCCAGACCCATGGTCAGGAGCCTGGGTAGGTGCCTGAGGCCAGTGCAAGGCAGCAGAGGAAAAAAGGTGTTGAGGGAGGGTGGAGAAAAGGATAGGTCAAGAACTAGATTGTTTTTGGAAAGTGGAGGCAAAAAAGAAACCTGAAGCACAGGCAACTTCCATTTAGGCCTGGAAGCTGGCTTCCTCTTTCAGCAGGCTCTCACTGTACTTAAGGAACATGACCTGTTGGGTCATGCCACCGACACGCAGCCCCCTCCCCGCAATGGGTAGCTAGGCTAGAGGAATGGCTAATAAAATAATTAACCTGGATTTTGGAACATGCATATGATGATAAATATAGATCCTATCTCTCTGACTAGTTAAGCACCACCACAAGACTGCTGGGAAAGGAAGGCTGAAATATAACAATTAATTAACAATGCAAAAGAACATACTCTGAAAGGTAAGGACAGGAAGCACTCCGTAATCCTATAAATTATTCCTGCTTATTGAGTGCTAAAAGCACAAGTTCCAGACATATATAAATAATATATTTGTATAAATAATTGAAAACACAGGGAAAATTACATAAGCAAGAACCAAATCTAAATTTAGCAAGGCCTCTGGCTTTTAGAACCCCTACACATTACACTTCTCACCAAGCTCCAGGATCTTATCCAGGAGAAAATCAAGATAAGAAATATTTCACAGTATCAGATGGACCTGGCCACAGCGTTTCCTTTCTCTCGTTTTCAGTTTTCGCACCTACCAAAACAAACAAAAAAGAGACAGAGAGAGAGAGAGATCTGAAATCAGTGAGCTCTGACATATTAGCTCCTTAAAAATTACTGGAATATTCATTAATTAGGATTCTGTTTATACGTCTGTTTTTCAGGAAAATAACTTGTAAGTTTGATTTTCTGTTTTTATTATGAAATCCCCGATGTAAATCTCAATGTCTCTGAGCATCCCAAACATCTCAGAATTTCAAATTTATGGCTTGACCTATCCGTAAGCAGCACTTCCTGTCATGACATTGGTAATCTTGGTTTGGTGTTATTTAAGCTAAGGGATGATTATCTTTGGCCAAAAGAGTATACTGTAACTACAACCTCAGTTCATGAATTAGCTAATTGTTTCTCCCTCCTTGGGAAATTAGCTTGTTGTCTGTTTCCTCCAGAGGAAGACTTTACATGGTGCCAAAAGCTCTGGTGTAAATTAAATAAATGGGCTTCATTTTCTAAGTTGTTTGAAATATAGGAGTGTGCATTCCACAGTCTTCTTTCCTCCAGCAATGGTCATACTTGATTTTAGAGATAAATTATCAAATAACCACCAGTAGCCTTGGTTAATGACAAAGGGAAAAGTTAAGTGCACTCAAAATTTGACATAGCTTTCTTTCTCTGTAACTGTTTGGACTCAGAGATAACAGTTAAATCACAACTACCATGTCCTGAATATGGACTATGTGACATTATCTCTAATATTACGAAAATACGGCAAAGTAGATATTACAAGGGAACTGAGTCTCAAAGATTAAGTAACTTGCCTGTGGGCACATAAGAGACAGAAATGAGATTTAATCCAGATCTCATCATACTCCAAATCAAATGCTCTTTCCAGTATTCTCACAATAATTCTAAGGTCCTTCTTAAGAAACACTCTACGCCAATTAAGCCTATAGGCCTTAGAGACAGTATATCAGTGTTTGAATCCTTGATTTAGAATTTACTAGCTCTGAGGTATTGCATAAGTTTCTTAGCTTACTTGAGCCACTGTTTTCTCATCTGTTGATAATAACAATATTTATTGCATAAGGTTAAATATGTAATACTACAATAATACAATGATGCAAATATATGCACTTAGCACATTCCTTGTATACATCCCTTGGGGTTGGAGACCCTGGCATAGTGATCTAATTTTACAAGTCTGTTCACCTTAAGTACACACCCAACTAAATCACATGCAATGGTCACGCCAATTCTTTCCACAAGTAATAGCTCTTCACTTTGGAATGATGTGGTTTAATCCTCACACAATTACTCTGTTTCAAATTGCATCACAATTCTTCAGGACTTTTTCAATGGCATTTTCAATCCTCATACAGAATTCTGGGATTCATGTTTAGGAACATTACCCAAGTACAAAAGTAACAGCAAAGGTAAGAGTAGTTCCCAACTAGAGTGTAAAATAGTTGTTTTCCACTCCCAAAGTTTTAAGTTTATGTGAGAATATTATTTCAGAATCTAGTGCTGTACTATCTCAATATTACCCTCATCCTTACCCAGTGTTATTATTTGAATGTTTGTGCCCTTCAAAAATTCATTTAATTTCCAATGCAACAATATTAAGAGGTGGGGCCTTTAGGAGGTGATTAGGTCATGAGGGCTCCTTCTTTAGACGGGTTAAGATCCTTCTAAAAGAGGCTTCACATGACCTTCTGCCATTTTTGCCCTTCCACCTTCTACTATGTGAGGACACAGAACTCAAGGCACCATCTTGGAATCAGACACCATGCCCTCACCCGATACTGAACCTACCAGCACCTTGATCTTGGACATTCAAGCCTCTAGAATGGTAAAAAATGCATTTCTATTATTTATAAATTGCCCAGTCTCGGGTATTTTGTTACAGCAGCATAAGAAGACTGAGATACTTGGTCGTACGGCAGTTGTACTCAACTACTCAACTATGCAATTAAGAATGATTTCTTTGATGTCACCAAAATATTTCTACCCTGTATTACTATATATCTGATACCATAAAAAGAGAAAAAATAAATTGTATTATAACTACCACAACTTCACACCCTTATTCATTTTTGCCTAATTTTTTACATACACCTTCCCCTTAAAGTTGATCAATAGTCACAAATCAATATAAGTATTTATTACCATTTGCCATGTACATTTATAACTATTGATAACTAGATTAATGAATATAAAACTGAAGGGTTTCATCCTTTTTAAACGCAAAACATATGTTGTGAGCTTCAAAATATTTGAAAACTTTTACCTTCAGATTTGTCTTAAAATCAATTCTGTTATCTTAACTAGAAATAATGGAATCTAGCCTGGGGTGGTTGTTAAAATCAAAGTGACTTCATAAAGTGGATCTAATTCAAGTGAGAGTAGGCATATAAGCCCTACACTTACCAAGCGTGGATCTAAGATCATTGGAAATGCTGAATGGTTGTTAGAATATTTGGAGCTTTCTCTTGATGCAGAATTACTTGTAGTGTTGAACAGAGTATTACCAGAACAATTTTTTTAAATCGCATGCAGAACTAACAGGATTAAATGTGTCTTTGATGAATGATATTTAAAGAAAAAAAAATTCTTAAAAAAAATTCCACTCATAAAACCATCCAATCCCAACTGGCCATCGTCACTGTGATTTCCTGATCTATGACTTCTTTGTCTCCAACTCCATGCTCTGATTGCAACTGTCACTGAGTCACACAGCCTGCTCTAGGCATGGAGCCAATTTGATTACAACAACTGCTTGTGTGAGAGAGAAAGGTAGTTTTCAGGCCTTAGCAAATGGTTCACCCAAGCTTCTGACTCTGGGGCATAAATTTTGACTGTCATTCACAAGATGTAAAATAAATACGCACTAACCTAGTAAACCAACAACCTGGAAAATACATATAAACACTGAGTTCTATAACTAGGACACAGAAGGAATGATTAGATTAAACACACCCTAGTCTTATAAAAAGCACCCATGAGCTCAACCACATTCCTCAAAAGCACAATTTTCATGTTCTTAACACGTTGGCAATCTTGTTCATTTTTGAAACCCAGGTGTCTAGTACAAGGTATATGAATAAAAAATATTTATTTAACTGAAGTGGAATAAAAGTAACTAAGTTACTTAGAGGCAGAAAGGTATCTGCTGGATAGCCTCTTTCATGCAAAAAGCTGCTAATTCAGGGTTTAGGGGGTAGGCGGGGTGAAGGGAAATATAACCGCTCTTTTAGGCTTTAAAATTGGACTGAGTTGTTCAATTTTAAATTGTTATTTTTGTTTCATGGCCTGCTTTTTTAAAAAACATATCAAATAATATGGTATTCTACTAAGGTAGTTAAGATAATAAAAAATTATGTATGCAAATAAGATGTCCTAACCACTATGACAACTGTACTGGATATCACTCTATTTTCATATTTCTATGTTGCCTTTTATGATTTGGATCTAAAATATAACCTATAATATTAAAATTAGTCAAATCCCTGAAAAGAAGCCTTTTGTTATGTCTTTCTCCCTGGCTAATAGTACATCCTTGTTGCATTCGTATATTATAGTTTGCTCAACAAACCTATATTAAATAGGCACTTGTGGGAGAGAGAAAAATAGACTAAAAAATAAGAATAGTAGCTACCATATAATGAACACTTCTTAGTCTCCAATTCTATGCTAGTGCTTTACATGCATTATCTCATTTTACTATCTCAACAAACCTATGTAGTTGTTACTATTCTTACTTCCACTTTACAGATAAGGACAGCTAGAGAGGTTAAGTAGTTTGCCCAAGGTCACCTGTCTACTAAGTAGCAGAGCTAAAGTTCAACTCAGAACTCTTTGACCCCAGAATCTAGTTCTTTCCTGCTTACACACAGAGATAGAACCAAAGGGGAAGATACACTTTCTTACTCTAATCTGCAATTTGGATTTCAATGAGACATGTGCCTGAAGCAACTTGAATGATTCTAAAGGAATATAAAAGGTAGTATAAGACAGCCCAAGTAAGCCAGGCACAGTGGCTCACGCCTGTAATATCAGCACTTTGGGAGGCCAAGGCGGGCAGATCACGAGGTCAGGAGATCGAGACCATCCTGGCCAACATGGTGAAACCCCGTCTCCACTAAAAATACAAAAATTAGCTGGGTGTGGTGGCATGCGCCTGTGGTAATCCCAGCTACTCCGGAGGCTGAAGCAGGAGAATCGCTTCAGCCTGGGAGTTGGAGGTTGCAGTGAGCTGAGATCACATCACTGCACTCCAGCCTGGCAACAGAGCAAGACTCCATCAAAAAAAAAAAAAAAGAAAGAAAAGACAGCCCAGGTAAAGGGCCACTCTTTAGTAAAGTAAATCAAATATATAAGCAAAGTAGAACTTCATAAATTCCAGGAAGTAAACCCCAGGCCAGAAAGAATCTGCAATTTTCAATCATCCCCATACTTCCTCCCTTTAGAATATTCATC
The DNA here is from genome assembly GCF_000001405.40 of Homo sapiens. Taxonomy (NCBI): domain Eukaryota; kingdom Metazoa; phylum Chordata; class Mammalia; order Primates; family Hominidae; genus Homo; species Homo sapiens. Next base: position 38,228,799 of record NC_000015.10, read on the forward strand.
TCCCAGCTCAGCGCACTTTTCTGTGTTTTTGTTTTGCAGCTGGGTTGTCCCCCAGGGCACTCAGCTTTCCATAGATTTCTTGGCCTCAGTAGAAACTTATCCTTCTGCCCTCTTATTTAGCTAAGTCAAAGCTAGACATTTTCAAAAAATATTCTACTAAGAAATGAAGGGAGAAATGGAATGAAGAGGAGAAAGAAGAGAAAGAGGAAGGCAGAAATTAAAAAATTAAGAGAGCAATAAAAAAGAACATTTTAAATTAATGAAAACTAATGTTTACAAATGCCAGCCGTTTTTTTAGGTTTTTGTTGTGTCACTTTGTTTTGATTTGTTTTCTAGTCCTAAGGAAAGCCTACTTAGATATCTATCTATGTAATTTAGTAAATTTAAAGATTTCAAGTTTCTTTCTTTGCATTTGATGGGGGATGGAGGTAGATGACAGCTAAGGTATTATCTCTGTGCCTATTGGGCATATATTGTTTAATTATGATAGCACGATGAAAGTGGTATTGTCAACAGCTTTTTATGGCAGGAAACTGAGGTTCTGAAAAATGAAATACCTTTACTAAGGGGCCTTAGCTAGCCAGAAGCAGAGATGAGCAGGATTTCTGTCCAGGCTCCTCTCATGGCTTCACTTTGCAACCATCAGAACTCTCCCTTTATTTTGTCTTAAGCCACTTCTTTGTGCCTCTCAGTCCTTTGCATTCTCTCCTGCACCCACAGCTCCAGCAGTCGAAGCAAAAGTCTCAGCCCTTAGGCAGTATACTTAAAATGGAGGCTTCGAGATTACATGTGAAGACTCAGAATTCTTGGGTTCAAATCTTTATGGACTGCGCATGTGTGTAACTGTCACTTTGGACAAATGCCTTAACCTTTCTGGGATTAGGTTTTCTCATCTGTAAAATGGGAGTGAATAATACTACTACGAACTTACAGAGTGAGAGCTAAACATATAAGTACTGAGATAAAGTGATCTGAGCTGTGCCTGACACAGATAAGCATTACATAATTGTAAGCTGCTGTTATTAGGGAAGTTGTTATGTGGAAAGAAATAAGACATTAAGACTTTAACACTCTCCTTAAAACATGACATATACACACTCACTGAGTCACTCTGCTGCTGATGGGTCGGCTTTATGGTTTGAGTCAATAATGGTAAACAGCAAGGAATGCCCAGAAAAAAAAACAACTTAGAATTTCCCATGTCAATACACTGTATTACATTGCTTTTTGAAGTAATGTGTCATCTGGAAGAAAGCAAATCCTGTGCTGGCCATTTTGGGGGTATGTATATTTCTTTGAGCGAAACAGGAACTATAGCTACACAGTTATTTCTCTAGAGGCTAGAATAACATTCAGAGTTTGTAGTTAAATGTTTTTACTATACACAACTACAGCCTTCCAACTACCTTTCAATCCAATACAGATGTTATAAAAACACTGCCAGAGAAGGCAGATTGAAAGATAGCCCCAAATGTGAATTATTACCCCAAATGGACTTTTCCTCTTGGAAGAAAATGTTCTTTTATTAAAGAGATGTCCATAGAAAGATGATAGAGATAATATCTATATCTAGTTCTATTATAGATCAGATAGATAGATAGATATAGTATATCTCCATCTAGTCTATCTAATCTATCTATCTAATCTATCTATCCAGAATTTATCTATCTCATCTAATCTATCCATCCAGAGAGAGAGACGATATAATTTAGCGGATGAGAGGAAAAGACTTTTTACAACGATGGCCATTTAAAGAAAACCTCATTGCATGAGATATAGCTTTAAGTCAGGCTTGCTTTCAATGACCTGAAGGATTTAATACGTCCTTTTAAAATAAACTGATTGGTTGGGAGATAGGCTGGCTAGGAAAAATCAGTAAGTCTTTGACTTAATAATATTGTAAGCATAATTAATAGTCCTGCTATACTGTATATTGAGTTCACATGAAGCCAAACTTCTCTCTTATCTCTAGAATTTATCAGTTATTCTTAGAATATTTTGGATGAGGCCTGGGCAATTTTATTTTTAATAAATTCCTCAGGAAATTCCGTTGCACACCAAAATTTGGAAACCACCGACATACCTTTTAGTGGCAGCATCTCCTTTTCTTGGATATTTAGGTTTATTTTATTTTATTTTTTTTTTGAGATGGAGTTTTGCTCTGTTACCCGGGCTGGAGTACAATGGTGCGCTCCAGGCTCACTCCAACCTCTGCCTCCTGGGTTCAAGGGACTCTCCTGCCTCAGCCTCCCAAGTAGCTGGGATTACAGGCATGCGCCACCACGCCCAGTTAATTTCTGTATTTTTAGTAGAGACAGGGTTTCTATGTTGGCCAGGCTGGTCTCTAACTCCTGACTTCAGGTGATCCACCCGCCTTGGCCTCCCAAAGTGCTGGGATTACAGCCGTGAGCCACTGTGTCAGCCCAGGTATTTAGGTTTGATTGAAGTTTTTCACCATTACAAATTACTCTGTGATGACCACCTATATAATAACAGCTTACTTTTTTTTGCATATTTCCTATGTGCCAGCCAATATGCTACATATTTCCTTAGAACAAATTCTCAAGAGATAGAATTACTGAGATAAATTTTGTGTTTTTTAAAGGTTTTCGACACCCATTGCAAAGTTGCCACTCCAGAAGGTTTCCTCTGTGGCCACTTCTGAGGTACGCTCCACACTTCTACAATGGGAAAAACATTGATGGCTGTATTACATGAAGACTAGCATTCAGCTATCAGTTCAGTAAGCACTCCCAAACAGTGGCTCATTCAAGAGACTTAGAAAAGATCTAGCACAATGCCCTGGCTGACGCATCATATCTTAGCAGCTATTGTTGCTAAAAGTAGCACTCCTGAGCGGTTGCTTCCAGGAAGGCCTATCCAAAATTCAGCCACAGGGACTGTATTCTGTTTCTGGGAACTGGCACATTTCACATGCTGTCCCTTCTAGGGCCCACCAAGGCGTAGCTATCTCCGGTAGTCAAGGGAACACAGAGTAATGTGGAGATGCTTGGTCCAAGATCATTTTTTATAGAATTCAATATGAAAATGTTCTGATATCAGACAAAAAAATATATACACTGACCTATGTGCCCAGGTCATAAAGAAATTAAAGCTAGACTAAAAAAATTTTATCACATAAGCATACTAGAGTGATCCAGTAAGCAAAAAAAGAAATGTTTTTTCTTCCATCCCTCTTTTCTTAGATTTTCAAGGAAGGAAATGTGTGGAGAACTCTGAATAATGTGTGTTACATTTTCATACGATATCTTAGCCTTCTAATGTGGGCAGGGACAGAACAAATCATTTGGAGGGGTGGGATTTTTGTATATAGGACCAGTGTGAGATGCTTTTCGGCTACCTACACAGATATTTTTAGTATGACGGTCACAACCTATTATAATGCTAGCATTAGAAAACAAAGCCACCTTGTTTTCAAAAACAAGGTTGATTTAATGAACATCACTACATGATCCAGGATCTATATACAAACAATAAAACACAGAGCTATTTACCTCTAAATAAAGCACAGTGAAACCACTTATTATCATGGAAGTGTAGAATTTTGATAATGGAATGGATTTTACATTTAATTGGCTTCTCAAATCCTTCTAAGACCATAGTAAGAGTAGGGACTATAAATAATTTCAATAGAGATTTAGTCCCTACTCTTATAAATGACGAAACTAAAGCACAGAGAAGTTAAAGTGAACTTCCGAAAGTCTCTTAGCCAGCAAATGGCAAGTGTGATGTCTCACTATAAACCATGACTGAATTTAGTGTCCATCCTTTTATTTTATTTTCTTCTTGGTTTTTCCAAATGGCTCCCAAAGAATTTGCAATCTTTACATATAAATGGTTTCCCTTGAGGCAAAGTAGTAGAAGGGGTATAATTTAAAAATAAAAGTGTATTTTTTCCTCTCCACTTACAATGTGCCTCCCATATCATGAAAATATCCGTATCCTTTCAAAAACCTTGTGTATGTTAGCCGGGTGCGGTGGCTCACGCCTATAATCCCAGCACTTTGGGAGGCCGAGGCGGGCGGATCACGAGGTCAGGAGATCGAGACCATCCTGGCTAACACAGTGAAACCCCGTCCCTACTAAAAATATAAAAAAGTAGCCAGGCGTGGTGGCGGGCAACTGTACTCCTAGCTACTCAGGTGGCTGAGGCAGGAGAATGGCGTGAACCCGGGAGGCGGAGCTTGCAGTGAGCTGAGATAGTGCCACTGCACTCCAGCCTGCTGGGCGACAGAGTGACACTCCGTCTCAAAAAAAACAAAAACAAAAACAAAACAAAACAAAAAAAAAAACCTTGTGTATGTTAAATGTGTGTCTCATGACTGTGTGTCTATCAGAGCAAGCAATCTTTATGTAGATTTGTGAAAAGATAATGTGAGAGTCAACTGGCCGATGGGAAAGCAATGAAGGGGCAGAATGAAGGGGGTATTTTCTGAAGTTTTCAATAAGGAAGGTTGGAGACAGTGAGAAAAACGAAGCTGTTTGGAAGCTGTTTAGAAGATAGATCAGAAAATAATTTGTTTGACTTGAGAAGCAGTACACTGTTTACTACTGCAGCCAACCTGAGCATCCGAAAGCAGGCCTGGCACGTAGCGAATGCTCAGTCAATGTCTGTTGAATAAAAGTACATGAGTCTGGCAGTAAGGAGACCTGGGATTTGGCTCTGGCTTTCTCCCTAGTCCTAGTCAACCCACCTTTCTGAGGCTTAGTTTCATTATTTATTATATAAAGGGCTTGGACTACATTATTTCTGTGGTAGATACAGATGCTTTCTTTCTGCCAAGCTGCAGCTTAGCGAGGGACCTGCCCCCTCCAATTTCTTTTTTTGTTGTTTTTTGAGATGGAGTTTCACCCTTGTTGCCCAGGCTGGAGTGCAGTGGTGTGATCTCGGCTCACTGCAACCTCCACCTCCTGGGTTCAAGCGATTCTCCTGCCTCAGTCTCCCAAGTAGCTGGGATTACAGGCATGTGCCACCACACCTGGCTAATTTTGTATTTTCAGTAGAGACGGAGTTTCTCCATGTTGGTCAGGCTGGTCTCGAACTCCCGACCTCAGGTTATCCGCCCCCTCCTCGGCATCCCAAAGTGCTGGGATTACAGGCGTGAGCCACTGCGCCCAACCTCCAATTTCTTTATCTATGTGGTTACAATGGGAACATGCTACAAACCACCAAACTGGTAAAATCTGACCCTGCCCAGATTGGGCAAGGTCGTGGTCATGGTCAAAGTCGATTGATCGAGGCATAGGCACTCCCAAGCTGGGCTGATATGAATCTTTTACAAGGAACTTCAGAACTGGAGCTAAAAAGTATTATCAGCTTCTTTCTGGTAGCTGAAACTGAGGATATGCAAACCTACAACTTGTTGGTGGCCACCTTCCCAGTTTGATCTATGTGGTGAAAACGATTAATAGATAATGAGAGAGAAGAAAAAAGCAGACACAAAAAATAGAACAGAAAGACAGAAACAACTTTTAAATCCATGATCCTGGTTGAATGTGATGCTCAATGTATCACTGCCCTTTATTTAATGAGAGGACTCAGAATCCATACATTAAATTTCCCACTAAAAAAATTACATTAGCCACTTAGCCAATAAATTATCTATTAGTTGAGATGAAAACAGTTATATGCAATATATTCTACTATCTCTTTTGTTTCTAAAAGTTGAAGGTTTTAAGGACTGTAAAGGCTGAAGGCATAGCCAGATAGGAACATTACACTTTGACAGAAAGCAATTTAACTGGAACTGACTTGAAAACAGAAGATGTTCTGCTGAAGGGAGATTTCCTAGAGTTAAGATCAAAGGCATATTTTTACATTGGGGAGTGAAATAAAGTATCATCTTACCTAAATGTGAAGGTAAATCATCTAGACAGAATGTATATTATTTCTACAATCCTAGAAAAACTAAGAAGCAGATAGTATCCTCTGTCAGTATTTAAAATTTTTCTGTTTTGTTCATCATGAATTTTTATGTATTAATTTGATTTTTTTTTTTTTTTTTTTTTTTTTTTGGAGACGGAGTCTTGCTCTTTCGCCCAGGCTGGAGTGCAGTGGCGTGATCTCGGCTCACTGCAAGCTCCACCTCCCGGGTTCATGCCATTCTCTGCCTCAGCCTCCCGAGTAGCTGGGACTACAGGTGCCCGCCACCATGCCCAGCTAATTTTTTTTATATTTTTAGTTGAGACAGGGTTTCACCGTGTTAGCCAGGATGGTCTCGATCTCCTGACCTCAGGTGATCCGCCCACCTCGGCTTCCCAAAGTGCTGGGATTACAGGTGTGAGCCACCGCGCCCGGCCTTAATTTGATTTTTATAAAACATTGCATTAAAGTATTATTTATCTTCACTACCGAGTTTTTTGATCACCCTTTTACATTTTTAGCTTGAAGTAAGTCCGTCACTCATTTCATCTTAATCCTGAGCATTCCATCTGTACAAAAGTTCAAGGCAAGGGTACTGGTAAGAAGTGAAACAGGAGGAAATTATAGAAGCTTTAGTACCTGTTAAGCCAAATTAAATAAAATAACTAAATGGTATATTTATAATTTGCCTTTCTGCACCTAATTCATGTCCCCAAGATTTCCTCACTCCATAGTAGAGTAGTTTTAAATTTTCAGTAGTGACCTCAGTATATATTTTGAACAATTACTGTGTAAGAAATACATGACAGGGGCCAGGCGCAGTGGCTCACGCCTGTAATCCCAACACTTTGGGAGGCTGAGGCGGGCGGATCACGAGGTCAGGAGATTGAAACCCCGTCTCTACTAAAAATACAAAAAATCAGCTGGGTGTGGTGGCGCTCGCCTGTAGTCTCAGCTACTCGGGAGGCTGAGGCAGGAGAATGGCGTGAATCCAGGAAGCAGAGGTTGCAGTGAGCCGAGATGGTGCCACTGCACTCCAGCCTGAGTGACAGAGTGAGACTCCATCTCCAAAAAAAAAAAAAAAAAAAACAGAAAGAAAGAAAAAGAAATACAGGACAGAGATTAGAAGTACATTTCCTTCGGACTCTGAGGTAAAGACTTTTGTAATGAAATACTGGAAAGCTTTCAGTCTTGTGCTGTGGGTCTGCCTTGTCACACCATATTTTTATCCTGATGGATGACGAGGGAGCAGAAGACCCCCTCCTACCATATTGTACTATACTCATGGATGGGGGCCATATTCTCCTATTACTATTGTGTCATTTAGTTTTAAGTGTGGCTATGAACTGGAACTGACATCCAATACTGATATGACAAGAAGCTATTTCTAAGAGAGTTTCTGAAGAAGCACAGATAGGCTGGATCTCCTAGTCTGATGTATACAGTGAAGAAGAACTGACTCCAGTACTCAAGTGGTCTCTGAAAGGGGTGAAAAAACCCCAGGATGTACACAAGGTGATTTTAAGAAACAGAAATAAAATTTTAGAAATTTTATTTTTACTTGTTCTTTGTTGCTTTCATTTTTGAAATTTTATTTTGGAGTGTTTATAATGAACATAATATTTTAACATAGCAATATATTTATATAACATAATCATGATTTCATTTAGGGGTATATTTTATAAATTACCAATAGAGATATAGCCCATTCTTCAATGTTGAGAACAAGGATAATGAGATTGACAGAATCGTATTATGTAAATATGCTAGATTTGGTTTGAGTCAGAAAACATGAATTAAAATCCTAGTCTGCCTTGTACTAGCCTATATAAGCTTAGGCAAATAACTTGAGTGTTTAGTTTCCATATCTGCTAGGTGGGTATACGAGGCTTAAATAAAATCATGTACATAGGATTGAGCAGAGTATGTGGTATATAAAATTTTAAATAGTATATCAACTTCAGATACAATTATTAAGCATTTTTATATTCTTAGAATGTGACATAAATATATCACATTATTATTATTAGACACATAAAAGAGTCAACATTCAAATCTGTAAAGTAAGGTTTTTTTGAGATAAGGAATATTCATCCAAGTGTCTGAGTCTAATTATTGGGTAATAATTATTCCTTAGACAGTTTCAGTGGAATAAAGGTTTTCCCTTTTTTTCTTCTATTATTATCCCAACAACACCTGCTCAGTTTCATTTTAATCCATAGCTTTATAAAGAGATACCCAAATAATATCATTCACAAAATCCTTTGGCAAAATATTCCTTGATCAGTGGTAGAAAACTCAGACAAGAAATTGCAAGCAAATATATTGGCTTGGATCTTTATAAAACTTTTATTTTGTTGTTGTTGTTTTTTTTTCAAACCAATGGCCTAGGCTTAGGCCGGACAGGAAGGAGTTGGAAGGGAAAACAAATTTTTTTTTTTTTTTTTTTTTGAGAGAGTCTTGCTCTGTCACCCAGGCTGGAATGCAGTGCTACAATCTCCACTCCCTGCAACCTCCGTCTCCCGCATTCAAGCAGTCCTCCTGCCTCAGCCTCCTGAGTAGCTGGGACTAGAGGCAAGCGTCACCAAACCCAGCTAATTTTTGTATTTTTTAGTAGAGACAGGGTTTCGCCATGTTGGCTAGGCTGGTCTCGAATTCCTGACCTCAGGTGATCTGCCCGCCTCGGCCTCCCAAAGTGTTGGGATTACAGGCGTGAGTCACTGCTCCTGGCTAAGAAGAATTTGGTTGGAAAGAAAAGTGTCACCTGTCCTTGTATCTTTGTTAGGGAACAAATTCCCATGCCACCAGAGAGGAGCTTTCACTTGAGCCTGGGTAGCGTTGCCTCATGGAACAAGGTTTTTCATCTTTAGCACTGCCAACATTTCAATCAGATAATTTGTTGTTGCGAGGGGCTGTCTTTAGCAGTAACCCTGGCCTCTATGCACTAAATGCCAGCAGCATTCCCTCCAACCTTGCCAGTAGTGACAACTAAAAATGTTTTAGACATCACCAATGTTTCATCACCCAAATTGTCCTCGGTTGAGAACCACTGTCATGGAGTGATCCTCATTACCTTCTCTACCGTGCACAAGATAAGGTGAGTCTAATGAATTAAGGAGAACTTGAAATGCAAATCAGAATTCTATAATGTTTCTGCTATAATTTTTTTTCTATCTTATCTTTGCTATAATTTTTTAAGGGCACACTTTGTACATATGCCACCGGCCTGTATTAAGCCTAAAAGCACAAATCAATGAGTATAGAGTTGATCCCATTTTGCTTTGTAAGAGTTCATCTTTTACAATTTTTGTCAGCCTTAGAAGTAAAGCAGGGGGAGATGCTAGGACAATATTCCCATATTAGAAGAAGTATGCCTATAGGTGGAGGGAAGGGGGTGGCTAGGCCAAAGACTAGGGAGGATTAGGAAGACCAAATCCAAAATGCAGTGCATTTCATTAGTGCTGATATGAGCAAGCTCGAGTTAGTTGGCCATTGTGTTGGTGGCATGAGAAGTTTGGAGGGTAGTTGTCTCCATTTCTTTTTTATTGCCTCCCTTTTGTCTACATCTCTATTTTTGTTTCTTTTTCTCTTCTCTTATCCCTTACTTCTTTCTTTTCTCCCTTGTGCATCCTTGAGCATGTTATTTTTCTAGTTCCTTCCCCCTCTGTTGCTATTTTAGTCAAGCATTGGTCATGAAAGCCCAGCATCATGGTTGTAAGTGGGGTTCCGGAACAAGATGGCCTGAGTTTGAATCAGAGCTCTGCTACTTTCTTGCTATGAAACCTTCTCAAGCATATAATTTAACCTCTATGTGTTTTCATTTCCTTACCACTAAAATGGGGATGATATTAATAGTACCTGTCTCTTGGTCAGCAGTATTAACATATGTAAAGCGCATGGAAGGGAGGCTGTGGCAGGCAGTAAGCACCCAATAGATGTTAACCATTATGATTACCTTCACATCCCCTACCCTGCAGGGAAGAATGTGACCACACACTTTTATATAAAAGCATCTAGCAACATTTGCCTGTTTGTATTTATTGAGAGAATTATTCTATATTATTGGTTTGGGAGAGGAGAAAGTTAGGCATCTGTTAACACTTTCAGGAATAAGGCTCATTTAACACCTTTGTGCTGGGGAAAGTGCTGAGGAAACACTTTGAACAAATGTACATTTTATAGTAATAGAAAAGAAGTAATTCCATTGAATTTCTCCCTATAGTATGTGTATTGTTATTGCTAGTCTGAATATAATGTATGCAATATTTCTCTGTGGCTGGAGGGAAAGCAAACTTTAAAATTACATAAATAACAATAGAATATTAAATATAGAAAATGAAATTTTGAAAAGCCTTTCTGAACAAGACTGTTATTTTTCACATATTATTTTTCTTAGAAAAGACAGTGAGCTACTGCTAATACTGTTTAATAAATGAATATTCTCTGTATTAGTCAGTTTTCACACTGCTATAAAGAACTGCCCTAGACTGGATAATTTATAAAGGAAAGAGGTTTAATTGACTCACAGTTCAGCATGGCTGGGGAGGCCTCAGGAAACTTACAATCACGGCGGAAGGTGAAGGGGAAGCAAGGCACCTTCTTCACAAGGTGGCCGGAAGGAGAAAAGCAAGCAAGAGCAGGGAAGACTACCTCATAAAACCTTCAGATCTCGTGAGAACTCACTCACTATCACAAGAACAGCATGGGGAAACCAGCACCATGATCCAATCACCTCCCACCTGGACCCACCCTCAACAGGTGGGGATTATGGGGACTACAATTCAAGATGAGATTTAGGTGGGGACACAGACCTAACCATATTAATCTCATTACAGTTACTTCACAACAACAGCTAATGGTATAGCTAAGGAAATTGAAGCAAAGAGAAATTAAGAAACAGGTAAATTAGGGAACTCACTGAAGAAGAAACATGAATAAAATTAAACCTAGTGATTAGGGAAACACAAAATAAAACAACAAGATACCATTTTGGTAGGGCATCACACTGGTAAAAAATGAAGAGATTGTTAATATCCACTTTGGGTGCACCTATAGAGTAAAAGGTACTCTTACACACTACTGGTTAAAAAATATTGGTTAAAAAAAGGAACAATGCTTTTCGGAGGGCAGTTTGGCATTATCTTTTATTATTTAAAATATTCATTCTCTTTGATGTAGCAATTTCACTTATATAAATCTTCCTGAGAGAAATCTTTGCCTTTACGTCCAAAGATAACTGTACAAGGATAATCACTGAAGAATTGTTTTTGTTTGTTTGTTTGAGACAGAGTCTTACTCTGTTACCCAGCCAGTGATCCTGGCTCACTGCAATCTCCACCTCCTGAGCGGGTTCAAGTGATTCTCCTGCCTCAGCCTCCTGAGTAGTTGGGATTACAGGTGCCCACCACCAGGCCTGGCTAATTTTTGTATTTTTAAGTAGAGATGGGGTTTCACCATGTTGGCCAGGCTGGTCTGGAACTCCCAACCTCAAGTGATCCATCCACCTTAGCCTCCCAAAGTGCAGGCATGAGCTGCTGTACCTAGCCAAAGAATTGTTTTCAATAGAAATAACAAAATCTAAAACAATGAATGATTGATGTCCATTTGTAGACAGAAACAGATAAATAGAAATAAATAACTTGTAGTATACCCACATTATGAAATACTATATAACCATTTAAAATAATGAATACTCATATAAAAATATACACAGCTTGTTAAAAAGTAGCATTATAATATGTAAAACTTGTGTTTATTATGTGTGTGTAAATATACGGAAAAGGATCTGAAATTATATACTTGTATTCTAAACAGCTAATAGTGGTCACCTTTGAGAAAAGTGGGATTGGAGTCCTCACTTTTACTCTGTACACTTTTTTATACAGTTCTAAGTTTTTAGGAGTACTTGGTTTAGTTATTAAATGAGCAAAAATGGCAATTTAGCAGTTTTGTCTTTGCACTTGGGGATTACTAGGGTTATATATGGAGAGTACATGTGGACTTTAAATTCCAATATATCTGATTTGAGCTAAGTATTGAGATTTCTTCATCTTGATATTATTTTGAGCCTTTTAAAAATTATTGTTTTGGGCCAGGTGCAGTGGCTCACACCCGTAATTCCAGCTCTTTGGAAGGCCAACGCAGAAGGATCACTTGAGCCTAGGGCTTCAGGATCACCCTGGGAAACAAAGTGAGACCCTTTCTCTACAAATATTAAAAAATTAGCCAGGCACGGTAGTGCACTCCTGTAGTCCCAGCTACTTGGGAGGCTGAGGCAGGAGGATTGTTTGAGCCCAGGAGTTTGAGGTTACGGTGAGCTGTGATTATACCACTGCACTCCAGTCTGGGTGATACAGTTAGACCCTCCCTGTTTTAATAAATCAATCAATAAATAAAATTATTCCTTTGAATTATACATGACATAGGTGCACATAAGTGTCCGTTAAATTTCTGAAAGGCAACAGGCAATTTCTACCTATCAACAATACTAGACATTTGGGGAAGATAAAAGAGATCTTAGAAAGTAAGGCTACTGTTTTCTTAATCTGATATTCAGAGCAAACACTAAGAACCAAGAACACTTTTTGGAATAAAATAAACACAACAAAAATGTGTCTAGTATAGAATTTTTACATGCATTCAGAAGAGACAAGAGAAACAGGAGGCCTAGTAAAAACTATATTGTAATGGATAAGATGAGAATCAGAACAGGTGGCCTTGGACACTTAGAATTTTTTTTTGTTTTTTTTTTGAGATACAGTCTCGCTCTTGTTACCCAGGCTGGAGTACAGTGGTGCGATCTCGGCTCACTGCAAGCTCTGCCTCCCGGATTCAAGCCATTCTTCTGCCTCAGCCTCCCAAGTAGCTGGGATTACAGGTGCCCACCACCATGCCTGGCTAATTTTTGTATATTTAGTAGAGATGGGGTTTCAGCATGTTGGCCAGGCTGGTCTCGAATTCCTGACCTCAGGTGATCCACCCACCTCAGCCTCCCAAAGTGCTGGGATTACAGGTGTGAGCCACCATGGACAGCCAGGCATTTAGAATTAATAAAAAAGACAACCACTCTCAGTTCTTGGGTTGGGACTCAAACCAAGTGCATTATGTAAAAGATAATTTTCTCAGAGTATTTAGGTACTAAATTAGGAGATTGCTGAAATAAGCCACAAAGGGCCCATGTAATAAAAAACTGCCAGAAAATATAATTGAAAACAAACAAGTCAGCTACATAAACATCCATTGGGTCACTGTGTGGTACCAAACAGATATTTTCCCAGGGAAAATGAAATAGGTGCTGGTGAAAAGGATAACATATTTAAATAGGTTAAAGGTTGGGCAATGGCTATGACAGCTTAATTCTGATGGGGTTTCCTCTTCAGCCAAGTCCTAGCCTTGCCATATAAAAGTGTACCAAAAAAAATATCCAAACACGTATCAAATCTCTCTTAGCTTCAATTGGCCCTTTGAAAGCTGAAGTTATACAAATAAGTAACAATTAGCATATTTTTTCTATTTACATTCTCCTTGAACACATGGTTAAGTCAATTTCAAGGACTGTTTTTCACTTCCTTGTTCTTGTTTATGTTTCACTATGATGCTTCACGGTAACTCATCTGCTGTTAATCCTCTACTTTGTGAAGCAAAATCAGTTTCTCCCATAGTAACTCTTATAGCACTTACCATGGTAATGGTAATTACCAATTTACACCTTTACTAGACTATAAACTTCTTGAGTTTAAGAACTGCTTTCATTTCATCTATAATAAGAGCCTGGCAAATAAAATAAGTAAGTCAATAAATTAGTGTTGCTGATATAGATATCTTCTGTGAGTTTATCAAAGATGGACCCTTTGAAAGTTGGACCTAAACACCACTCTCTAATGAATTCTAGATGGCTCTGATAGTTTTCTGAAGGTTCTTTCTATTGTTTATTGAGTACTGTTGGCTCTGTAAAATAGGATAAATATCAGGAGTGAAGGTGATAAGGAAAAGTCTAAAAAGAGCAAAACCAGGCAATAATAATGGTTAGAATTAAATGAGTTACACTTCAAGTGATTTTCAAGAAAATTTGATATTTTAGATATATGAAAAGTAAAAATAAACTGGAATTACACATAAGTAGAGTTTATGAATCTGGATGAAACCATGTCAAAATTTCCATGCCATTTAAATGGATAGGAGCTCCAGAGACATAAATTCAAAATATAAACTAAGAGTTGTCCTACTAGAGTAATAAATTACTATTACCATAATAAAATAACATATAATAAGTGCCTATCTGACATCTCACTTTACAAGTTATTATACAAAATAATTTGTGTAATGAATGATAATATGAAATTTGAGACTTCATAAAATTTGGAAAGGATGGTTAGCTAAATACAGACATTAAACAAATACATAGTTAAGGACAGAATCATGGAACTTATAAAGGATAATTGGAACTTATAAAGGATAATTACATTCCTAAGACATACTCTGGACCAAATAATTTAAGATTGCAGAAAGTAATTTTATTTTCCCAAATCAATTCCAAAAAGCTTTATGGAAAATATCGGGAGATATATAGTAACGTGTTACTTAAAGACAAGGATAAATTCTGAGAAATGCATTGTGAGGCAATTTCCTCTTTGTGTGAACATCACAGACTGTACTTAGACAAACCTAGATGGTATAGCCTGTTGCTCCTAGGCTACAAACCTGTACAGTGTGTTACTGTATTGAATACTGTGAGCAGTTGTTACACAATGGTAAGCGTCAATATTTGCATATCTAAACATAGAAATGGTACAATAAAAACGAGGTATTATAGTCTTATAGGACCAATGTCATATATGCAGTCCATCGTTGACTGAAAGTCATTATGAGGCATCTGACTGTACCTGAAATAAGCAAGAATAAGATAGGTAAAGACAGACTGTTCAAAATGCATGGCATCTTGGCAGGGGACCCAGAAGGAAGTCTGGGACGATCCAACAAAAGAAGGAAACTTGACATAAACAAAAATTGGCTAAAACCTAGGAGGCAATGAGGGTGTTAATTGTTTTAGGGCTTTTTGATAAAGAGCTTTAGAGTTGAAGGAGGCATTCTCTAGGATGAAGGAAAGCCAGTGTCTTAGGATTTTAAATCTTATGGAAAATAAAAACATCTCTTTCTGGTGATGTACGAACTGGCCAGATGTCACTGGACTGAAGCTTTTAGCATTTTTAAACCAGAAGAAGTTTTCCTTTGGGTGTGTATTCTTTATTTCTCTGTACAAAAGTACTAAAGATAATATCATAGATCTTCAAAACAGACACATTTGAGGATACTAATAAGATTAGTGTCATTGGAGAAAAACGAGTTAATTTTATTACTTTTTATGGCATTTAGTCATATTGCAATTTATAGAATCTAAATGTTTCCTTCTGGTTCTATGTCTCCCTAGCTAGACTGTAAGTTTCTGGAAAGCAGGCCTCCTCCCTGTACCTAGAGTAGTCCTGTAGATTCTACCACCTACATATGTCTATAGTCATCTTCTTTCTAGCCCCATGAGCAATGTCCTCAGTTTTCTCCTGTATAGATGATTGCAACAGCCTTTTTACTGGTCTCCAAAATCTTACAGTATAGCAAGGAGACATGGAAAACCAAATGGAAATATTTAAATAATATAAAATGTTATACAAACATATAAAAATATAATATATAAAAATAACTGCTATTTTTCCCTTGAATACTGACATTTTCTTTATAGCTCTCCTCCCACCTCTACCTATATTCTGACTTTGAATTATAACTATGAAACTGCACACACACACTGCCAACACAGAGGGCTGGAGGGGCCAATGTGGCATGAAAATGCAGGGTCTTTTGTTTTGTTTAGCTTTCTAAAATTATAGTGGACTACATGGAAGCTACAACAAAATGCAAAGTTTTAAGGTCTCCTGAGTGACTATGTAGAAACACCAGGCTTTACAGGTGCCTAATGAAGTGTGAAAAAGTCCAATTAAAGTGTGATGTTGCAGTGGGAAGAGGAGGGAACCTTCAGGTAAGCTAGAGAGTTGAGGGCGGGAAGGCGGGGGGAAGACTTTTTTTTTTTTTTTTTTTTAGAAAAGCACAGAGATTTTAGAGAAAAGAGGGAAAGCAGGGAGCAACTGTTAAGGCCACAGTCCCCTGCCAGCACTGCAGGGAGCTACGGGTGAGCAGTGGGCTTAATCCAGAGATGAACAGAGACAAGGTGCTGAGTGGTCCAAGTCACAGGCCAGGAAAAAGAGGCTAAAGTAAAACAGGAATAAAAATCCTGTTTTGGGGTGGGGAGTGCAGAAAAAGGGCTAGAAATGGTAATGGGAATCTCTGACTTTTGCATACTTGGAAGCTGGACAAGCTTGAAGAACAAGGTTAGGAAGGGACACTATTAAAGATAAAGGGATTACTGGCCAGGTGTGGTGGCTCATGCCTGTAATCCCAGTACTTTGGGAGGCGGAGGCAGGCAGATCACCCGAGGTCAGGAGTTCAAGACTAGCCTGGCCAAGATGGTGAAACCCTGTCTCTACTAAAAATACAAAAATTAGCCAGGTGTGGTGGCGCACGCCTGTAATCCCAGCTACTCGGGAGGCTGAGGCAAGAGAATTGCTTAAACCCAGGAGGCAGAGGTTGCAGTGAGCCGAGATCACGCCATTGCCCTCTAGCCTGGGCAACAGAGCGAGATTCCATCTCAAATAATAATAATAATAAAGATAAAGAGATTACTTACAATAGGGCTTCTTAAACTTTAATGCACAGATGAATCATACGGCGGTATTGTTAAAATGCAGATTCTAATTCAGGAAGACTGGAGTGGAGCCCAAGGGCCTGCATTTCTAACAAGCTTCCGGGTGAAGCTTTGCAGCTTTGAGTGGCAAGGATATGCAATATTAAACATGAACACTTAAAACATTTTTTTGTGTGTGACGGAGTCTCACTCTGTTGCCCAGGCTGGAGTGCAGTGGTGCGATCTTGGCTCACTGCAATTTCCACCTACTGGGTTCACGCCATTCTCCTGCTTCAGCCTCCCGAGTGGCTGGGTCTACAGGCACCCGCCACCATGCCCGGCCAATTTTTTGTGTTTTTAGTAGAGACAGAGTTTCACCATGTTAACCGGGATGGTCTCGATCTCCTGACCTCGTGATCCGCCTGCCTTGCCTCCCAAAGTGCTGGGATTACAGGCGTGAGCCACAGCGCCTGGCCAAAACATTTTTATATGCGGGGTGTGGTGGCTGACGCCTGTAATCCCAGCACTTTGGGAGGCCGAGACAGATGGATTGCTTGAGCTCAGGAGTTTGAGGCCAGTCTGGGCAACATGGCGAAACCCCCTCTCTACAAAATACAAAAATTAGCTGGGCATGGTGATGGGTGCCTGTAGTCCCACCTACTTGGAGGCTGAGGTGGGAGGATTGCTTGACTCTGGGAAGTGGAGATTGCAATGAGCTGAGATTGTGCCACTGCACTCCAGCCTGGGCAACAGAGGAAGAAAAAAAAAAAACCCAAACTAAACAAACAAAAACCATTTTTTAACAAAATAAACCAGTCAATGAATTTATGCTTCCCAGTATAGATATGTTCTGTAGGTTTATCAAAGACTTATACATCAAAGATAATTATGAAATTATCCTCCCTTTTACCCTTAGTTAATGGCAATGAAGAGATGATCTACAGTGCCCCAGTTCACACTAATAATGTATTTGAGAGCATAATCCTTGTTACATGTCTACTTTAATAACAAGATAACTACTTTTGTTATTTACAGCAACACATTTGCACATTCATGTGTCTAAGAAAACAACCCGTGATGACAGAAATGTTTTATATCTAGATTGTTCAATATGATAGCGACTAACCACTTGTGGCTATTGAGCACTTGAAACATGGCTAGTATACCTGAGGAATAAACAGCCACATATGGCTAGTGGTTACCATGATCATCGATATCTGCTAGCATCACCCAAAGACAACCAGATGTTATTTGCCTTCTGATTGAAGTAGTCCTCCTATCAAGGCTCTAGATTTAGAAACCAATTTACAAAAGAGACTCCAGATGTCCCCAGACCCTACTCTAAGAACTGATGGTATAAAGGAACTTACGTACCTGAGGCCCACAAAAGGCAGCTGATAATAGCCAAGGAATTTAATTCTTTCGTTATCTAAAAGTAGGACTCTCCTGTTAAATCATTATCCAAAGTAATAATGACTTGAAAGTCTATCCCACCAAATATCCCATCTTTGAGAAATTATAATATTGAAACATACACACATACACACCCACACACACAGAATTTTGAAGGAGGGGATGAAACGGGGTTGAGCTCTAGCCATGCCTTTACTATTGTGTAACCTCTGGGACCTCTCTGATCTTCAGTTTGCAAGTCTCTTTGTAACCTGGAGTTAATAATAATACCTACTGGGGAAGGGTGTTAGGAAGGTAAGTTCCTGAAGGGCAATGTGTATTTCAAATGTAATCCTGTTGTAATCCTATACCATGGTTAATTAGTACTCATTAAAAGGGAAAGCAATGCCATATTTAAAGCAAAATCCAAGGAACCAACCTAGAATCTTTTGTCATACTAAATTTGTGTTGCACGTGGCCTTGGATTATTTTATGATGGGTATTTCAGTCCTTCATATTTGTTGTAGTGGGACATAACCGTTAAAGAATGAGCATGCTAAAGCCATTTGGGAGAATAATGGTAAGTGCTTTATTTAGTAGTGTGGGGTCTGGTAAGCATCCTCCCTGCTAAGATTATACAGAAAATAAAGGAAATTGCAGACTGCTCATTTCCCTTGTACTCATCCTAATCTTGTGGAAACTTCCTGTAAAAGGCAG
This sequence comes from Homo sapiens, assembly GCF_000001405.40. Lineage (NCBI taxonomy): Eukaryota > Metazoa > Chordata > Mammalia > Primates > Hominidae > Homo > Homo sapiens. The sequence continues at coordinate 38,247,521 of NC_000015.10, forward strand.
TTATAGCATTAAAAGTAAACTGATTACACACTCACCGGATACTGCCAAACCAACAATTGCCGTCCTTAGGGAAAAAAGGAAAACAGCATACTTATCCTTTATACTTTGCATTAGTTTGGAAGAACATGGGAATCCTAGTGATGGGGAAGCAGACTCATGCCAGAGGCAAGGAAACTATTTAGAAACATGGTTACCACTTAGTAATTCCACTGAGAGGCAGGGCTCATTAGCCAAGAGACTGGTTAAACTAAAGAAAAAAAATCATTTATTAAACAAAGTACATGATGAAAATAGGAAGTTCCGATTGATCAAGGCACACATTAACTACAGTTTTAAAAAACAAAATTTTAATAACATCTGCTAAGGAGTAATGTTAAGGGTAATTTTAGAAATGGAAATATGCACTTGTATTTTATGTACTTTTAGAACCTCATATGTTGGCATGGCTGTCTCCTCTTTTGGCTTCTCAAGAATACAAATATCTGATGAGAGCTTCTGGTGCAAGGCACAGTGTATGTGAAATGCTAAACTGCAATAGTATTAAGTCCCAATAGTAAGCCAGAGGGGATTCCTGATTTCAACTCCAGTGCCAGTCAGTATAGCTTCATTTTTATATATAGTCAAGGCTCTGGTATAGTATTTTACCTAAAAAGCCTCTATTACTTACGACCACTGCTAAAAAGGATGCCAAAAAATATAAAGGGCAGCCCCTACCTTCAAGTCACTAAAATTTAATTGGGAAAACAAATATAAACTCATAAAAAATGAATCAGCAAAAATAATAATTATCAACACAAGTATAAACAGCAAAGGCAAAAATAAAAGAATCTGAGAAGACCAATTCTGAACTCATAAGAAAGATGATTACTATGGGCTGAGCAATGTGAAAAAAAGAAAAGAAACTTTGAATAGGAAAATAGCATGCCATCTGCCAGTGTCTCAGTGAGGACAGCCTACTTTTTGCTGTCCTTGTGAATAAACCCTGGCCTGATACCTACATGGAACTCAGAATCCACTTGTACCTTCTTAACTTGGATCATATCCTATACTGGCAATTACTTGGCAATTGTTCTCTTGTTCCTCCCTCTTTGGCCCATGGATCCTATTGATAATTAATTACCTCGAACAGGTCATTAAATGGTTGTGGCTAATTCCTAAAGCTGAGGACAATAATACAGATAGTCACTTGTGATAACCAGCTATTGTGACTAGCTTCCTTCCCACAGGGCTACCTAGAAAACACAACTGAGCAAATATAAGTATCTCCTTTCTTGCTGAGCCCGAATGTGGCCATAGAATTCTTCTTGATTAGTACCAACTGAATGGAGTTGGAGCTTAAGACAAAACTGTGATCTGTATTTAGCTTCTCACATCTGGCTGGATCCCCTTTCCTAACTGAACTATCCCTCTGGCCTTGACCAGTGTCTATCTAAGCTTATGATATACCACTGGCCACCCTTTTTTGTGTTTAGCTGGAACACAGCTTTCAATCACGGATGTGCTGGGAGACAGGATGACAAAAATGGTTTTAAGGAAAGGGGGAGTAGATGATGAAGGACTAAAAAGGGCCAAGCACCTGGCATACTTACAAAAGCATGGCCCCATCATAGACCTAGTGATCACAATTTCTGAGCTGGGGTCTAGGAATCTGCATTTTAAGTACTTGCAGTGTATTTTAAAAAAATTATTATAGAACATTTTAAATTATAAAATAGTAAAGAGAATGTATTCATCATTAATCTATAACCAATCTTGTTTCATCTATATCCTTACCCATTCTTCCTACTCCTCACCCCAGTGGATTATTCTGAAGCATAACGTTTCATCTGTAAATATTTTAGTACATATCTCTGAAAGGTAAGGACTTGAAGAAAATGTTGCCATAAACCAATACTTAAAAAAAATTCCTTGTTTTCATCAAATCTCCAGTTAATGTTCAAATCTCTCCAGTTGTCCCAAATTTAAAAATATTTAAGTCACGATCCAAATAAGATCTCACACATTGTCTTTGGTTGGTACGTCTCTTTACTCTTAAGGTCCAGACACCCGGATAGATAAGTCGAGGCCTCCTGAGTATAGAGCAGCCAGTGATTGACAGTCAGACTAGAAGATCCCTTGGCTCTGAGCAGTAGCACCATTTCTGACTGCTTCAGAGTAGAAGACTCTGAGCTCTGCTAAACCAAAGCAAATTTTTAAAAAGTTGGTGAGATCTTTAACAACTGGGTGAGAGAACTACAAATGCGTTGTTGAAAAAAGGGCACAAAAGTGTTCTAGAAATGGCATAGGACCACCAAAGGCTGTGGATGGTTTGCTGACTATGTCTTGGTCGTGGAGTTGAGAGCAATCTTTAAAGCATTAATTTGGGCTATTGATCACATCTTGCTCCCTTTATGTAAGCAGTGTGTGGTGTATGTGGAATGTGGAAATAGCCAGCACAGTGCCTGGCTCATGACAACCAAGATTCTTCCAAAGACTATACTGACAATTTCCTTGATACACTAGAACCTCAAACAGATGCAAATCTTCAAAAGATAAAGGCCTTTGCAAATGACCGACTTTCCTTCTATTTACTTAATCATAATAACTGTGATAGTTTCATTTATTAATGGCTTACTAAGGACCAGGCCATGTGTCTAGCAACTGATAGTTATTTGTTGAATGCATGAACAAGAATATTGAATGCTTTACATTTAATCCTCAGAGCATCTGCCACTATTTTGCCATGAAGTTTATTACTATCTCTGACAAAACAGTAGTAAGAACTAGGACTTATTCTTACTGTGAATTCTTAATCTGTTCTAAGTAACTCTGTATATTATTATCTCGTTCATCAGCACAACAGCTGTGTAAGTTAAGTACTATTATCCCCATTTTATGCAGGCCCAGAGTTTCAGTAACTTGGATAAGAACACAGATTATAACTGATGGTACTTGACTGAAACTTGAGCAGCCTAACTGGTTAACAGTAGTCCTGGAAGGGGAAGAGGCCAGTATCAACACTCCCATGTATAAGTTCTTGGCAAGAATAAGTTCAAAAAGGCAGGTTTAGAGGTCATGTCTAGCACAGACCATCATCAACATTGCCCCTCTCTTTCTCAAGAGTAAGGACAATGCTGCTGCTGAGGCAGGAATCAAGTTACATAAAGAGACCTCAGAAATCAATGGGATGGTTTTTTGGGTACATTGACTGGTTTAGCGCCTCTGTTCATTCGTCAAACATTTATTAAGCACCTGCTACGTGCAAAACACTGTTAACAGTGCACTACTGTGCACGCTCATTCTCAGAACAACAATCCTGCGATTCCTGGAGAGGGATGGTAGAAGAGGAGTGCTGCCTTGTTAACGAGGTTCTCCCAACTTCTTTTTTTCCTCGGGAATTGTTCTCTTTAATGTGGCACCAGCGGCAACCTTCATTCTTAGGTCGCACAAATCTGAGAAGGAAGAGAAAAACATTGCACGCAGGGCGAGACTTATATCTGGGAAGATGCGTCAGGAACTTGGGAGCACTTGGGATTCAGTCCCCTAAGGTGGTTCATGTACAGGCTGGTTTTCTAAGTGGAGAACAGATAATAGAATTTGCAGAGCCAGGAGCTCTGACTCCTGTGGCTGGGCTGACCTTAGGCTCCAGCCCGCAACCCCAGTAGGTTTCTGTGCAAAAATCTTTTGAGATGAATGCATACTTTGTCTTCTAACAATGCATTCGTGACAGCTGTCTATCCAATCGGTCCGCCTCCGTTCAGAGCAGTTCGTGCCACAGAAGCATCTCCTGCGCTATAGTTATGCAACCTCACTCGCAGCGGGAGTTATTTCCTCCGTTCTGGCTGCGCCAGATTCATGTAACACGCCTACCCTGGGCTTCAATGGAAGTCGTTCTCCATTAACAATCACTCCAGCTTTCCGAGATGAATGCCCTGATAGCATACCCCTTGCGCAGTAAGAATCCAGGCAGCGAGGCGAGGTGTTAAAACACACATACATTCTCATATTCTCTCTCTCTCTCTCTCACACACACACACACACACACACACACACACATACACTTCGTGCATGCAGCTAGGGGACTGCAGCAGTGCAACCAGGGGGACAGCAGGAGGAGCTCTCTTTGCAGTCCCTGCTTCTAACCCCCACTAACTAAAGATGAACTCATGCCAGTTCCATTCTTTGCTCTGCAAAGAAAACACACACACACACACACACACACACACACACACACACACACACACGGCAGAAGAGAGTAGCCTCCAGATTTCCCCTCTGAGCACACTGTCTTTCTAGCCTCTTCGTTCAAGCAACCCGGATATTCCAAGCAGAGTAACGGGGAGTAACGCGCCACAACAATGCAACCTCCCTAGCAGCTCCCCTCGCAGCTCCCACCCCCGCCCCCTTTCGCGGCGTGCCAAGAGTTTGGAGCGCGCGCACGCACACCGAGCACGGTGCAGGGAGGATATCCCTCCGCCTCCCTCCCCCTTTCTCCGCTAAGTGGCTCGACAACGATTTGGGAAATGAAGGGAGGAGGGAACTACTTTCCTGAAACTTGCTATGCTGCACATGACTTCGAGTTGCAGTGATTCGCCCGGAGGCCGCGGCTTTTAGTCCTACCCACACACCCTCACAGCCTGGGCACCCCGCTCGGCAGCCCCACCCCGCGCCCGCTCTGGCCTCCGGGGAAAGCGGGCGGCCGGGAGAAGTCGCGAGGGACTACTTCGCCTCCTTCTCTCGCGGGCGCCCCCGGTTCGGGCAGCGGCTGCGGCGGCGGAAGGAGCGGGCGGCGTGAGCGCTTCCGCCGCCCCCCTCGCGGCTCCCCTCTCTCGGGCGTGAGGAGCTGGCCCGCTGAGCTGCTGGTGGGCACTGGCTGGCGGGGAACCTGCAGCCGCTCTTGTCCTCTCCCGCCGCTTCTCGGGATCCTGCCCCCCGGACCCGGGCCCGCCCGCTCTTCTCCGGCCGGGTGGGAACGATCGGTTTGCCTGCCCCTCGCCTCACACGCTCCCCGCCGCCCCCTCCACCCCCCTGAGGAGGAGTCCCGGCTGGAGCGTGTCTGGAGGAATCCGCCGCCGCGGGGCCCCTAGCCCTGCTCTGCCGGCGCCTGAGGACCGACCCAGACGCCGCCGGGGGTTGAGGGGCAGCCGGCGGCGAGGCGGGAGATGGTGGGGTGGGCTCCGGCAGGACCGCGCCGCCGCTGCCCGGAGCCTGGGCTCGGCACCCCCCCGCCGGCCCCCACCGAGCGGAGCTCTGCTTCCTCCTCGCCGCATCCCTGAGGGAAGCGCCGCCTCTGCTCCCGGGTTCTCCGCCCGCCGACTCCTTCCTGGCCGGACCCCGCTGCGCTCCACCCCAGTGGCTGGAGGAGCAGCTCTCCAGTCAGCCTTTGCAGCCCCTCTCTTTTTCCCTTTCCACCGGGCCTCCTCGGATCCCTTGGCTGGGCACTGAGGCGGGGGAAGAGGCTGGGGTCGCCACGGCGGAGGTTGCTGCCGCCACCCCCCTGCGGGGGTGGCCGGGGTTCCCGGCTGGGGGGGTACCGTTCTGGGTGAGGCATCCACCATGGTGAGGCCCCTGTGCCGCTGCCCCCGCGCCCCCCCGGCCGCCGCTGCCTCCTGCCCCTCGGTGCTGCTGTTGCTCCCCCGCCTGCTGTTGCTCCTCCATCTCCAGATCGGATCACGGTGAGGGAAAGATGAGCGAGGAGACGGCGACTTCTGACAACGAGTAAGCGCCTCATTGATCTCGATTGCTAATCCCCCTCCCCCTATCCGCCCTCGGCTCTCCCCCAGACCCATCCGAAACTTGGGTGCCGGAAAGCTTGCGACCCTGGAGAGTTCGGTGCATCTTCTGGAGATAGCTGATTTCTTTAGCCATTTTTAGTGGCAGCACCCCTCCCCATCCTCCCACATTTAGCTGCTTTCTTTTGGGGTAGGGGATTAAGTGTTGGGAGAGGATGGCAATTGTACGTCTATGAGAGGGAATAATGTGGATGGATGGAAGTGGAGTAGAAACTACCCCTTTGCCTGTGAGACCCCTGTCCCGTCCTTTTTCACTCACATACCAGTCACCATACCTTCAGTATCCATCCTACTTCCTTTATAGCTGTTTCACTTGGAAACTAATGTGTGGGAGCACCTCCTGCAGCAAACTGCTCTTGAATCTTAATTCGATGAGTCAGTGACTCTTAAATACCGATTAAGCCTTCACCCTCTCCCCCCTCCCCCTTTTAAACTTATGACCTGTAAGATTCTTGTAAAAAATAGGGTTAGGGAAACATTTTTAGAATTTAATAGGATTAAGGACACCTGGAGTGTGGGCGATGTTGAGCTAGAGTTTACCTTTGTGAATATTGGACGTGTCTTCAGGAACGGAGAAGAATTTTGAATGCTAATTTTTACCTTTCAGCTATGTGAAAACACATGATTTACGTTGATGTAACCGAATTTACATTGCTGAATATGTTGGTGATTTCATTAACTTTTAGAGCATTCCGGTTTAAGTTTTAGCTTATTTGGGCTTTCTCCTTGCTTTCCAAACGAAATACTTCGTCTTTTAAATGTTTTGCTTTAACGTGACAGCTGCGTGGAGAAATAATGGTTGGCAACACTTTTCTATTGAGAAGGGATTTAATTCCAAGCAGAATATTAGCATCCGTTTTCTTGTAATTAAGTTCAACTTTTGTTTATCTTCGGAGGGTTGGAAAGAGTTAAGTGAGTTAGGACTTAGTCATTTGGATGCATTCCTTTAAATACAGTGCATTACTAAAGTCAGACCTTTTTGAAATAACTTTTTAAAGTCTGTACCGAGTCCTGTTTAACGTAAAATAGCTAGAGAAAGGCCAAACAACATTTCCTCCTCCCTTACTCCCTCCCCACCCCAAAACACACGCTTCTGCTGAGCGGGTGTAGAAGGAGGTACATTGCTGCAGTGTCAGTGCAGTGTAGAAGCAGAAGTGGCAGCCATGTTCTGTCTCTTTTTGTGAATCGCCCTCATTTGCATAGCACACTCTTCATTCATAAAAAAAATAATTAAACATCCATCACCTTGGACATCTTGAAAGGATTTCCCAAGAAAAAAAATTCGCGGCTTATTTGTCTGTGTGTAGATTTTTGAGTTCAGAAGGTAAGAAGAATGTGAAATTTTAGGTTAAATTTAAAAACATACGCACACACAAACAACTACCCCTGTTCTGAGAATGTTGACACAGTTATGTGGGAAATATCAGTTCGGGGAGGTGCTGGGATCACGTGATCGCCTCCATTCATAAAATACCTGGCTGTCCATTCAGAGTGCAGTACAGTCTCTCCCTGCCTTCTGCAGATTAGACCTACTTTGAGGGAGATCAAGAAGTCTATCTCAGATAATGGTTATTTAGGAGAAGAACTGCTAAAAATGCTGAACCGAATGACGGTAACTTTTATTGGTATCTTTCAAAAAGTTTGGATTAAAAATGTTAAGTTTTCTTTTAGAGATGGGAAAAGACTTCTTACCAGTTTAATTTTTTTCTTAAAGCAGTGAATATCTCCTTGTTTCCTTCTGGTTGCAGCTAATAAAAAAAGCAGATGATGGAATGTGAATTAACACAAGTAAAATATATTTTTTCTAAATGGCCATTTTTTTAAATACTTGCCATAAATAAATTGAGACAACAGGTTTTTTTGTATAGTGATAGTGCGTTCCACTGCTATTACAGTAAATTGAGAAAATACTCCCAGTGATTTAATCCCCAAGATGTTGATATTTGAAACACCGATGGCAATCTTCAGTGAGAGGATTGCTTTAAATATTTTTTTTTCATCTAAATGTACTTAGTATGGGACAACTTGGAAATTATCTCACTCACCCAGACTTTTAAAATCGTTTTTTCACAAATTTATCCTGCTTTATTAATAAATTATTCCCTAGGAGCTTTGTAATACTTTTTAAGTTTGGGCAGGGCGATAATAATATTTAGCATAATATTTTGGTAAACTCTTCATGGGAACAAAATCTTGGGGGTTTTACTTTAAAAAACTCTATTATATTAGAAAATAATGTGTTCATCTGATAATCAGTTTTACTAGAGCCAGCATTGTTTGCTTGTGCATTAGATAAACCACAGAGTGAACTTATTTGGAATGTAGCTTTTAATATAGTAATTTATGTCTCATCTTTAATAGGTGAACCGTTTTGAAATGGAAATTTATTATTTATAGTCATTATGAAGAAAGATACGTATCATGGCAGAAGCCATTAAGGCCTTAGCACAGTTTAAAACTGCCCTGTAACATGGATTTTATTTGGGCCTTACATTTTTTTCCCTTTTCTCTTTTTTAAAGCCATTGCTCATAGGGATTTAATTACAGTAGGGACTATTTTTAACATTCTTTAGTTTCTTTTTCACCTGATTTCAACCTTCAAGAAAAGTGAAAATCACCAGTTTCCTGGGAAACCATTAACCCTTTCTAGATAGCCATTGTGGTAAAATCCAGTAGGGCCTCATTCTGAAATCCTCGAGTACATGCTTATTATTTGAAATTAAAGTTTTATGTAGAGAAATGGATAACTCCTAGGCTGACTGTGAGAATATATTTAATCAAGAATTAGTGGGGGATCTGTTATGTGTAGGGCTTTGCTTTAATGCCAAACCAAGTAAGGAAGAAATAAATTAGAATAAAGCATTTCTTAGATTGTTTCACATTTATGTTTAAAAATCTTACTTTTCAAAAATAGTAAACATACTCTAGAGCAAAAGAATTTGTGTTATAAATAGTAGAGGAAATAGCCACATACATGTTTGTTTTGTAGGTAATTTGCACAGAGACTGTTTAATACTCCAGTCAAATGTTTCCGATAGATATAACTGTACCATATTTTACATTATTGAATTAGCCTTCTAAATAGAGTTTTAAACATTTAAAGGCATATTATATAATACTTAAGAGTCTTTGTCCTTTGGTATTGAGTGTATATAGCACTGCATGTCCTTTTGTCAATTTGGCCAAAACATTTGGAGAAGTGAAGTAGCTGAAATAATAAGCATTTGGCTTATTAGGTTCACGTTAGCCAGAAACACTTCCTGTGTCAGTATTAGGCTTTCTAATAGCAAGTTGGGATTATATTAGATTTTGGAATTAGGTTAACTAGAATTAGACCATGTATGATAAACGTACTATGTTGTAATCTGAGTTTGAACTGTTTTTCCGTAAATAGAAAGCAAATTTTTATGGTTATATCATTTAGTGCCTCATAAAAAATATACCCAGTGGTGAGTTATTTTTGATAAGTGTAAATAAACATATGTTCACCCCATACATTTTACGTATGTATATGTATGTACACACACACACATATATATATATATAAAATTGGAAAACATTCTAGAAATAAATGGAAGCACTGGAAAGCTGTGTAATATTAAGCCATCTAATGTTTGTTTATATAGATGTGGTGTATACATAATATAAAAATTTGCTTATTATTCAGTTGGCCTGTGTAAAAATCAGCTAAATGACTGCATACTTGCTTCAACTTAATTTCCCTCTGCTTTCTCACTTAAAACTTTATGATCCTGAATTATATATTTTAAACACATTATGATACCATACCTAGAATTCCTCTCCTTACAAACTTTTGTAAATTTGTCATTTTTCCCCAAAAGACCTTCTCTCTTCCCCTCTTTCAACACTCTGTCCCTCTATGTTGCCTCTGTACTTCGTACATATGTATATTAGTTTTAAAATCATATAATATTGTGATTATTTACTTATTTCTATGACCGCTATTCTGTAATTCCCTACTTTTGTTTGTATGCCTAGCACAGTGCTTGATGGCAAATGCTCTACAAATGTGGTTGAATTAATGGAGCCTCATTACCTCATTTTTTTGTTTTCTCTGAATTTATGCATTTGAGATCATTAGCTGTATTAGAAAAAAAGGCCGAAAAAGAGTATGGGAAAAGTAAATTATTACCCGTTTAAGAAGGCTTACCTTTTTTTTTAAGAAAAGACAAAAATTGGCCTCATTTTTGACATGTTTTGTTTCTGCAAGTTTGAGAAATAACTTAGATCAGGCTTAAAAACTGTCCTAAAGTGCTGTTGGGATGTTTGGATGTGCTTGGCCTCTGAGTTATGTGGTGTATCTGAAGACCCGTGTTATATCCACAAGAAGGTAGACATTTGTGTGTCTGTCTTTTTTGGCATAGGAAGCTCAAAATTTAGGAATATGTATCTCCAGCTGTTTATCAGTTTTAAGTCTTTAAATTGCTCTCCCTTTCCCCCATGGTTCCACATTAGTGCCAAGGGTGAGGAACTGACTAGGGATAAAGAAGTGAAATTGATCAGGAAAGGGTAAACAGCAGCAGATTCCGTGATTTTATACTGCAGCTGTTGGTGACTGAGAACTGCCTAAGGGGAAAGTGTAACAATTTAGCCTTTTCTCTGGTGTTGTATAACTTGAACTTGACTAGTCTTACCCAGTTTGGGGAAATGATTGGTAAAGACAAGCCTGCTTTTCTTCTCCATCTTTCAGTAGGAACAGGAACGACATTAAAAATGCCAATTTAAAAAATGCTTCACCCCATGTAAGAGTAGTAGTTTATTTCAGATAATGTACAAAATGATCTCTAAAGTGAGTAATAATTTATTTGCAATTCTGCCATTAAATAACAGCTGCTAAAATTTTGGTCTACATGGAAACCTTTCTTATGATGTTGGTGATGAAACATATTCATTTATTAGATTTTTACTGTATGCCAAGCACTGTTATAAATGCTTTATGAAAGCATTATGTAGTTTATATATATACATGTGTTTCTTCTCAGTGGAATGGAATTGCACAGTGGGTACAATTGTAGCTTAATGTGAATATTTTCTTAAGTCGTTAAATATTCTAGAATATAATTTTTAGTGGCTACATTATGTTCAGTGTATGATATACATTAGTTGTAATCAGTCTCCTATTGTTGGATATTTTAGTTATTTTTAAACAATGTTGCATACCATCCTGAGTTCTGTCTCCATCCAGATCTCTTACTTTTCCCTTGAGATAGTCTAAGAATGGAGTTAAAAGAGAGGAAAATATTTAATTTTATTCTTTCTGTTAAATTGCCCTCTAGAAAAGAAGTATTTAGTATATGAGAGTGCTTAAACTTTGAAATGTCTGTACAGTTGTCTGAATTTTTCTTTGCCAATTTTGAAGGTAGAAAATGAAGTCTTATTTTTTAAATGCTTTATGGTAAAATAAAATTGATTTAAAAACTTATTAGGTTGTTTTGCGGTAACTAGAATGTTTTTAAATGCTATATTATAAATAGAATTTAAGTGCTCATGTAAAAGCCATTTGTACATCATTTATTTAACTCTTACCATCTTCTGTGCAGTATGGTATAGTCTAAAGAACACTGGACTTGAAATTGGGAGATGGATTTCTTTTGTAGCTATTTTTAATTTATTCTCTAATCCTGGGCTCTGTAGGCCTCAGTTTGCTGATTTATAAATTAAAGAATTTGGACTAAGCATCATATGTGCCCTTCCTTTGTTGATGGTGTATGATTTAGACTTTGTTAATTTTATTATATTGTTATTTTTGACATACTTAAACAAAAGACTTAAGAGTAGAAGTGGTAGGAAGATTAGGTAAAAGCATGCATTTTGAACAATTAAGATACAAAATTTGGAAACAATTGGTATATTAATAGTCTTTTAAGACTTACTTTGGGCTTAATAGCCATGTATCTTTGATGACACAAAATTTTGTACTACTCAATTTTGTTTTTTATGTATTTATTTATTTTAAAGAGGCAGGGTCTTGCAGTGTTGTCCAGGCTGGAGGGCAGTACAGTGGTATGATCATAGCTCACTGCAGCCTTGAACTCCTGGGTTCAAGTGATCTCCCACCTGTGCCTCTTAAGTAGCTAGGACGACAGGTGTGCCACCACACCTGGCTAATTTTAAAATTTTTTGTGGTGATCGGGTCCTGCCCAGGCTGGTCTCAAATTCCTTGGCTCAAGTGATCCTCTTGCCTTGGCCTCCCAAAGGGCTGGGATTACTGGCATGAGCCACCATGCACAGCCCTCATTTTAAAAAAGAGAAAAAAAGTATGGCCTCCATCTGTGGATGAATAAGTAAACAAAGGCTATTGGGCTTAAACACCAACTTGATTAGTTCTACAAGGAATATGCTAACAAGATACCAGTCTTTATGCTTTACTTACAGAAGTAAGTTTTTTACTAGGTCACTTATACAAATCAGTAATGTAACACTAGGGGATAACTGTATATTAGTTTAAGAAGTTAACTCAGGTAATGAATTTTGTTATTCTTTAATGTTTAGATTTATGATAAGTATTATGTCATAGCTGCATCTCAGAATCCAGAACCAAAATTATTACATATCTGTGAGATTGTGTTTTTGCGATACTCAGAATGAAAAACAGTTCATTAATAATGGATTTCACGCTAAGGTATTATGTTGCTGTAGACAAAGCATTCTTAAAATTCAGAGTGTTTGCGGGCTTGAAGGAAAATGTGACGTTCTTACTAATCTCAACCTGAACATTCATAATTAAAGGAAGTGTTAACAAGCTATGACAGTATTAGAGGTACTTGTGACAGCAAATGTGTTAGTTTTTATTGCTGCTTTAACAACGTACTACAAATTGGGTGGCTTAAAAAGCAACAACAAGTTTATTGTCTCACAATTACTAAAGGTCCAAAATCAAAAAGTTGGCAGGGCCATGTTCCCTCTAAAACCAGTAGGGGAATCCTTTCTTTTGTCTTCCTTGCTTCTGGTGGTTGTTGGGAACCTTTCACATTCCTGAGCTTGGAGCTGCATAATTCCATGTCTTCATCATCACATGGCGGTGTTCTCCCTGTGTGTTTCTATCTTCATTTGAGTGATACCAGTCATTGGATTAGGAGCCTACCCTACTGCAGTATGACCTCATCTTAACTAATAAGGTCATGGGGCTAGGACTTCTACATGTATTTTGGGGGAGACACAGTTCAACCCATAACACCAATAGAAACTACGGATTTTTTTTTTCTTATAGCACAATTGCTGTTAGCTGTTACAGCTATCTTGAAATACCATTTATAGTCATCACTAATTTGAAATTATTATAGTTATTAAAGCTATTGCTAGAGCATATATTTTAAAGTGTTAATAAAGAACCGCATTATTACCATATCAAAATGAAAAATATTTCAATAACTATGTCAATATAATTAATTTCTTTTGTAATACTGTGTATGTTGTTTTAGGCCCCTAATATTGTTCTGAGAAAGGGGTCATAAGCTTTACCAGGCTGCCAAAAACATCCATGACACAAAAGGCTAAAATCTTCTGCAATGGACAGAAGCCCAGAAGCCTGAACCCAAAGATAGAGATATAAAATAGGAAGAGTAAGAAACATGAGGATAAGATGAGTAACTCCAACATACAGCTAACAGTTCCAAAAGAAGAGAATAGAGGAGACGAAATATTACAAATAGTGGCTGCAAATTTTTAAGAACTAGCAAATCAAACCTCACTCAGCGAACTAGAACAAAACAAAGCCTCACAGTCAAATGGGGTTTATCTTGAGGATGTAAGAATGGATCAACATGAGAAAAGCAGTGCATTTTATCACATTTGAAGATTAATGGAGAGAAATGATACGATCTTAATAAATGCCAGAAATGTCATTTAATCTCTGCCCATAATAAAGTAAATGTTCATAAATATAGAGACAAATTATTTTTCTGCTCTCTAGAATTTCAGATTTTTAATTTTTCTGATTTAAAACGAGGGTGTGGGATTTACTTAACTTTGGGATTTTAGTCCAAGAGTTCTAGAATCATAACTGATTTTTTTGTACTTCTGAATTAATATATCATTTCTGTTACTCAGATGTAGGATTGACTGGTGGAAATTGCCTTGTGTCTGAAATTTCTGAATTACCTTGCAAGGCATTTCTTTCTGTGTTTGGAGAGCAAAGAATAACCTTTAGTAAATTCAAGAGTAATTGGAATTAAATTTCAGCCTAATATCAGTTTAATAATTTTATGTCTAAATTTAATCTGTATGACAGGAGTTATAATTTGTTTTTGTTTTTGTTTTTGTTTTTTTAATTTATTTTTTAGACGGAGTCTTGCTCTGTCTCCCAGGCTGGAGTGCAGTGGCGCCATCTCGGCTCACTGCAAGCTCCGCCTCCTGGGTTCACGCCTTTCTAACAGGAGTTATAATTTGGATAAAGGCCATTATGAACTTGGAATGTGGAATGTAATTCTTTTTCCTGGTAGTATTTAGTGATACTATTGCATGTGATTAAACACATTTTGCTTGAGCTGTTCATGTAGTTAGGAATTACATTCACAAATACAGTGTTTTTTAATGACTTCTATATATTAGCATCCCGTGGCAGGATTGCCAAAAATTTAGATAAAATTTAGTGAGTTGTGTCTTTTCTGATGCCACTTTTTCAAAGTTACTGTAACTTTTACCACTTCAGAGTGTTTTTATTCACTTCAGCACAGTCACCAAACTCTTTTTTTTTTTTTTTTACTGTTTTATTGTGTTATTTTTATACTGTGAGATTGGGGAGTTCTGGGGTTTCCCCCCTTAATATGTAAAAGCAGTATTAAACATTTCAGAATTTTAGTTGCTGGATTATATATATTGACTTTTTACACTTTCAGGATAGATTTGAACAGGGACCATTAATAACTTTTTCCTAAAGAAATTCAGTTCAGTGGCATTTGAATGAGTGCTTACTAGGCACTTGACTTTTGCCTTAGCTTTGGAGATACAAAGATAATTAAAACTTTAAAATCGCTATCACAGTCCACAAGGGAAATAGATACTTCTGAAATGTGATGGGTGTTCTGGTTATAAAGTTCTTCAAGGCTCAAGGAGAAAGTGATTCTACCTGGGAGTTGGTGGCAGGATGGTGACTGTGTGAAGGAAGGCTTCAGGAAAGAAGTGGCATTTTAAGAGTCAGCCATGAATGAGAGCATGGAATGGGGGAAGGGTATTCCAACCAGGAAGAGAGGGGGCAGAAGACAAGCACAGAAAGAAGAAAAAGTTGGAGGAAAGGCAATACCTTTTTGGATACAGTTGTTTGGAGGAGTTGTTAAGGAAAGTGTTGAGGGACCAGATTGTGAGTAGTGTAGATTTGTGCTTACCTGTATATCACCAACTGTGGGGCAAGGGATGGTGGCTAGGCCTAAAATATGAGACACAATATGAGCATGGCAGAAGCCCCTGGAAATCAGTTTTTCTTGAAAAGTTGAATATTTATCTGACTGGTTAGTAATAAGATGAATTTTGAACAGAGTTCCCATTAATTTTATAGATGAAACACCGAAGAGTTGAAAGAAAATTTGTTCTTTGAGCTACCTTCCCTCCTCACCACAACTATCTTTAGTCAGTAAGGATACTTAATGAGAGACACCAGGTGAAGTTTTCATCATGTAGACAGTGGCGACTCAGTATTTTAAGTGAGGGAATGATAATCCAATTTGTGTAAAGCAGGGCTTCTTAGGACAGTTGACTGGAGGGAGAAGAAAATGAACTTCAGTTGATGAGGAAGAATGTAGTAAGACAACAAAACAGAGCTGGGAATAGAGCATTTGGAACTATTGGGGACTCATATGAGAAGAAATTCAAATGTCCAACGATTATTTGACTGAATGTGAAGGAAGGAGTAGGAAGGTTGTGGGATGACTTGAACATTTTAAATTTAGGCCGCTGTAATGCTTTTAAATGAAGGTGGGAATAGAGATGAACCCGGTTTTTTAAATGGGAAAATAACCCAGTTTTGATCTTTTTTAGTCTGGGTGCTTACTGGATGTCAAGGTAGAAAGTGTCCAACAAGGTGCTTTAACTATAGGTTGAGTTCTCAAAAAGGTTAAGAGGGTAGAGTTATAGTGACATCTTCAGCATATATAGTAGTTGAGGCCAGTGGAAAATTTCCCATTGAGAATATTAAGTAATAATGGAAAGATGACAAGTGAGAAACAGCAGTGTTTTTAAGGGAGAGTAGAAGAAAGAAGAGACGCCAAAAGACGGAAGTGGCTTAAGTGGTAGGAGAGCTCTGAGAGGAAAGTATTTTAGAAGCCAAGGGAAAAAGGAGTATTGAGAAAGCGTTAGATATCACAGAAAAATTAGATTGGTGATTTCTAAGACAAGGATATAACCGTTAGGATGTCATTGACCTTTGTGGGAGTAATAATGGGGACAGAAGTCAGGTTTTGCTATAGGTTGAGGGTGTCCAATCTTTTGGCTTCCCTGGTCTACTTTGGAAGAATTGTCTTGGGCCACCTATAAAATACACTAACACTAAAGGTAGCGGATGCGCTAAAAAAAACGAATCACAAAAAAAATCTCATAATGTTATAAGAAAGTGTACAAATTTGGGTTGGGCTGCATTCAAAGCCGTCCTGCCACATGCAGCCCATGGGCCGCGGGTTGGATGAGCTTGCTGTAGATTAAAGAGAAAATAAGAAGTGCTGAAGCAGAGAAGTCATAGAGTAGATGCTAGTCATTTAGGGCGAAGTTAGTAGTTGAAGTTTATTTGTTGGCTCATGTCAGTAGTGGAGAAGAAGAGAAAGAAAGACTTAAGGAATGGCATAATGGATGGAGCAAGGCCTAGGACAGTCTATCAAATTGTTTTACTGGTTGTCACACACTGTTAGATTTAATCCTTCTAAAGATCATGTGAGCTAAGTATCCATAGTTTACAGATGAGATAACTGAGA
This sequence comes from Homo sapiens, assembly GCF_000001405.40. Taxonomy (NCBI): domain Eukaryota; kingdom Metazoa; phylum Chordata; class Mammalia; order Primates; family Hominidae; genus Homo; species Homo sapiens. Next base: position 38,264,211 of record NC_000015.10, read on the forward strand.
CTCATGAAAGGTTTAGTAACTTGCCATGGCCACGCAAGAGAGTAAAGTGGTAGAACTGAGATTCAAACTGCACAGTATTTATACCACACTGTACGTCATATACTTTATTGACAGACTAGATTTTAAAGAAAAAATTAGCTTGAAGTGGTAGATTGACACATAGAACTGATAGCTGTTTTGAAGAACTGCAAGTTTTGGTAAAGTTAAAGAGCTTGTAGAGTGTAAGTGGGAAAAATGGAAAGACAAAGAGATTTTGATCATAGAACAATGGCTCCAGAGTGATGACATGTGAGGGAAGATTAAAGTAGAAACAGGGATGAAGGTTATTGGAGAAGCCAGGATCTGCTAAAATGTTTTTTTTAAAAAAGAGTGAACAGTATGGATGTTTGGATAGCTAGGGTGGTATCAGGAGTTGAGGTGGAGAGAAATCCTAAGCCAGTGCCAGTGTATTTAATGTGAGTGTGGGTTGAGTGACTTAGAGTGCTGGTATCACTGTTGCCACCTCCCTCTGCAATCAAGAGAGACAGGGGTAAGGATTTTGGAATTGGAGGTTGAAGAAAAGGGTATTGGGGAAGAGGATAAGAAAAGGGAAGGGTTTAGCTGGGAAGATTTGAGAGTATTTGCAATGATAGGATGTCATGTAATAATGGTCCTATCAGGAACGAGTGATTCTGAGAATTAGCAAGTAGAGGGGAAGAGAGACATGTAAATAAACTATCCAAATTAAGGTCTTATTAAGAACTTTACGTTTTTATGAGAGGCAAACCAAGATGTTGACTGATATTGCAGGGTTTTATCCAATACATTATATTGTCATTTATGGGATTTTGTAGCCTTTGGGTTCTCCATTCTTAATGTGGTTAGAGAAGCCCTTTCAAATAAAAATTTACTAATTTAAATTTTACAGTTAACCTGGTGTTCACAACTAACATAATCCTGGGGTTACTGCTGACTGTAGCATTAAGACATTGGCAAATAACATAACCTGTCTTTGTCCTTGCCTTTTATCTATAAAACCAGGATAATATGTCCCTACTTCAGAGGGATACAACCTCTGAATGTAACCTCTCTCCCTACAATAACATTTTTTGATTAGAGATAAAAGAATATTAAACAGAACTTTTAGTTCTTCAGAAGGAAGGTACTATGTTTATAAAATAATCAGTGCTCATTTTCATTTAGCCTGAAGGTGGGGTCGCTTTTTAAAAAGGATTATTAACCTACTAAGAAAAATTGTGTTTCATTTTAAATGTTAGAAAGCAACTTTTCAGAAAAACTTAAAATCTAAAAATTCCAACATTAGAAAAAAATTTATATTGTGAAAATTTTCTTCCATGTTCTGGGCAGACTGAAGAGGTAGATGTAACTAGTCTTGAGTAGGTTAATAAGACAAACAACTAGCTCTAAGTAGTTTTTTTTTTAATTTTTAATACAACTATTTAGTTATAAAAGGAGTATATTTCTAGAACTTATTAAAATAATTTTAATACCTGAGCACAGTTTGGAAGTCTAAGTAGATTCGGTGTCTTGCCATCATTTTTAATGGAAAAAAACATCTTACAGTTCAATCCAGGAACTTTCAAATATTGTTGTATGGCAAGCAGAAATCTATTTTCGTGGGAGAGAATGGGAGAGGAAGATTTTTCAGCTTAGGGGAATTATTAAGTTATTAAAGGTTTAGAATTTAATTTTTTTGCAGCTGTAATTAAACTAAGATTCCTATTAGATGGACGCACTATTTCTGCCAGCTAGAAATTCATTGTTCTTGATTTAGTCTGTTAACTGTAATTTGGACAGCTGATGGTCTGTATGCTCATGTTTAGTTAAGTTTTATGGTCATTAAAAGCTAAAGCAAAAATACGTTTACATTTTGCTTTAGCCTGATGTTTAGTCCTAGCATTCTGAAAAAACTGTATAATTTGTTAATTCAAAAATAATTGCCTTGGACACATAATCAGAAACTTGGTTTAGGAATGAGTTATGTATGAATCAAAATCTTAAATGAGCATAAATCAGGGACTTAAAAATATGATGAAGAATGCACATACTTTTTCTCTTGATGAAGGTTATTGGATCCAAAAATCAAACTTAATTAACTTAGTAACAGTTAAGAACATATAACAGCCTTAAATGATGTATCAAATTAGGGCCAGGCACGGTGGCTCATGCCTGTAATCCTAGCACTTTAGGAGGCCGAGGTGGGCAGGTTGCCTGTGCTCAGGAGTTGGAGACCAGCCTGGGCAACATGGCAAAACCCTTTCTCTACTAAAAATACAAAAAAATTATCCAGGCATGGTGGTGCATGCCTGTAGTCCCAGCTACTCGGGAGTCTGAGGCATGAGAAATGCCTGAACCCGGGAAGCTGAGGTTGCAGTAAGCCAAGATCGTGCACTGTGCTCCAGCCTGGGCAACAGAGTGAGACTCTGTCTCAAAAAACAAACAAACAAACAAACAAACAAACAAACAGGATATTCTTCAACTTTGTATTATCATTTTTAAAGAGAAGGAGAGTGGCGAGAGATGGATGAGACAGACTGGCTTCTAGCCACCTTAGTTTTCCTTAGCAATGTTTCCTAGTCTTGATACTTGAAGAGCAAGCAAACTGAGCTTCTAAGTGAGCCAAAAAGAAAAAAAAAAAATTATTGGATGTTGTATATAGACTCTACTGCTTTTGAGTCCGAACTGTGTTTTGTGTACTAGGCCCTAGCATATAACACATAAGAAGCATAATTTGACTTACAATTACTGGCTAATAGCAGATCATCCAATTTTTGCATTTACCCTATCTCAGATTTAGTCAGGTGGTATAAGGAAAAAAATGAAAGTAAGCTAAAATCCTTTAGGAAAACAATGAGCAATAATTACATCAAAAGAAATCAACTAAAAACCCAGCACAGCTTTCAACTGCATCTAGTTCCATACACATTTTTGCTTGTGTACATACACATATTATTTACCTGATTAAGTATATCACCTGATATACTTAATATAAAGACTTAGGCGTATATCTAGTTTTTAAATAATCATTTTAGTACTGTAATATTTCACATTGTTTTACCAAAAGTTTACCTACTTGTTATCTCTTTAAAGAACACTTTAGGTTTCCAGCTCTTTGCTATTACAAATAACATTTTTAAGGAGCATCTTTTTGCATATAAATATTTTCTTCTCTTTAGTAAAATTTCTTAAGATAAATTTACAGGAGTGGGATAAGTGTGTCAAAGAGTACAAGTGGTTTTTTAAAATTCTTAATATGAACTGCCACTTCTGAAAATTCACATTTTTTTCTATCGTGGATTATTTGTAATGAAATTTGTTCTTAAATTTCTTAGATTCCTTTTTTGTTCTTTGGTACCTTGTGGTTTTATGTAGCTCTCAGTACATAATTAAATGACAGCTCATATATGAGTAAGTAACAGCATTGGCCTAAAATCATTTCATGCATTTAGTCTTTATAATAACCATGTAAGTGTTTGTTATAATGTTACTACTCCCATTTACAAAGCCAAGGAAACTGAGGTGCAGGAAAGTTAAATGACTTGGCAAAGATTACATACTTGGTAAAGTCTTATGATTCCAAAGCCTATGCCCTAAAACAATGGCTTTCAGACTTTTTGACTGCATCACAGTAACAAACACATTCTGCATTTTGACACTTTGACATCAGCAGTGTACATACACGCACGTATGCCCATAGGATATACATATGAAAAGATTTAGTGTTTAAAAAGCTTTCCATCTTTTCCTAATACACATAATTAAAAACATTTCATATTGGGAAAACAACTGTCCTAGTGATTAGAATTCAGTGTTCACATAACTCTGAGTTAGTTTACTGGATTTACAAATAATTATATACTTATAAAAGATTAATTTGCAATACATTGCTATATCATTTGGAGCACTTCAGTGAAGACATCTGAAAAAGCAATGATGTAATAACATTTGCTGTCTCTACTCTAGCTACAGCAATTCAATTCTGAATTCTTCTGCAGTCCCTCACAGCTCAGCCTTGAAACCCACTCTTGTGAGTATCCTATGCCTTTTAGTATTATCTCTTATTTTCATGAAATAAGCTGAACATAAATGTGAATCTTCACTACCAACACGGAGGTACATCCTTAGAGGAGAACAACATCCCAAATACTTCACAGTAGTTTAGAACAGGGAATTTTTCAATGGCAATGGGTCTCCATCAGCATTATGTTTCCATGTAGAATGGAATAGAATACCAAAGTCAGCCTGTGTGTTGTCACAGTAAGTCTAAGTTGTTTTGTGAAAAGTTATGTGTGTGCGTGATACACTTACCCTTGTGACTACCAGTCATTCCCAAACAAATTCACAAGGATGTTGAGACCATGTAGGGGGTGGGGGAATAGCCTAAACATTTAAAAGTGACCAGGGTATAGTAAATGATAAATCATCATACAGGACCCATCATTTAAAAAGATATTGTTAATACTGTGTTATTTGAGCATACTTTCCTTATTGCTTTATGTTAATGAAAGTAAGGTAATTAAAAGATTTTTCACAGGTTGTGTTAAAAGTGTATGGCTTCAGTCTCTTAACCTTGTTTTCTAAGTTTTTACTGTTCATTCCTTAATAGTAACCATATCATCTTAGTTGGAGAGGGATTCCTATCTACCTCAGTACATTTTCAGTCTTTGAAATCATCAGATTATAAAGGAGTTGTAGAAACAGAAATCATATTTATAGTACTAACTTTTTTCTTTTTTTTTTTTTTTTTTGAGACAGAGTCCCGCTCCGTCGCCTAGGCTGGAGTGCAGTGGCGCGATCTCGGCTACTGCAAGCCCCGCTTCCCGGGTTCACGCTATTCCCCTGCCTCAGCCTCCTGAGTAGCTGGGACTAAGGTGCCCACCACCATGTCTGGCTAATTTTTTTGGTATTTTTAGTAGAGACGGGGTTTCACCGTGTGTTAGCCAGGGTGGTCTGGATCTCCTAACCTTGTGATCTGCCCGCCTCAGCCTCCCAAAGTGCTGGGATTCCAGGCGTGAGCCACCGCACCCAGCCAGTACTAACTTTTTTTTAAGAGACAGTGTCTCTCACTTTGTTACACAGGCTGGAGTGCAGTGGCACAATCACAGCACGCTAACCTCGAACTGTCAGGCTCAAGTGATTAATCTGTCTCAGCCTCCTGAGTAGCTTGGACTACAGGTGCCTGCCGCCATGCCCAGTAATTTTTAAATTTTTTTGTAGAGACAGGGTCTTGATTTTGTTGGCCAGCCGGGCTGGTCTCAACTCCTGAGCTCAAGTGGTCCTCCCACTTCAGCCTCCCAGAGTGCTGAGATCACAGGTGTGAGCCACCATGCCTGGCCCTTACTACTAGCATTTAATTCATTGTCTCTCACTGTTTTTTCCAAATGTTTGTTACTTTACTGAAAGATACTACCTTTGTTATCTGCTAAAATTTTTACTTCCATTTGCTGCCAGTTGGGCTTTATTAGAATTCTTTGAGAATCTAAAGCAGTGAGTACAATAGAACATTCTGTGATGATGGAAACATTCTGTTTGTGGTATCCACTATGGTAGCTACTATATAGTTATTTGGCTGTACTTGAAGTGGTTTGAGTGACTGAGGAGTTAAATTTTAAATTTTATTTAATTTATATAGCCACAAGTGGCCAGTGTTGACTGCTGTATTGGATGGCACAAATCTGGAGCATTTCTTTCTTTCTTTTTTTTTTTTTTTTTTTTGAGACAGAGTCTTGCTCTGTCTCCCAGGCTGGAGTGCAGTGGCACGATCTTAGACCACTGCAACCCCTGCCTCCCAGGTTCAAGTGATTCTCCTGCCTCAGCCTCCCGAGTAGCTGGGATTAAAGACGTGTGCCACCATGCCCGGCTAATTTTGTATTTTTAATAGAGACGGGGTTTCAACCATGTTGGCCACGCTGTCATGAACTCCCGACCTCAGGTGATCTGCCTGCCTCGGCCTCCCAAAGTACTGGGATTACAGGCATGAGCCACCATGCCCAGCCCAAATCTGGAACATTTCTATTCCTTCAAGCCCAACACCTTTTTTGAAAACTATGACATGTTCTCCATTCACTCTGCTGAAGAAAGTTTCTAATTGTTTTTTCATGGAGAGGTAACTTGAGGTAGCATAGCTTTTTCCAAAATGTGGAATTTGCCACTGGTATGTAAGATAATTTTAGTTGTTTCACAGACATGGCATTTATATTAGTCTGTTCTCACTGCTATAAAGAACCATCTGAGATGGGTAATTATTAAGAAAAGAGGTTTAATTAACTCACAGTTCTGTAGGCTATACAGGAAGCTTGGCAGGGAGGCCTCAGGAAACTTACAATCATGGTGGCAGGCAAAGGGGAAGCAAGTATTAGCAAGGCAGAGCAGGAGAGAGCCAAGTGGGAAGTGCTACACACTTCAAACAACTAGATGATCTGAGAACTCTATCACAAGAACAGCGAGGGGGTAGTCTGCCCCTCTTTCAACACATGGGGATTACATACTCGACCTGAGATTTCAGTGGGGACACAGAGCCAAACCAAATCAGCATTAAATTAAATTGAGAAGTTATTCCTTTCTTAATACTTGTTGAATTTTAAATTAAAAAAATGTATGTATGTATGTATATATACTAATTAGTATACTAATCTTCATATATCAGCTTTTGTACATATGTCTCTTGAACTGAGTGAAATGTTTTCTTTAAACATTTCTTGTTGATACCTTTGAGGTAGTGCTTTGTAAAGCTAATCATCTTTATGATCTGCTAGATGAACCATAGATTGTTGTTCATTTGTTTGTTTTGCTTTATTTTACCTTTTAGACACTGGGTTTTTAAAGATAAATATTATATAAAAATGATTCTTCTGGTGATATGAGAATTTACTTAATAATTATTGAGCGACAAAGTCATTAGACCCAATAATAAATACCTAATTATCCGTGTATCATGCCAAAGTGTGATATTATCTAAATGTCAGATGTTAAAGTGTTTAGATTCTATGAAAATAGTGTTTAGACCTGTTTCAGTAAGGAAATGTCTTTTAATTCAAAGTCATGTGTATGCTGCATATTTTAGTGGTAATTAAATGTTTCAGTGCAGCAGACCCTAAAGGATCAATCACACATGTGCATTGGAATGCTGGGCTAATAGAAACAGCCAAACAGATGGAGATCAGGATGTTGCAGCATTTCTTAGTAGTCACATTTAGTCCATCTCCTGGATTTTACATTGCTCTTAGGTTTGACAGTCATTAATGTTGATACTTAATGAAATAGAGACAGCTAACATTTATTGAGCACTTATTATATGTTAGAGAAAGGATAGAAACTAACATTTTTGAAGCTTACTCTGTTCCAGGTGTTAGGACAGTAGGCTTTAGAGATGAATAAAATCTAGATCTTTCCATCGTGCAGTTCTCAACCTAATGTTAGAAGTAAATGATTGATTGGTTCTTTGGTAAAAAAGGACTTAGAGATATTGATTCCCTGCTAGAGGAAATACATTTTTCCCAGGAGAGTGAGAAAAACTGCTGAAAATAAAAATTATTTCATTAAAAAAATTTCCATTCTTATTTTAGATTTGGGGAGTACATGTGCAGGTTTGTTACAAAGGCATATTTCATGATGCAGAGGTTTGGGGTATGACTGAACCTGTCACCCAGGTAGTAAGCATAGTACCCAATAGTTTTTCAACCCTTACTTCCCTCCCTCCTTCCTGCCATATAGTAGTCCCCAGTGTCTATTGTTCCCATCTTTATGTCCAGGAGTACCCAATATTTGGCTCCCCCTTGTAAGAACAGTGGTATTTGGTTTTCTGTTCCTGCCTGAATTCACTTAGGATAATGGCCTCCAGCTGCATACGTGTTGCTGCAAAGGACATGATTTTGTTCTTCTTTGTGGCTGCATAGTATTCCATGGTATATATGTACCACATTTCTTTAACCCACTGTTAATGGGCATCTGGGTTGATTCCATGTCTTTGCTTCAGTGATCATGAGTGCACGTGTCTTTTTGGTAGAACAATTTATTTTCTTTAGGATATATACCCAATAATGAGATTGTAGGGGTCGAATGCTAGGTTTTTTTTTTGAGATGAAGTCTTGCTCTGTTGCTGAGGCTGGAGTGCAGTGGTGCAATCTTGGCTCACTGCAACTTCTGCCTCCCAGGTTCAAGCCATTTTCCTGCCTCAGCCTCCCAAGTAGTTGGGATTACAGGCACCAACCACCACGCCCAGCTAATTTTTGTATTTTCACTAGAGACAGGGGTTTCACCATGTTGGCTAGGCTGGTCTCGAACTCCTGACCTCAGGTGATCTGCCTGCTTCAGCCTTCCAAAGTGCTGGGATTACAGGTGTGAGCCACTGTGCCCGACCTCGAATGGTAGTTTGGTTTTAAGTTATTTGAGAAATCTCCAAACTGCTCTCCACAGTGGCTGAACTAATTTACATTCCCAGCATTGTGTAAGTGTTCCTTTTTCTCTGCAACCTTGCCAGAGTCTGTTATTTTTTAACTTTATAATAATAGCCATTCTGACTAGTGTGAGATGGCATATCTCATTGTGATTTTGTTTTGTATTTCTCTGATTATTAGTGATATGGAGCATTTTTCCTTAGGTTTGTTGGCAACTTGTATGTCTTCTTTTGAGCAGTGTCTGTTTATGTCTTTTGCCCTTTTTAAAATGAGGTTATTTGTTTTTTGCTTGTTCAGTTATTTAAATTGCTTATAGATTCTGGATATTATGTCTTTGTTGGATGCATAGTTTATGAATATTTTCTCCCGTTCTGTAGGTTTACTCTGTTGATAGTTTCCTTTGCTGTGCAGAAGCTGTTAGTTTAATTAGGTCCCACTTGTCAATTTTTTTGTTACAATTGCTTTGGAGGACTTAGTCGTAAATTCTTCTCCAAGGCCCATGTCCTGAATGGTGATTTCTAGGTTTTCTTCTACGATTCTTATAGTTTGTGGTGTTACATTTAAATCTTTAATCCATCTTGAGTTAATTTTTGTATATGGCTGGGATAGCTGGCTAGCCATATGCAGAAGAATGAAACTGGACCCCTACCTTTCACCATGTGTAAATTACCTCATTTTGAAGAAACATCTTTATGTGTTATACTTAACTTTATAGTTCAGTAGTAGTCTTGTGATCTAAGTAGCTACAATCTTAACTGTTTTTGATTCACTTTGAAGTTTGTATGGCATGATAGATTGTGTAAGAAGGGTTAAAGATTTATTGTCTGTTAACAACATAGAGCTCAGGATCAAATGAATATCATGAACTAAGTTTTTTTAACCTTAGCCTTAATTTTTATTTTTATGTATTATTAATATATATATATATATATATATATATATATATATATATGAATAATAGTTTTTTTCCTATAGGATGTGTAGGACTTTAGTGTTTTTAAAAAAATTATTCCCTTCACTAGCAAGAGCTTGAAAATGGATAATTTGTAGCTAAATGATAATTTAAATTTAAATGATAATTTGTAGCTAAATGATAATTAGCCCAGTTGGGTCTGGCATGAGATGTATGAGATGTGTCATTCTAAATCATGTAAATGGCCCAAACTGCCCGGATTTCTGATTGGAAGACGAAGGGAGGATTTTAGGTGAAGAACACGGTGGTGGTTCCCGACTCCTTAAATAAGTTGTCATGAACCTACTGAACTATGTTTATTTCTCCCTTTCCCTTCAGTTATTTATACTAAAGACTTGCTAAGACAAGAAATGACAGACAAGCATGTTTAAATAATCCCGTCACTACTTCTATTTTGACAACCTAGATAATCTTGAGAACTTTTTCACTATCACATATTAAAGAGTTATTCAAAGATATGTGGCCATTATTGGTAATTATGAGCGAGTCCTCCTCATATTGCTGTGTTTATTCAGAAAATTCTTATGCTTAGAGTCTACTTTAAGATCACAGTGACAGGGAGACAGGATTCATTTTTAAATGGTCAGACTACATTTTTAGAAAAAGTTTTTCCCTTTAGAGTAGAAGTTTAAGCACCCTTGGATACCCTTGGTTTAGAACCAAAATTCTACATGTAGGACCAGTTAACAATTTTGTTTCTTCCCACAGACTGGAAGGTGTACTGGGGGGAACTGCCAACAGGAAGTGTCAGGTATCTTGCAGCACCAGAGTCGGAAATGATAATGAAAGCTGCTAACATTTGTGTATTACTTTAGAATCTACAGAGCACCTTTATGTGCATTATCTCATGTGATTCTCAAAGCAGTTGTGAGATTTATGAAACTACATATATATTTATTCTCACTTTGAAATAATTTTAGACCTACAGGAGTAAGAAAAAATATACAAAGAATGCACATATCCTTCAGGCAGCTTCCTAAAATGTTTTACATAGCCAAATCAGGAAACTAGGATCTATACAATATTATTATCAACTGGCAATATTCGTATCTATTGATATTATTGAAATTTCACCGGTTGTTCCACTAATGTCCTTTTTCCAGTTCAGGATATGATAAATGATGTTGCATTAAGTTGTCATGTCTCTTTAGTCTCCTTTAAGGTGAAACAGCTGTTCAGCCTGTCTTTTATAACCTTGACACTTTTGAAGAGTACTGGCCAGGAATTTTGTAGAATGTTCCTAAATTCAACTTACATGTTTTTGGCAACAATACTATAGAGTGATGGTATCCTTGTGCATCAGTTCAACAGGTGGATGGTGTTGATATATCCCATTACTGGTAAATTTTCATCATTTGGTTAAGAAGATGTTTGTTTTGCCAGGTTTTGTAACTGTTCACTTTGTAATAAGCATCTTTTGAAAAGATAGTTTGAGACTAATAAATATCCTATTTTCTGTCATTCACTTGTTACTATTTTTAGCATCTGCTGATGATTCTTGCCTGCAACAATTACTGTGATGTTTGCCAAATGATTTTTTTTCTACTTCCGTCATTCCTTCTGCTTTTATTAATTGGAATTTTATAGAAGAGCCTTATTTTCTCACATTTATTTAAGTATTAGTATCAATTATAATCCATCACTGTCATCATTTTTATGCTCTGTTGTCCCAGACTTGGCCATTGGGAACCCCGTGAAGTCTGTTTCTATGTCCTTTTGACATATCCCTTCATTTTTTCAGCACGTCCTTTCTGGTATCATAAGATGCTCCAGGCTCATCTCATGCTTTTCTTGCCCAGCTTTGGAACCATCCCATTACTTAAAGAAGCTCTAGTTCCTTTTATTGGAGAATTGTATTTAGAAACTACTCTATGGGTGCTAGATGTGCTAATTGGCTTTGGGATGAGGCTGGTGGTATTATTATTACTATTATTTTGAGACAGAATCTTGCTCTGTCTCCCAGGCTGGAGTGCAATGGCGTGATCTTGGCTTGCTGCAACCTTTGCCTCCCAGGTTCAATCAATTCCCGTACCTCAGCCTCCCAAGTAGCTGGGACTACAGGTGCGCACCATCATGCCCAGCTAATTTTTGTATTTTCAGTAGCGACGGGGTTTCACCATGTTCGTCAGGCTGGTCTTGAACTCCTGACCTCGTGATCCACCCACCCCGGCCTCCCAAAGTGCTGGGATTACAGGCGTGAGCCAGTGCACCCCGCCGCTGGTGGTGTTATTAACCCTCTTTACAGTTGGAGAAAACTAAGCTGAAGTTAAAAGTCTTATTCACAATACCCAGGTAAGGTGATCCAGTTGGGATGTAAACTTGGACCTTCTTATTGTGGAGTCTGGGTTCTTTCCACTTACTCTCCTGTGGTACTGTAGTATTCCTTTCTTAACATTTGCTTTTCCATTAATTTTGTCATTTGTCTTGCCGGACAAGGACAGGACACAATCTAATTAAAATAGATTCAAGAAAATTATTTATTAATAATAGATACAGTTATTTCAATGCAAAAAATAGTCATTGCAGTGCCAGAAATATTTATCATATGCTTGCTATGTGTAAGGCAGTGTGCCAAACATTGCTGGTATGTGAGTATTTGCATATGTACTAGGAGACATTGTGCTGTGAATGTTTTTTTTTTTTTTTTTTACTGTGGCTCTTTTTCCCTAGATACATATTTAAGGGGTAGAGGTAGGTGTATAACAATTGTAAATTATGTCATTATCCATTAATTCAAATGACTTAGGATTTTTATATTATATAAATATGCGGAAGTGTTATATATATAGCATTTGTTTACATGTACCTCCTTTTAGTGCACTATCATTTCATAATTAGAGTAATACTATACACCCGTTAAATGATATTGTTTCATAATTGTAACATTATACACTCATTAAATGATACATATTTGCTAACCACAGTTAAGCACTTTATGTTGTTGCGTTTAATTCTCACAGTAGCTTCATGAGTTGGTCTTATTTTTCCCATGTTTCAGGTGAGCAAACAGACTTAAATTGACTCACCCAAGGCGTAATAAATATTATAAGGTGGATTTAAATCTAATTTTTATGCTACCTACAATGTGAAATACTCTTCCTATTGTGGATGTATTTTGTTCAGGCTTTCAAGTATCATTTTAATTCTCATGTTCAGGATTTGGTGAGTAAGTCTATTCTGTTTAAACATTTTTTGACTTACACATTTTGAGCCTGTCCTTTTAAAGTTTTTGCCTGATTTATGAAACACTGTAGTTTATCCTAAAGAAGTCTTATGGCAGTATCATTTTACTAACTTATGGAACATTCTTCTGGTCTATAAAGTTGTGTTAGGTTAGTGATCAGTATCCACAAGTAAAAAGAGGTGGATATATTTTTGTGCTAGTTTATAATAGCAGGCTAATGCTTGGTGTGCATTTCTTTTCTGGGTCATCATGATAGTTTGGGGTCTATCTTTATAAAAAATGATAGTAATATTCATAAAGCTTATCTTTGCTTCTACATTAAGAGAAGTAAATTTATTAAAATTTCTTGTGTCAGTATAAGGACTTTTTAAAACTTTTAGGTTCAAGGTTACACGTGCAGGTTTGTTATATAGGTAAATTTTATGACACGGGGTTTGATGTACAGATTATTTCGTCACTGAGGTAATAAGCATAATACTCAATAGGTGGTTTTTTTGATCTGTTCCCTCCTCCCACCCTCAAGTAGGCCCTGGTGTCTGTTCCCTTCTTTGTGTCCATGTGTACTCAATGTTTAGCTCCCACTTATAAGTGAGAACATGAGATATTTGGTTTTCTATTCATTCATTAGTTAACTTAGGATACCCATGGCTTCCAGGTCCATCCATGTTGCTGCAGAGGACATGATCTCATTCCTTTTTATGGCTGTGTAGTATTCCATGGTGTACATGTACCATGTTTTCTTTATCCAGTCTGCCATTGATGGGCATTTAGGCTGATTCCATGTCTTTTCTATTGTGAATAATGCTGTGATGAACATACATGTGCATGTGTCTTTATGGTAGAATGATTTATATTCCGTTGGGTACTTACCCAGTAATGAAGTTGCTGGCTTGAATAATAATTCTAACTTCTTTCAGAAATCGCCAAACTGCTTTCTGCAGAAGCTAAACTAATTTACATTCCCATGAGCAGTGTATAAGCATTCCCTTTTCTTCATATCCTTGCCAGCATCTGTTATTTTTTGACTTTTTAAGAATAGCTATTCTGCTGGTGTGAAATGGTATCTTTTGGTTTTGATTTGGATTCTTCTAATGATTAGTGATGTTGAGCATTTTTTCATGTGTTTATGCTTGTTCATGTATGTCTTTTTTTTTTTAAGTGTCTTCATACCCTTTGCCTACTTTTTAATGGGGATATTTGTTTTTTGCTTGTTAATTTGTTTAAATTAATGTAAGGATGTATTAATGGCAAGTAATATAGGATTAATTATATCTTAGATATTTAACATCAAATTTTATAAATGAAAACAGGTAAGAAATAAGAGAAGGTAGAACTATTTGTGTGTGTGTTTATTCACTAGCAGTAATGAAAACAGAAAACTCTCAAGACAGAAATTCATGTTTGTTACTAGAGAGCTCTTAGAAATTATTACTCCTGGCTGGGAGTGGTGGCCTATACCTGTAATCCCAGCACTTTGGGAGGTCCAGGTGGGCAGATTGCTTGAGCCCAGGAGTTTGAGACCAGCCTGGGAAATAAGATGAAACCCTGTCTCTACCAAAGATTTAAAAAATTAGCCTGGTGTGGTGGTGCGAGCCTATAGTCTCAGCTACTCTGAAAGCATAGGTGGGAGGATTGCTTGATCCTGGGAGCTGGAGGTTGCAGTGAGCCATGGTTGTGCCACTGCACTCCAGCGTGGATGACACAGAGAGACCCTGTCTCCTCCTCCAAAAAAGAAAGAAATTATCACTCCTTTTTGTATACTTTTTGTGTACATTACAGATTAACACTTACTGTTATTTGTGGGAGATTGGTTTTAGGATGACCCCTGACCAAATACCAGAATCTATGGATGCTCAAGTCCATTATATAAAATGATATAGTATTTGCGTATAATCTACACACATCCTCCCATATACTTTAAATCATCTCTGGGTTTTTTATGATACCTAATACAATGCAAATGCTGTGTAAATAGTTATACGGCATTTCTAAAGGAAGAATGACAAAGAAAAAAAAGTCTGTACATGTTCAGTACAAACACAACCATTATAACCTAACTACACTGTTTTTTTTTTTTTTTGTGAAATGAAGTCTCACTCTGTCGCCTAGGCTGGAGTGCAGTGGCGGAATCTTAGCTCACTGCAACCTCTGCCTCCTGGGTTCAAGTGATTCTCCTGCCTCAGCCTCCTGAGTAGCTGGGATTACAGGCGTACACCACCATGCCTGGCTAATTTTTGTATTTTTACTAGAGACAGGGTTTCACCATGTTGGTCAGGCTGGTCTCGAACTCCTGACCTCATGACCTACCCTCCTAGGCCTCCCAAAGTGTTGGGATTACAGGCGTGAGCCACCATGCCCAGCCTCCTAACTACATTTTTGATCCAAGGTTGGTTGCATCCAAGGTTGATTGAATCTGTGGATGTGGTACCCACAAATACTACAACTATGGTACACCCACGATATGATCGTACCATATTTGAATGTTAGTCAGTGACCAAGAAGAATTCTACCACATTTTCTTATTGTTGTACTTTAAATATGGTTGAATTTTCTCTGTAGAGCAATTACCAGTATGAGTCAAAGGCCATGATTTATGTAGGCTATAGCTCTGCAATTTAGATTGTTTACTAAAATTTAGTCTTAAGAGTGGATGCAGAATATTATTTCTTGTTTTCTTAATCTTATCAGGTTGCAAATTAGCATCTCAATCAAAAGAGGATGTGTGTATGTGGTTTTGTGCCAAACAGTGCTATCCTATTCTAATCACAACCTCTGAAGTAAACTTCCATTGGTACTTTTGAGTTGCTTCTGCCCAGATCAAGGTCCAGCTCTTTTACTTACCAGTTATGTGGTTCTGGACTTCTGTAAGCCATAGTTTCCTCATCTGTAAAATGAGGATAATCATCAGGATTAAATATAATCCTTGTAAAGCATTGAACCATATCTGCACATAGCAAATACTGAAGTGTTGAGTGCGTGTTAATATTAGTGGTAGTAGTAGTAGTAATTCATTGCAAGGAGACATTAAAAGTTCCTAATGTAGAATAAGAACTAGGTAATACATGACAAACACTTATGGGGGACTATCTAGGATAATTTTAGGAGTCTTCAGTGTTTCATGGAATCAAAGAAGTTTGGATTAGGAGAGGGCTTTGATTAGCATCTTTTCTTCCTTAATTTTATAGATGAGGGTGCTACATCTTGGAATGATAAAATAACTTGCTGGAACTATTACAGTTGCATGTGTCAGTCTCAGTGGAAACTTGGTCTTCATGACTGTAAGTTCAGTGTTGTTTCCACTGAATGTTGCCTTGGTCAATTTTTTCCTATAATTTTGCCCCTGGTAACCCCAGTGTCTTTAAAGGGAAATGATTTGTTTGGGAAGTCATCTTTTTCTTTATTTTTAGGGATCATTGATATCAGTAATCAACACTGATTCTTAAAGTGTAGGTAATATAAGTTGGAAGAGAAATACCTCATTTGCCTCCTTAAAGGAACACAATAGTATAATAATGTTTTTTGTCAGAATCTCTTCATGAATCCCTCCAGCAAGTTAATGAAAATCTCCAAAAACACTATTCAGATTCTCATGATAGCCAGAAGGGTATTGGCAGTAGATTGATTATTTAGCTTATAGATGAGTTGCTTGTTTACTCTTACACATTTGAAAAATACAGAAAGGTACAGAAAAGATAACCTTATCTATATCCTTATCCAGAATTGACATGGATATCATCTTTGCGTTAGATTTTTAAAAATCCATTGTTTTTTGTGGAGATAATTATAATTGAGTTAGACCATTAAATCTATCTTATCTAAAGATAAGAGATTTTAAAAATGTGATTTTTAGCTTGGGGCTACTTAGGACATTTGGTTAGGCAGTGTACTAATAGAGATAGTAAGCGTATATG
The DNA here is from genome assembly GCF_000001405.40 of Homo sapiens. NCBI lineage: Eukaryota > Metazoa > Chordata > Mammalia > Primates > Hominidae > Homo > Homo sapiens. Next base: position 38,280,675 of record NC_000015.10, read on the forward strand.
TGGATCAGCAAACTGTTTTCTTTGATAATCAAAAGCCCTTGTTTGCCAAACCACAATTTAGAATGAATGAGTAGAAATTTAACATCTCTTATAACTTAAAAATAACTACTTGTGAACTCTATAGATCTTCATTCAGAATATGTAATTGTAAAGTAGATAATACCTTAAAAGAGAAAACAGTGAATCACTTTGCTAGTGGGTGAGCCTAGCTCATCACCTAAACATCCATATCTCAAAGGTTATTATTTATTCTTTTCCAGTACATATGTAACCATTGTGATAAATTCATAACCCACCAGTGTGATGATATATTTAGAAACTACATTAAATGAGGACAAGTTGTAGGAACTGGTCAGGTTGAACTTGGAGAAGAGTTGATCACTGAAATATTAGTTATCTTCAAATAATTGAAAACCTCATATAATAATGGGAGTAAACTTAGACTCTTTTGTCCCTGAAAGTAAAACTAGAATCAGTGGATGAAAGTAAAAAAAGGTGGGGGAGTAAGTTTTGTTTCTATACAAAAGAGAACTTCCTACTGATGTGATTTGTTTGATGATGGAATGGACTATCTTGTGAAATTGGGAGCTTCCTATAGTTATTTTCAAATGGAGAGTGAAAAGATTGATCATCCATGCATCTTTGCAAAAGGAGTAAGTATTGTGTAGTGTGTCAGATTAGTCTAGATCTTTTAGGTTCCTTACAACTGCCTAAGTTCTGTTTTTTTGATTTTTTGAGACGGGAGTCTCTGTCTGTCACCCAGCATGGAGTGCAGTGGTGTGATCATAGCTCACTGCAACCTCAAACTCCTGGGCTCAAGCGATTCTCCCCACTCAGACTTTCTAGTAGCTAAGACTATAGGTGTGTGCCACCATGCCCATCTAATTTTTTTTTTTTTTTTTTTTTTTTGTAGAGACAGGGTCTTGCTATGCTTCTCAGGCTGGTCTCAAACTCCTGGCTGCAAGTGATCCTCCTCAGCCTCCCAAGGTGTTAGGATTAGGCATAAGCTACCGTGCCTGGCCTTTTGATTTTTATGCATGTCATACACTGCTCTGTTTCTTACATTTCCACCCTTTGAGAAATGTACATTTTTGTATAAAAATATATAAAATACATAGCTTTAGAGACATGCTGTAAAGTTTGGGATTTATGGATGAAGAAGAAATTTTTGACCCCAATTAATCCTTTGGAATTTACTCAGTTCATGTTCACTTACAGAAGTTCCTGAAATTTCTAGATGTAAAGTCGATACCTAGTTCAGTATGAGCTCTTACAGGGTAAAGCCGATTTTATTGCTAAAGAAGGTATGTTTTTGTGGTTATTTATCTATGGAGTGAAAAAGCTTTACTTGTTTTAAGGGATTAATTTGAAGCTTTCTGAAGTTGTCATAGTCCAGTGGACACCAGCATCACTGAGTTCATATACTGTCCATAATACTCCATGCATGTTCCATAAATACATCTTTCTGGGAATGAGTGTTGGTTGGTTTACATTCATTAAGTTAACATTTCTTATTCTGGCCAGAATCGGTGGCTCATGCCTGTAATCCCAGCACTTTGGGAGGCTGAGGCCGGTGGATCACTTGAGGTCAGGAGTTTGAGACCAGCCTGGCCAACATCCTGAAACCCCATCTCTACTAAAAATACACACACACACACACACACACACATGCACACACACAAGTTAACCTGGCGTGGTGGCAGGCACCTGTAATTCCCACCACTTGGGAGGCTGAGGCATGAGAATTGCTTGAGCCGGGGAGGCAGAGGTTGCAGTGACCAGAGATTGTGCCACTGCACTCTGGCCTGGGCAACAGAGCGAGACCCCGTCTCAAAAAAAAAAAAAAATTCTTATTTCATTCCTCATGCTACTCAAGAAGCCATGGGTGGTATGTTTGATTTACTCCACCTTTGTCTGATGTAAAAGCCACTGATGTCGATGGATAAGCAGTGGTAGGATGGTTTGAGTTTGGGGATCTTGGAAACACTTGAAAATTCTTATCTATGCCCATTTCCTAATAGCGATGGGAAATGTCTCCTGTACATCTTTGCTGTTTTTATTCAGTTTAACTTTGCAGATGAAAAGTTTATAGATTAAAATTTCTCTGCTGATAGCTGTTTTTATTTCTTCATTGTCTGTTTTTTCTTTAAGGACCATGGTTTGTAGCTTTGTAAGTCCCTCGCTGTCATGCGTTGTTTTAAACCACGGTTTTCTTGCTACTTTGAGGACTGTGACACTGATTTGAATCTAGTATTGCTTATAGTTAAAAAGCTTCTTGTAAGTTCTAGTGTATTTCCATTAGATACTGGATTGCCGAACATTTTGGGGTGTAATGAGGTATGTTAGTCCGTTCTCACACTGCTATAAAGAATACTACTTGAGACTGGGTAATTATAAAAGAAAGGGATTTAGTGACTCACGGTTCCACAGGCTTAACAGAAAGCATGGCTAGGAGGCCACGGGAAACTTACAGTCATGACAGAAGGCGAAGGGGAAGTAGGCGCCTTCCTCACAAGGCGACAGGAGGGAGACAAGAGCGTGTTAAGGGGGAACTGTCAAACACATATATAACCATCAGATCTCGTGAGAACTCACTATCACAAGAACAGCTTGGGGGAAACCACCCCCATCATCCAGTCACCTCCCACCTGGTTCCTCCCTTGACATGTGGGGATTACAATTCAAGATGAGATTTGGGTGGGGACACAGAGCCAGACCATGTCTTGAGAGGTATAGGGAATAATGTGAAGGGATATGTAGACAAGGTCAGCATGTTTATTTTGTGAAATATATTACAGATTTTGTGATTTGTTTCCTTGTAGGTGTCAGGGGCATGATGATGGAATCTGCTTTTTTCAGTAAGTGCTATGAGCTTATATTTAGACATAGAAAATTGTAGAAAATGAAAAATATAATTGATGGAGAATATTTACTTCAAATATTCTTATTTTTATATAAGTGAAGCTGAGAGTGTGATATGAGTGGCTGTTTTCCTTTCCAGTCACAGCAGAACTAGAACAGCAGGGGTTTAAATCCTTACTCAGTGATGTGATCTTGTGCGAATCACTTACCCTCTTGAAGCTTTAGTTTCCCTATCTGTAATTTGGGGATAATAACCCTTTCTAGGGTTATGTCAGAATTAAAGATAATGTCTTTAACCAAATATTCAAAATAGATTAGGTAGATAGAGCTGCCTTACTATAGTGTAACTGCCTTACTAATAGTAAAAACTAATGGTAAAAATTAGGTATTTACTATTAAATGTTTATTATTAGAGCTCAGATCACTTTATTTTAGATAGTTTTCTTTGTCCATGTGATTATAAAAGAAGAAAATAAAGATAATCTCTACTTCTGCTACTAAGAGATAGCCATTATGACATTATGTTGTAAATTTTTCCAGATTATCTTTTAAGGCATATTTGATACATTTTAAAATGTTTTTATTTCTATAAAACTGAAGTTGTACTATTTTATACTATTTGGAAGTCTTTTTATTTACTGTATCAGCCTGTGAAAATACACATCATAGTAGTGGCTGAAAATTTACTTTTAGTCAGTTTCTTAGTGGTGGGTCCTTAGGCAGTTTCAAAGGTTTTTATTTTACCATAATAAACAATGTTGATACACAGTTTTGTTCATACGCTCATGAGTGCATGTCTCAGTTTCTTTAGAATAAATATTTAGATGTTACATTTCTGGGTCTAAAGGTATAATATTTTTAACTTGCCAGATTGCTGTATAAGATGTAATTTTATATTATGATACTAATCTTTGCCATATATGATAACATGTTTTTTCCTAGTTTGTCATTTGTCTTCTAATATCTTGGTGTTTTTAGCAATACAGAGATTTTACATTTTTATGCAGTTGAATATAGCAGTCTTCTGTTATAATTTCTGACTTTAGTGGAAGTTTTAAGTGGTATTACCACACAACTATAAACATATTTCTTTTAATAATTACAGTCTTAATTTTAGTGTAATGTAGAGATTCAAGTTTTAATTTTTTTTTCCGATGGATAGACTTTTACTTCACTATTCCTTGAGTAAACCTTCTGTTTTCTACAGATTTGATGTTCCTTGTTGTTATCACCTACTAAATGTTTGTATGCATTTGGATGCTTTCTGGGCTCCACTCCTGTGGTTTTTAAACTGTGCATAAGGGGTTACTTCATCTGGGATTTTTTTTTTTTTTTAAACCTATTTGTGGGCCTTGCCTCCAGAAATTTTGATTCAAAGTTTTGGTGGGATCTAGGAATCAGTTTTATAATAAACACATTTGGTTATTAAGATGCATGTGTTTTATGAGCCACACATTGAGAAGCCTTCCTCTGTTTCACCTGTACCACACCATTTTAAATACTAGATCTATTTTTTTTAAATATATTTTTTTGCTCCCAGCTCCTCCTGCTGCCTGACTGCCCCCTCCTGCTCCCTCTCCCTCCATTCAAGTAATGTATTTTTACATTACACTTGAATAACTACTAGGAAAAGCACCACCTCCAAATTAAAATGTTTATTTATTCAGCAGATATTTTCAGTGCGTATTTTGTGCCAAGCACTCTTCTAGTTTAAGGATGTATTCAAGAACAAAACAAAGATCTTTGAGTTTTTATGTAGGTGTGAGAGAGATCACAGAAGATAACAATGAAATTATAGTAATTAAATTATAGTGCTGTGGTAGCACAGACTACATGGTATGGATGGCAAATAGAGTGGAGATGATGGCAGTAGGAGCACCCCATTGAGAAAGTGATATTTCAGTAAAGCAGCGAGTCTTTTGTGATGGAATCTGGCATACAGAATATCTGGGAAGGGGTTTAGGTGGTGAGCACAATAAGAGTAAATGTCCTGAAGCAGGTGTATGCTTGGCATGTTTGAGAAGGAGAAAGAACAGTTTGGCTGGAACAGGGAATGGGAGGGAGAATGGCTGGAGATGAAGTCACACAGATTACAAGAGCCAATTTTTGTAGGGTCTTTAGAGTTTGGACTCTTTCCGTGCGTGAAATATGTGGCTCTTGGAGGTTTCTGAGCAAGACTCACATGACCTGATTCATGTTTAAAAGATCACTCAAATGTTCCTGGCTTTAATGTATACTTAAAGCTCATGTTTTTCAAGTTACCTTTTCCCCAGAATAGCCCATCGGTATTTTAAACTCAATTTCCAATAAACGAACAGACACGTTAGAATTGTCATCCTTGAAATACTAAGCTTTGCTTCCAGAAAACATACAATATCTTCTTACTCATTCATGCCCTTTATACCCTTATTAATGTTTTCAGATCAGGCAGGTGTGGAGGCTCATGCCTATAATCCCAGCACTTTGGGAGGCCAAGGAGGGAGGTTTGCTTGAGGCCAGGAGTTCAAGGCTAGTCTGGGAAACATAGTGAGGCCCTGTCTCTACAGAAAGTGAAAAAATTTAGCCAGGTATGGTGGCAGGTGCCTATGGTCACGCCTACTGAGCTGAAAAGCTGAAATGGGGAGAATCACTTGAGCTCAGGAGTTTGAAGCTGTAGTGAGCTATGATCATGCCAACCGCACTCCAGCCTCAAAAAAAAAAAAAAAAAAAAAAGTTTTGCAGATTGCTTCAGATTAGCTCTGTACATCATTATCCTATCAATTTTATATTATTTTTATTGTGAATTGGCTCTTTTTGTATGTGTGACAATTTCTAAATCATTGGTAAATAGGACAGTTTTTAAAATTTCCTCTATCTAACCACTATATTGCATTCTTTTGTTTTTCTAATGGGAAATCTGCTTGTATCTTCTAAGTAAGCAGTCACATAATCTGCAAACAAGAATAATTTTTAAATGAAGATTTATATTTATCTTTTTCACCATCTCCTCTAATCATTACTTATGGCTTTTTTTTTTTAAGTCTGTGGTAATGTCCTATTTCTGACTTTAATAGAATGCCCAGATATTTCATTTTTAGGCATGGTACCAATTATTGAAATACATTTTTATTGTTGTACATTACATATTATTAATTGAGCCTTTACAGTATTGATGAAGTATCTCATACTGCTTTACCATGAATATTTTTAAGAATAAATGTTGAATTTTTCATTTCTTTTAAACCATCATCCAAGTAAGTGAAGTTTTTCTGAAGCAGTGTCTTTTGATTGCCAGTTTAGTCCCCTTTCCAGTATTTGAATCATGGAGTGCAGACTTTGTAAAAATAATGTTGTCCCACTTTATCAAATTTATGTTTGAGATTTTGCTCCTCTTTTCTCTTTTTATGTATTTTTATTCATACTGCACATTATTATATTGCTACTTGTATTATATCTACAATCCTATTTAGATGGTGAACTTCTTGAGGGAAGGTATAGAATCTTTTTTGTATTTGTTTCCCATCACACATGTCTTATGTAATAATGCAGCTGTTACCATGTTAAGTTGAATTGCATTACCTCCTTAATTCTTTATTTAAAATGTGTAATAAGGCCTTTATTCTAGAGACTAGAAACAATTGAAAAAACAGAAAAATGCAACAGAGGTCAGAGTTTTAGAAGCACATTGGCTAGCACAGTTTTACCTCCAGAAGACATCTTCTGTCTATGTAGTTTTCTCATTTATTTGTCTAGTTATCTCATTATTCTAGTCTGTATTTCTCACCTGGATTTCTAGCATGCCACCTTCATCTATTGCTGACTCCCTTTCCCCCACTATCTTTTCATTCAATCTGCAAAACTGTGATTTTTCTTTAAACATACATCTCTTTCATTGTTTCTTTGATCAAAATGTGTTTTTTCTTAAAATAAAGAACAAAATCCTTAATATGGCCCTGTATGAGCTGGTCCATATATCCCATTACTGCTCCCTCCCCACTTAAAAAAATGTCCATCTGAATCTTGTAGACTATCATTTTCTCTAATGCTCTTTCTTGTCTGGTGGCCTTTGCATTCATATGTATGTGTTTCACATCTGTGAATTGAGCCAGCTACAGATTGAAAATATTTGAAAAAAATTGCATCTTTACTGAACATGTACACACTTCAAAATCTTATTATTCCCTCAACAATACAGCATACCACTGTTTACAGATGATTTAAAGTATACAGGAGGATGTCCATAGGCTGTATGCAAGTATTTTGCCATTTTATATCAGGGACTTGAGCGTCAAGGATTTTGATACTCAAGCGAGGTCCTGGAACCAATTTCACACAGATACCGAGGAACAACTGTAGCCTACTATCAGGAAAACCTTTCTTCTCCTTCCTTTATTTTTTCTTGTTTTTTGATTTCCCCTTGCTTATCCTTCTGATCTCTTAGGATCCAGAGTACTCCTGGTTCCTGGAAAGACTTGAATCATGAATCACTCTGAGATATGAGGTGGTCTTCTCTGAATGATACACAACTGAGAAAAGTTCTGTATCTTACAGTTTTTGCTTGGATTGTAACAATATACCTGTTTTCACCTCTCTATCATTAAGAGTTGCTTCTGGAGTCATGTTTACCTACCTTCAGTCAAAATTACCTGATCACAAGGGTCAGGGATAAATGAATATTGGTGGAAGACGGGAGCTCAGAAGAGGAAGGTAGAGGAAGGTACTGGAAATTTTCTACTTCAGGCTTGTTTACAACTAAACTTTCATAACATATGTTATTGTCTTCATAGAGGTTCATGAATATGACATGTTAATAAATTGAGAGGAAGGTTCGGAGTTTGTAGTGAGCAAGGAAAACAAGGTTCCTACTCATGGAGCGTAAATCCTATTAATGGAGGACAGACAATAAATAAATAAATAATTTCAGATAGTCATAGGCATTATGAGGAAGATAAAACCAGAAAAAGAAATAGTGGAGAGAAGGTGGATGGATGCTGGTGCTACTCCGAGGAGGATTCTTGTTAGCTGATGGCTTAGAAAGGAGCAACCGATAGAATATCTCAGGGGAATACCCAACTAAAGGAAACAGCGTCTAGAGCCCCACGGTAGAAGAGAACTATTATACTTAAGGAGTACAAAAATACTATCATTGCAATATAGTGAGTAAGCAGTAAGAGAGGTGGTCAGAGAGGTATAGCCTTCTAAGTTATAGCCATTATAAGATTTCATATTGCCAGGCTATGCTAACTCAGTATTTTTTTGCTTTGAATATTGTGTCTTTTTTTTATTGCTTTTCTTTAGTACTCAATATTTAGGATTATTCAAAGCCCTAAACTAGAGTAACTGTTTGGTTAGGCTACATTATCTGCAGTGATATGAGATAAATTATTCTGGATAGAATTTTACAGCAACAAATTTTCAGTTAGTTTATTCAAAATTAAGATTAGTTTTCTAGTTTACCAATATTCCAAATACAACATCATAACTTCCTTCGGAATTTAAACTACAGGTTTCCTGTGCCTTAAACCTTAGGAATCAGGGAGTAGACTTGGGAATCTGTGTTTTTAGTTACCTCTAAACCAATGGAATTTTTCGCTAAAACAAGTTTTGCCATGATTCCTGATTATTAGTGTGGTCATTATTAAATGAATTTGTTGGGGTTTTACAAGTTTTGTATTCCACGTTTAAGAAAAACTGCAATCAGTGCTTTGAAATGGAAAAAAAAAAGGTAATCTCTTTAATTTGCATTCCTCTTATTCTGAATAAAATTACTTTTTCTGTATTTCATGGCATTTATGTTTTTCTTCTGTGGATTTTATTCATGAACTTAGCCTGTTTTTCCTTTGTGGTGTTTGTCTTTTCTTACTGATTTTTGGAGTTACTTTTAAGGAAGTACCTTTTTTTTTTTTCCTGTTATATGCCATTTGTGGTAGACAGAATATGTCCTGCCCCTCCCCAAAGATGGCCTTGCCCTAATCTCCAGAACCTGTGAGTATGTTAGGATTTTGCAACTGTGATTAAGTTTGTGAGCTTTGATATAGGGAGATTATCCTGGATTATCTGGATGAACCTGGGCTAATCACATGAGCACTTCAGTGGATAACCTTTCCTGACTGTATAGGACTGTAGTCAGAGAAAGATATAACTACAGAAGAAGGTTCAGAGAGAAGCAATATTCATGACTTTGAGGGTAGAAGGAGGGAGCCATGAGCCAAGGAATGTGGATGGGCTCTAGGAACTGGAAAAGGCAAGGGAAAACTGTTTTCTCTTTTAGAGCTTCTTGAAAGGAACGCAGCACTGCCAGTACCTTGATTTTAGCCCAGTGTGAAACTCTTTGGACTTCCAACTCACAGAAGTGTATAAATTTGTGTTGTTGTAAGCCGCTAAGTTTGTGGTAGTTGTTAGGACAGCAATAAAAAGCTAATACATGTGTGTTACATATTTTTTTCCCAATTTGTTATCTTTGTCTTTATTGTTCATGGTGTTTTTACCATGCAGGAATGTGTTTAATATAGTTGAATTTATCCTTTTATATTTTAATGGCCTCTGGATCTTAGGCTTTCCCAACTATAGGATGATTTTAAAGTTTTTCATATTTTACTCTAATGCTTTTATCTCATCATGAACTCTCATATTAATGTTGACTGCCTGTCTTCTATGTTTTGATCTTTTGTTGAGAATGAATACTTTTTATAGTTCTCTTCTTCTGACGTAGACCAAGAGAATTTCAGAATGAAATCATAGTATCAATGCTAGTAATTAAGGAGTCATGGGGAATGGACACTAGTAGTACCAGAAGGCAGGGGACATTCGAAGTAGTTATAGTTTGAACTGTTTTCATAGGTTGATGATACTGTCTAGCAGAACCTAAAATGATTGATTCTAAAGGTGTAGTTTGTGAAAACCTCTATTCATCTCTCATATTTTAATTTTATTTCTTCTTCTGGAAGAATTCCCAGATGTCTGCATTATATAAACAGTTTGTGGAAGACTTAGATGACTGATATTTGATACTGTGTTAGTTTGTTTTCATGCTGCTGATAAAGACATACCCAAGACTGGGAACAAAAAGAGGTTTAATTGGACTTATAGTTCCGCATGGCTGGAGAGGCCTCAGAGTCATGGCGGGAGGCGAAAGGCATTTCTTACATGGTGGCAGCAAAAGAAAAATGAGGAAGAAGCAAAAGTGGAAACCCCTCATAAACCCATCAGATCTCCTGAGACTTATTCCCTATCACAAGAATAGTATGAGAAAGACCAGCCCTAATGATTCCATTACCTCCCCCTGGGTCCCTCCTACAACATGTGGGAATTCTGAGAGATACAATTTAAGTTGAGATTTGGGTGGGGACACAGCTACCCCATATCATTCTGCCCTTGGCCCCTGCAGTTCTCATGTCCTCACTTTTCAAAACCAATCATGCCTTCCCAACAGTCCCCCAGAGTCTTAACGCGTTTTACCATTAACCCAAAAGTCCAGAGTCCAAAGTCTCATTCGAGACAAGGCAAGTCCCTCTGCTTGTGAGCCTGTAAAATCAAAAGCAAGCTAGTTACTTCCTAGATACAATGGAGATACAGGTATTGGGTAAATACAGCCATTCCAAGTGGAATAAATTGTCCAAAATAAAGGGGATACAGGGCCCATGCAAGTCTTAAATCCAGTGGGGCAGTCAAATTTTAAAGCTCCAAAATGATCTCCTTTGACCCCATGTCTCACATCCAGGTCTTGCTGATGCAAGAGGTAGGTTCCCATGGTCTTGGGCATCTCTGCCCATGTGGTTTTGTAGGGTACAGCCTCCTCCTGGCTGCTTTCACAGGCTGATGTTGAGTGTCTGTGGCTTTTCCAGACACATGGTGGAAGCTGTCAGTGAATCTACCATTCTGGGGTCTGGTAAATGGTGGCCCTCTTCTCAAAGCTTCACTAGGCAGTGCCCCAGTAGGGACTCTGTGTCGGGGCTCTGACCCCACATTTCCCTTCCACACTGCCCTAGCAGAGGTTCTCCATGAGGGCCCTGCCCCTGAAGCACTTTTGCCTGGGCATCCAGGTGTTTCCATATATCTTCTGAAATGTAGGCAGAATTTCCCAAACTTCAATTCTTGACTTCTGTGCACCCACAGGTTCAACACCATGTAGAAGCTGCCAAGGCTTGGGACTTCCACCCTCTGAAGCAACAGCTTGAGCTCTATGTTGGCCCCTTTCAGCCATGGCTGGAGTGGCTGGTACACAGGACATGAAGTCCTTAGGCTACACACAGCACAGGGACAGTGGGTCCATCCTGTGAGACCAGTTTTTCCTCCTGGGCCTCTGGGCCTGTGATGGGAGGGGCTGCTCTGAAGGTCTTTGACGTGGCCTGGAGATGTTTTCTCCATGGTCTTGGGGATTAACATTAGGCTCCTTTCTACTTAAGCAAATTTCTGCAGCTGGCTGGAATTTCTCCTCACAAAATAGTTTTTCCTTTTCCACTGCATTGTCAGGCTGCAAATTTTCTGAACTTTAATACTGTTTCCCTTTGAAAACAGCATAAAACAACACCCAAGTCACCTTTTGAATGCTTTGCTGCTTAGAAATTTCTTCCCCCAGATACCCTAAATCATCTCTTTCAAGCTCAAAGTTCCACAAATCTCTAGGGCAGAGGCAAAATGCCACCAGTTTCTTTGCTAAAACATAACAAGATTCAGCTTTGCTCCAGTTCCCAACAAGTTCCTCATCTCCATCTGAGACCACCTCATCCTGGACCTTATTGTTCATTTCACTATCAGCATTTTTGTCAAAGCCATTCTCCCACATTTTCCTGTCTTCTGAGTCTTCCAAATTGTTCCAAACTCTGCCTGTTACCCAGTTCCAAAGTCACTTCCACATTTTTGGGTATCTTTTCAGCAATACCCCACTCTACTGGTACCAATTTACTGTATTGGTCCGTTTTCACACTGCTGATAAAGACATACTCGAGACTGGGAAGAAAAAGAGGTTTAATTGGACTTAACAATTCCACAGGGCTGGGGAGGCCTCAGAATCATGGTGGGAGGCGAAAGGCATTTATATGATGGCAACAAGAGAAAAATGAAGAAGCAAAAGCAGAAGTCCCTGATAAACCCATCAGATCTCATGAGACTTATTCACTATCATGAGAATAGCACAGGAAAGACCGGCCCCCATGATTCAATTAAGACCCCTTGGGTCCCTCCCACAACACATGGGAATTCTGGGAGATACAATTCAAGTTCAGATTTGGATGGGGGACACAGCCAAACCATATCACATACTTAGCTATGATTAATAATTCTTAGCGTTAAAAGTTCTGAGAGGGAGCTGTCACCTTGGTTTTTTATACAAGATCATCATAAATAATGAGACAAATTTAGACAATTTGATAATGCGGTTGTAGTAACATAAAGTTGATTTAATATATTAAGTCATTGTAATAACATTTATTGGGCACATAACAATGAGCCAGGCAAAATGCTAAGAAATCTACATGCATAACCTCATTTATTTCTTATAGCACTGTGATAAATATTATTATTTCCATTTTATAGACCAGGAATAGGGATATAGAGAGCTTAAGTAATTTACCCAAGATTACAACTTTTTTTTTTTTTTTTTTTGAGACGGAGTCTCGCTCTCTCACCAAGCTGGAGTGCAGTGGTGTGATCTCGTCTCACTGCAACCTTTGCCTCCCAGGCTCAAGTAATTTTCCTGCCTCAGCCTCCTGAGTAGTTGGGACTACAGGCACACGCCACTACGCCCATCTAATTTTTGTATCTTTAGTAGAGACAAGGTTTCACCATCTTTGCTAGGATGGTTTCGATCTCTTGACCTCGTGATCCACCTGCCTCGGCCTCCCAAAGTGCTGGGATTGCAGGAGTGAGCCACCACACCCGGCTCCAAGATTACAACTTTTAAGAGGTGACACTGCCTTTGGAACCTAGATCTGACTTGTTATTAAACAGTGCCATGTTTAATATTTGCTCTAGTTTTTAGAGTTGCCAGTGCTAAAGGAGTAATACAGATCTTCGTCTTTCTAATCAAACTCAGCTCTTCTCTGTAAGATGAAGAAATATCTCCTTCATTAGGGTTAATGCAGTAGTGGTCTCCTACTGCTCTTAGAGCTTTTAAAATACAAATCAGAACATTCTGCTTTCTTGCTTATTATCATCCTGTGGTCTCTTTATCGTGATAAAATAGAGTACTAACCTTGAGCATAGTATGCATGGCTTAATACAGTAAGTCAACTACTATTTTCTTTCTTTCTCTCTATCGCTTATGTCTACTGTCATCTTTTGAACTTCGTATTGGTTCTTAAATATGATATACTTGTGTCATGCTCTCTCTATTGAGTGTCCTTAGCCTTTTATCTACCTGATATACTGCTATTAAAAACCTACATCAAATATGAATACTAGTAATCTCCTATATTCCCATTATGTGGTAATGTATCTTTGCCCACTAGATTATGAGCTTCTACAGGGAGAGGATCATAACTTTTCAATTTTGTTTATGTAGTATATGAATCTCATGGGTTAAGTGAATAGATTATTGAGTAGTAATGTGGTTATCTTCTGAATGTCTGCATTCTACATAGTTTAGAAAGCACGTACTTACACTGTGAAGTACTACATCATCCCAACCTACTTCTATTAAATGCTTCCCTTTTCTCTTCTACCTAGTCTCTGTAATAATGTTTAATATTTGGATGGTTAATATTTACTTAAAATATATAGAGAGCAAAGGGTGTTCTGTCACTATAAATATGCCTCAATGGATAAATAAGTTCCTGTTATACTGTACAAATCTTAAGGCATTGTAAGAACTTCCTCAATTTGGTGGTTGGTGGGGCGGAGGTCAGGATTTTGTTTTAATACTATTGTAATTAAAAATGGAAAAAGTTATCTTTTTCTCCTGTATATATATTACTGTATCTTCGAGAACGTGTTTCCTCCTTTGTAGTAGTTTCCTGTTGCTGATGTAGGCAAATTACCATAAACTTAGTGACTTAAAACAACAGAAATTTATTATATTTTAGCCTGGAGGTCAGAAATACAAATAGGTCTCACTGGGCTAATATCAAGGTATTTCTTGGGTATGTATTATAATAGAAAAGAAAGGTATAGAGAGAAGAGAAAGACAGATAATTTATTTTAGAAAAGTTAAGCTTAAGAACAGTCGACCAAAACAATATAAATGGCCAGCAGGCTGTTAGAAATGTATCCAAATTTAGGAAACTGATCTGAGCAAGAGCCAGAGCTGTACTGCTAGTCATTTTGTTTGTATAGCAGTGGTTCCTAAATTGGTGGGCCAGGGTAATCATAGATGCTATTGTGATTAAAGCTATGTACTATCTCCCCTGAAGAAAATATATATGTGGCAAAAAAACTCACATTTGATTACAATTTTGGGGATTCATAATCCTTTCCAGGAGGTTCACAAAATTAATCTTTGGTGTAAAGGGTAAAGTTGCTTTGCTACAGATTTATTGGCTCTATGAATTTTGGATTCATCGAGGTAACATTTCCTTGCACATTAGATATTTGAGTGCCAGTTGAGTGGAGTTACAGCATCTTCTGTCAAGTAAATCGTGAAATTATTTTACTTTCAAGAGAATAAAAGTATGCTAAGTAAAGCAGTCACGTGTTTTGCAATACGTATTTGCTCTGAGAAATACATTGTTGGGTTATTTCATCATTGTGCACACAAACATCATAGAGTGTACCTACACAAACCTAGATGGGAAAATACACTAACACGATAGCTGATAAACTTTAAAAAAAATCACACAAAAATTTCATAATGTTTTAAGAAATTTATGAATTTGTGTTGGGCCGCATTCAAAGCCATCCTGGGCCACAGGTTGGACAGGCTTGCTGTACAGCATGTTGTTGTACTGAAAAGTGTAGCCAGTTTTAGCACAATGGTAAGTATTTGTGTATCTAAACGTCAGAAAGGTACAATAAAGATACGGTATTGTAATCTTATGGGACTGTTGTACGTGGAGTCTGTTGTTGACGGAAACGTTATTATGCAACACAGGATTGTATTTAGAAAATGAAACCGATGTAAAATTAATGAGAATTCCATAGGAGTCAATATTGTGCTACAATGCTTGTTAATTTTGTTTTCCTGTTATTAAGTTGAATACATATTATGTTTAACATATTAACTAATAACAGTAAGAGGGATAGGGGATAGATAGAATTTTAATTTATGAACATCATGCACAATTATTTTACCTCATAATTGAACATCTGGTTAATGTAAGTATTATAAGCTTATAAATATTACAAAAACTTGCATAATACTGTACTCTAGACTCATACATGTGTCAGCCAATGAGCTAAAAAAATCACAAGTTTCATACATGCATTAGCATGTATGCATCTATAGTACAATATTATGGTCACTATCTGCCTTCTTGGTGGAGAGAAAAGGAAGAGTCGGGAACTTTTGGTTGTGACCAGGAAATGGGAAGAATGGGAATCAGTATTAAAACTGTGCAGTGTATGGTTAGAGTCTTTATGTTCTCTAAGGAGCTTGACTATCAAACACTTTAAGTGTTTTAAGCCTGGTTTTTCCTTATAATGGACACGTAAAACAAGGAGAAAACATAAAATCTCAGATCTCCAGACTATGTCTTCCTTGAGCCTTCTACTTGTCTAGCAGTTGGGTGGGGTATATAATAGGCTTGGTAATCACAAAGCAAGATAGTTCTGTAAGGGAGAAAAGAAACTAAAAAAGCAGGTCACTTTAGGTGAAGGACACTTTGCGTTTCAGACAGTTAAAACTACTAGGGCTTGTAAAAATTTCTGCAACTATTAATTTGATTGTTAATCAAATTACAAATTTTGCCAATATGTAAATTTGAAATTGCTGCCATACATTTATCCACAAAGTGCAATAAAGTATAGCTTTAGAGTTATTCTGGTTCATGTGTAATATAGTACTGTCATTTCAAACAAAACTACATGGTCCAATACAACTGAGACAAAATTTGTCTTCGTGTGTTTGGTCATCTTCTTTTGCCTTTGACTTTATTGAAATACTAGCTGAAAATTTTAGGAAATGAAGCTCATGGATTCTACTAAGAATTTTAGATGATTTGGAACACTTTACTTGTTTTGTAGTTATAATCTCATCAGCAAGTTTCCTCTTGGCTCTACCTCCAAAATATAACCAAATCTCTCTATTCATCTTCGTGTCCATTGTTATCGTCCTAGTTCAATTCAGTATTACCTCTCACCTGGATTTCTACATTAGTAGTTGCTGTGGATTTAATGTTTTTGCCCCCACAAATTTATGTTGAAATTTAAACTCCAGTGCAACAGTGTTAGGAGGTGCGGCCTTTTGGGAGGTGTTTAGCACCTACCATCATGAAAGTAAGAGTTCTACCTTCATGAATGGATTCGTATCCTAATAAAAGAACTGAGGGTGCCCATCGCTTTTTGGCTGTCCACCTTCTGCCATGTAAGGACACAGCATTCCTCCCCTCCAGAGGTCACAGCATTCAAGGTGCACCACCTTGGAAGTGGAGATTGGCCTCTTTCCAGACAATGAACCTACTGGTGCCTTGATCTTGGTTTTCCCAGCCTCTGGACTTTCAAGCCTCTAGAACTGTGAGAAATAAATTTCTCTTTATCATCTACCCAGTCTGGTATTCTGTTAAAGCAGCACAAAATGTACAGAGACAGTAGTTTAGTTCTCCTGCTGTGTATGAAAGGATATATTTGAAATTACTATTCAAATATGATCAGAGATTAGAAATTGAGTTACAGTTTAGGTTTTTAATAAAGAAGGAACATCTTACAAGATTCTCTTAATTTGCTTTAGAATAGAAGCTAGCCCACAAATGTGGTTATTATGTAGTCTGCTCCCACTGCCTCTTAAGATGCATATTGTGTTTATAGTGGTGGAGCTTGCTCCAGCCCATCTCAGGAGAATTTAATATCTACATCAACCCAACCTTCATGCACCCGCACTTCCTCTGACTGTTTCTCTGAGTTGAAGATTGGCAAGAATTGGGTCCAGATAAGAATCAGAGCCTCTGAATAACTAAATAATAAAAAGCTTCCACAAAAGAGTAAATTATGAAGCCAAACCCTTTCAGAGTTTCTATATAAAGAATTATTTTGACCCCAATAATAGATAATTATGGTTGAACATGAAAATTCAATTATTTCCCAGATCCTGATTTTGAATTACCAGGATGGTAGTGTCTTCGGTTTTCAATGCTTTGTTGTCATAATGATAATAAAAAGTAATACTCATATAGTGCTTGTTATGTGTCAGGCATGGTTTACATTTATTATAAGTGAGTGCTGTTATTTCACACGTAAGTTTGAGGCACAGAGGTTTAGTAACTTTCTCAAAGCCATACAGATAGTAAGTTTCTAAGCCAAGATCCAACTTGTGGAAATTTGACTCTAGAATTCTCACTCTTAACCACAACCCAGTGCAACTTTAAAAGTATATTCTCTAAAAAATACTTATGTCCAGAATATATTTTAAAAAACACTTCTAAAAATCATAATAAAGACAATATAATAAAAAATGGTCACAGACTTAAAAACAAGATAAACAAATGGCCAAAAAGCACATGAAAAGATGCTCAACATCATGAGTCATTATGGAAATAGAAATTTAAAACGCTGTGGGATACCACTATATACTCAATACAATGAGTAAAGTTAAGACTGAAAACACCAAGTATTGGCAAGGATGTGGTGCATCTGAAACTGTCATACATTATTGATGGGAATGTGTAACAGTACAACCACTTTGGAAGATAATGTCTTGTATAGTTAAACATGTACCTATCCTGTGACCCGTTAATTCCACTCCTAGGTAATTATTTGAGAAATGAAAAAATGTCTACAAAAAAGACATGTACAAGAATGTTTATAACAGCTTTATTCATAATTGCCAACAACTAGAAAAATCCAAATGCCTGTCCATGTAAGAAAGAATAAATTATGATAGATTTATTCAATTAGAGGACTACTTAGTTAAAAAAAATTAACTTCTGGTACACAAAACAACATGAGAGAAAGAAGTCAGACAAAAAGAGTACAAATGGTAATTCTGTTTGATTCCATTTATTTGAAGGCCCCAAACAGGCAAAATCTCTGTGTTCGGCATAAGGATTTTTGAAGTGATGAAAATGGCCTGTATTTTGATTATCATGTTGATTATACATGTGTCTTATTCTCTTTGGACTACTATAGAAAAATATAAACTGGTTAGCTAATAACAGAAATTTATTTCTTACAGTTTCTACAGACCAATTTGCTTGTTAAGTAATCTAAGCATAACACTTTTCTTTATATGATTTGTGTAAGTGATTCAGATTCCCAGTTGGTAGAATAAATTAAAAATGTAGCTAAACTAAGCATGTTTGTTTCAGCATTTGATTTATAATATTCTGGAACTGTTAGGGACTTCTAGATGCTGCAGTTTAATGTGCTGAAATACAGCAGTTTGTCCTGGTTATAATATTGTAGCAAATGGACATATATAGACAAGTTTTATGGTACCCTGTGTAGTTTGACAGTATTTGCCTCTGGGATCCTTCACAACTTGTTCCGTGGCAATCAGATGTGCTGGAACTACTGAAATGATGAATTGAGGTAGTAGTTTTGTAGTCTTTTATTACAAGAGTAGTCTTTAAAATAAAGGACAACCTTAAAGTCTGTTTTTGGTTTTTGACCTCTTTCAAGTAGGCTACTTTCTGTAGATTTTCATGGAAGTAGTAAACACCTTAGTCACCACATGTTAACTAATGTGTTCTTTGGTTTCTCAAACAAGACTGATGGCTTGGCTGTTTTTTGTTTATGGAAAAGCTAATTCCTGATCTTTGCATCTATTTTAGTAATAGTTATGCACGAGTGCGAGCTGTGGTGATGACCCGAGATGACTCAAGTGGTGGATGGTTACCACTTGGAGGGAGTGGACTAAGCAGCGTCACTGTCTTCAAAGTCCCTCATCAGGAAGAGAATGGCTGTGCTGACTTTTTTATCCGTGGAGAGCGACTCAGGGACAAAATGGTAATGAATAATGTATCTAATACTATAATTTTAGATAATGAATTATCTGTTTAAAGTTATGATTAGTATACTGTTGTGAGTTTTTTTCACCTGTGAATCAGTAATTATGTTTCTGGAGCTGTTTCTGTGTTAAAGGCAGTGAAATACAACATTTTTTTTTCAAACTGAGACTGACATTGATACACATTTGTTGGGGGATGGGGTTGCTGCTTTTCCATTTACGCTTAATGCAGGAGTTAATAAATAGTCCCCCTAGTTATTCAACCGGTAACATCCTGCCTTCCCTTCTCTCAGCTATTCCCTAGACCAGAGATTGGCAAACTAATCCACAGGCCAAATGCAAGCCCACCAATTGTTTTTATATTGTCTGTGAGCTAATAATGGTTTTTATAGTTTTACATGGTTGGAAAAAATTAAAAATAATAATTTTGTGTAACATAAGAATTATATGAAATTCCCATTTCAGTATCCACAAATTAAGTTTTATTCGAACATAGCCAAGGTGATTCCCTTATTAATTCCCTTATTTTCTAGTCTCATAAGACTATCTGGTGGCCAGCCTAATTTTTAACACTATTGTCTTCCATGCAGATGTGTGGTTTCTTACCTGTATACATTTTAAAATTTCAGTTTAACCTTTGATAATGTTATTTGCTCTTTTTTAATTAGTATGGAAAGCTCCTTCACTTTCTTTGTTTCATTTGTGGGCCAAAAACAACTGATTACATCCGAAAAGCTGAGTAATGTTAGTGTCATTTCTGTATCAAGAAAAAGAAGAGCATACACTTAGACGCAAAATAAAAATAAAGTCCCAAAATAGAGCCTTGAAAATAACGAGAATTCCCTTTAAATATATATTTGTGGATCTGTTTATTTAGCATCTTTGTTATTTCTTATGTTTTGAGCTCCAAATAATTCTTCCATGCATGAACAGTTTGAATATGACTTACTTTCAGTTTGGGGGCTTGGTTTCTTCATATTTTTTTTACATCTGAATCATTGTAGTAATTCAGAAAGTTGCTTAACTTTCACTGCCCCAATTTCTTCCCCACTTAAAGGGAGAGTTATCCTAAATCATCTCGAAAGCCTTCCTACACTAATGTTTTATGAGTTTATGATTCACCCATGCTACACATTGTATAATGTGTCTCAGCCAAAATATGTTTAAGTAGAGAACCCCGATTGAAGTCAAAAGTGAAATATGATAAATATGTCATCTTTAAAAAGTTTAAATTTTTAAAGGTGGTCTGGCCTTGGATAAAATGGGATCTGCCATATACTAATGCTTTTTTAAGCCTGGAGACATCTAAGAAGGCGCCTATGATGGTATAATGCTTCTGGTCTGAGCTAATGGTAACTGGGGAATATTGTTGGAGAAATTGTCTATTTTAGAAACCGAGTAAAATGGTGAAAATCTAAGGCATTTTTTTCTAGATAAACTTTTTCCTAAGAATACAAAGGTAGTAGAAAGTAAAATGTGGATTAAGAGAGAAAAATGCTTGCTCGAAAAATTATAAGAACAAGGAAAGGATGATCTAGATGTGAAATAGAAAAAACTCAGTGAAACAGAATATTGGATATAGTAGAGATGGACAGTTTAGGATAATAAGGGACCAAATCTGCATAACTAATTATGAGTCTGCACAGATTGATGGATTGGGTGATTGTTCAGAGTGTGGCTTTAACATAAATAAAGCTAGTAAAAATAAACCTGAGATTCAGAAAGAACAGAAACTTTTATTCCCTATGACAGCTTAAAAATCAAGAGCACTTACCCTAGTCCTAGGGTATAGAATATTGATAGACTAATAAGAAAATAGATTATTTTGCTAGAAGTAACAGGAATCAGAACACCTGATGTTTCACGTAGCCATTTTTCTTTGAGGAAGCTTGTTACTTGTGAAACGGGGATAAGAAACATCTCTCAGTATTGCCATAAAGGAGAGCTTTCAGTCAGAAATTTGCCATATTTCTTAGAGGGATTAACTATAGTATAGCATTCTAGGTAGGTTATGGGGACTTGTGTGATCAAAGGCAGAGGCGATAACTCATGGCTGTAAATTGAAAATAGCGAAGTCTTGTGAAATCTCAAGACAAATGAGACGGTGATATTGAAATGAGATTAATTTGCACCCTCTGCTGGGTAATACACTGTGATCAAGACTACTTCTGAAAAGTCCAGCAGTAGAATTGACATATACATACATTAGTTTACAATATCACTGCATTTTGAGATCACTAATGTTCATTTCTGTAGTCATTGATTTTATTCATTGGTTATTCATTGGTTTTATTTTAACCCATTTTCCTGAGTTCTAGTTTCTTGATTTTTTTTTTTAAAGAAGTATTATGTTTACTGAGTCTGTAAGTCTACAGGGTTCCTCCCAGATTAATGGTAGCTTTCCTTTAAAAGCCTTCTCGGTGAATAAACAGTGCACTTTAGTAGTAGTTCTGATGTAATAGTTATGTGAAAGACAGTTGCTGAAAACTGTTCTGTAACCATTTTGCCTGTGGATCCCATCTTAGAATCCTCTACCTTAGATGAATTCTAGAAGTGAGATTCTTGCCCCTCATATCCCATGAATTCATGCCCTTGAAGAAAGAATAAATATTCAGAAGAGGAGTATATGACCACTCGTGTGGCTAATAAATACAATATTTTAATGAGTGTTTGTAAGTCAGAATACTGATAACAATAGTGAAGAAGATGGCCCTTATCAGTTATGAGAGAACCACTTTCACAGAAGACTTTTCCAACCTTTGATTTACAATTACAGGTACTAAAAATAAGTCTTGTTACGATTCCCAGAAAGTTATATACTTTACTGTTTTATTTTTATTTTTTTATTTTTTATTTTACTTTATTTTATTTTTTTAAGAAAGGGGGCACAAATGAAGAGCAGGCTGCCTGAGACTTGTTCAAGAAGACATCATTTTGTGTAACTGAGTCAGTGTTTACTCATTCACTCATTCAGTGATCCTATGTTGCTTACCTATAAAGCATCTTTATGATGCCTACAAAAGGTGGAGTTTATTTCCTGGATTATCCTTTGATACTCTAAATTGGAGCTTTCCAACCTGTGTGCCATGAGTGTCTGGGGCCTCCAGACTGGTTGCCTTATGTTACTGTTCTATATGTGCCTGAGGAGAGAAGAGTTGGAAAGCACTGCTCTGCATAATTGGCTTTCATGCTTTATGGATGATTGAGAAAGAAAGAATTTGAAAGAAACACCAGGGGTTGGTGTTGTAGCCTAAGAAAATGAAAGTACTACCTTTCTTTGAGACACTTGGGGATGGAATGATCGTTGTTAAGGACAGATTCTGAGAAAGTCTTGGCCGGGCGTGGTGGCTCATACCTGTAATCTCAGCACTTTGGAAGGCCGAGGCAGGCGGATCACAAGGTCAGGAAATAGCGACCATCGTGGCTAACACAGTGAAACCTCATCTCTACTAAAAATACAAAACAAACAACAACAACAAAAAATAATTAGCCAGGCGTGGTGGCACGTGCCTGTAGTCCCAGCTACTCAGGAGGCTGAGGCAGGAGAATCGCTTGAACCCGGGAGGCGTAGGTGGCAGTGAGCTGAGATTGTGCCACTGCACCTCCAATGTGGGCAACAGAGCGAGACTCTGTCTCAAAAAAAAAAAGAAAAGAAAGTCTTACTTGATGTGTGT
The DNA here is from genome assembly GCF_000001405.40 of Homo sapiens. Taxonomy (NCBI): domain Eukaryota; kingdom Metazoa; phylum Chordata; class Mammalia; order Primates; family Hominidae; genus Homo; species Homo sapiens. The sequence goes on from NC_000015.10 coordinate 38,303,223, forward strand.
GAGCTATAGCCTCTGTTTTCTTCTAAATCTTCATAGCCTTGATTTCTTCCTTTAATTCTTTAATACAAGTTAGTATTACCTTGGAGCACATATAATTTAAATTGTTAACTAAAATTTAACTGTTCATTTGTGTACATCATAGAGTTCCACATTGCCTATTTAGTTTTCATTAGATATAATGGTTCTTCTCTGTAAGTAGGACACTTCTGTCTTACAAACATTTTATCAAAATGTTTACCATTTGTATAGGTTATGTTATTTGACCATCTTTATCTGATACATGGTATGTGACATGTAAATTTAAAATACCGAATTATAATACAGCTTAAGATTTTTTAAGTTTCTGAATTAACTAGTATCAAAAGTTTGCTAAAATATCTGTTTACTACTAAACACAGTTTTTAGTTATCATGGGGATCTAAAGTAGTTTTTCTTTAGTTTATATAATAGATAATAAAATATTATAAATTTGCTAGTATTATTAAAATTTGCTAAAGCTATGCTTTTTAAACCATATTATGGGCTAAGGTATGACAAAAGAATAGGCTGAGTAGAAAGATAGGAATCTTTTAAAATGCTTGAATTCCTGAAGATGCTCTGTGGGGACAAGAAAAAGCAAGGTTATAAGACAGTTACCATTATAAACTTAGAGTGACAAAGATAATGTGGAAATGGAGAAAGGAAAAACTAGAAATATTTCCAGTTTAAGAAGTTGCCAAAGAGATTAAGGAATTGTTTTTATGATTAATAAGTAATTAGGTTGTCGATAAAATTGTTTATAGAAGTTGAAGTGCCTTTAAGATAATGGTTCTATTGTTTAAAAAGAGCATGTTTTAAAAATAAGGTTTCTTTCCAGTTACTGTAGCCTAAAACGAAATTAGAATATTTCTTTTCTAGGAAGAAAATAATGTGGTTATAATATAGCAGTAGCTTTATTAAAAATGAGACTCACCCCTTTCTATCATGGGGGAATCTTGAAAGACCAGGGAAACATCTTTCTGCCTTGGGTTGAACTTTATCGAAGTACAGAACAAGAATTTCCTGCTAAGCTTTTCCACTGTGCCTCTGAATTATTCCTTTGTGAAACTTCAGTCCTACAGAAGTGGTCCTCCACTAAAAACCAATTGCCTTAACTAACTTTTCCTTAGGATTCAGCCTTCCTAGCAGTTTTGTTTCTTGAAAGATACTAGTTCCCCTATTCACCGTAATACCACAGTTAGGAAAAGAATGGGAGTGGGAGTAGAGATAGTGGAGTATTGTTATTGTTCCTTATTCCCCTTACAAGTTATTAGTCTATCACCCACATATATAAATCCCATTATTGAATCTGTGTAGCATTCAGATTAGCATCTATTAGCTTTCATTTTCATCTACTCATCTTAGCAATTTCTTCCCAAAGCCAGATTTTCTACATCTGAGCCTCATCATCATTCTTGGCTACTTTTCTTTGCAGTCTCGACCTTCTGGTCTTCATTTCAGCAGGCTACTTTCCTGGATCTCGTTGTTACCCAGAACTGTTCCATTTGAGGAATTTTATAATTTCCTGTCATTTCTTTTTTATTCCCCTCCTACTGCTCTTCAATTTCATGTCTTCGCTATTACATTGTGCCTCCAATTTTTTCCTTAACTAGATTCCTTCTGGCTTCAGTATTTTTTTATTGTTTTCTTTTTTAATTTAATCTAAATCTTTTCAGTCAATCTCTCAAACAACCCTTTCATTCATATTTCAGTAGACAATATGTTGCTAAGTTTTTTTTAACCTTAGTTGACAATAAAGGAACTTCATTGAATCCTACAGTATTTTCCTTCAGTACTCTTTTCTTAGGCCAAGCACGGTGGCTCACACCTGTAATCCCAGCACTTTGGGAGGCCAAGGCGGGTGGATTGCCTGAGGTCAGGAGTTCGAGACCAGCCTGGCCAACATGGTGAAACCCCACCTCTACTAAAAAAATACAAAAAATTAGCTGGGCATGGGGGCAGACACCTGTAATCCCAGCTACTTAGGAGGCTGAGGCAGGAGAATTGCTTGAATGTGGGAGGCAGAGGTTGCAGTGAGCCAAGATCACGCCATTGCACTCCAGCTTGGGTAACGAGAGTGAAACTGTCAAAAAATAAAAAACAAAAAAAAAAAACTTTTTTTTTTTTTCGTTTTAAAGGTGGGTTGTTCATTCATGCAATAAATATTGTTGAGTGGCTACTGTGTGCTAAGCACTGTTGTAGGCACTGGGAATATGTAAGTGAACAAAAATAGAAATCTCAGTTCTTGAGGTAGTATACATTCTAGTGGAAGATAAATATTACAATAAGTAAAACAGGAAAATGATATGCTAGACAGTGCTAAGGGGAAAAAACGTAGGAAAAGGGAGTATAGGGAAGTTTTTTGCTGGGTGTGGGGATTGGCTAAAATGTATATAGACACAGTGACCAAGGAAGGCCTTACCAAGAATGTAGGTAACATTCGTGTGAAGATTATTTATATGGTGATTAAGATCTTATGTTTTAGTTTGTATGTTCAGATTTTCAAATCTTCAGTATTCTTAAAGTAGAATAAATTTATCTTGTTTCAGTTCTTATGTTAAACTATATAAGATCTTGAAATTGTTTGGATTTGGTGAATGTTCTCAAAATGTGCATCAACAATAGTTATAAACTTAGGAATTATCAGTGATCCCTCCATTTATTCAAACAGATCTTCTTTATTCTTGATTCTGTTTCATTCTTTTAATCTCTACCCCTCTCATATCTTTCCTGCAAATAAGGCTACTATTTTTTTTTTCATTGCCCAGTTTTACCTGGCTCCTTCTAACTTCTGTGTTATTTACCATAATTAAATTTCTAAAACTTGGGTCTAATACTTCTTTAGGATTCCCCACTGATTTCCTAGAGACAATTTCATCTCCACATAGAAAATGTTTATAATCTGGCCCTGTCCTCCTTTGCCTTTAATCTGTCTGCCTTTTTTCTCAAAGGTAATCATTTCCATGGTATTTCCTTACTGAGTTACTTGTAGTTCATCAGAAGTACCATGTATAAGAAAATGCCCTTCCCCTTTTACATTAATAAATATGGCACTATATAGATAGCATATTGAGAGATTATGTGGAGTAGAGAATGTTGATAAACATGTTGCTAATGCTCAGAAAACAATAATGGCAGGAAACGGTTTCCTTTTTACTGTCATAGATGGAAAAATAGGAAAACTGGGTTAAAGCACCTTGGACAAACAATTTTGCTGTGAAGAATTGGAATTGAGATAAATGATAATAATAACCAGTCCAGAATCCCATTCTTTTCATTATTAACCCATTGAAAAGGTAATAAATTATGCTATTAATTACTTTCTGTACAACCATGAATTTTGTAGTTTTTCCCCAGCAGTTGTTTTGCAACAGTTAATTATTTAATATTGCTAGCATACCTTGAAGAGGGGGAAGAAGTCTGCCTATTAGCATTTCTGTTCTCTTTCCCCGGAGCCTTGTGGGAACTGGTTCCTGAAAATTAAGATTTAGAAAATGTCCCAAATTATTATACCTTCCTGGTTGCCTTTATTTTCTCATTTAGCTTAACACTTTCACCTTTCTTCAGCAAACTCTTTATTATTACATTTCCTCTTTCTTCTTTCAAACCCTGCATTTGGCATCTGACATATTTCCTCTTTACAATTTATTTTAAACTAACATCATTCCTTTCTGTAGTTACTGCTTTTCACTGGTTGATTTGGTCTGTCAGCCTCATCAATATTGTCTTGGCTTCATTGTTCTCTTTTATACCTGATTGTGGTATATTTCGTAATTTATTTCACATCCTTTCCATTATCTTCCAATTGCCATTAAACTGTAATAGCCTCTATCATAGCTAAATTAAAGCCCAAACTCTGACCTCAAATTATCGACCATACTTATTAGCTTTCCAAATGTTTCTGCACTACTTTTGTTTTATTACATTCTAAATTATAATTTGAATGTGTCATGCTTTTAATTGAGTGGTTGACTGTAGTATTCCTTTGGTTAATCAACCACTGAGTGCCTTCTATGTGCTTGACTTCCTGTATTAGTTTCCTTGGGCTGCCGTAACAAAATAACGTAGACTGAATGGTTTAAACAACAGAATTTATTTTCTCACAGTTATGGAAGGTGGGAAGTCCAAGGTATTGGCCAATTTTCTGTTTCTGGTGTGGGCTGTCTTCCTGGCTTTCAGACTGTCACTTTCTCAAGATGTCCTCACATGGTCTAGAGAAAGAGCTCTGGTGTTTCTTCCTCTTATAAAAGCACTAGCCCTATCAGATTAGGGCCCCACCTTTATGACCTCATTTAACCTTTATCATTTCCTCCCTGGCTCTATTTCCAAATGTAGTCACCATGGATATTAGGGCTTTAACATATGAATTTGAGGGGAGCACAATCCCTTCAGTCCATAGTACTTCCTATTCCATTGTACTGTTTGTCTGTTGATTGTTAGTTGAGTAGTATTCTATGATATGCATGTACACTCTCTAAATTATGGTAACTTTAATAAGAAGTTTAGTATCTGCTAGTGCTAGTTTTTCTCATTAGACTTACTTTAACTTTTGTGGGGAGGGGTATATTTTTGCTTATTCTTTCAGAACTCCAGACAGTTTATGTTTTTTCGCATGTAGGTACATTTACTTAAGTTTTTTCTTAGGGTTATAAAAATGTGGCAAGGGGCTATTGTAAATGATATATTTTAAAAATCATTTTTGGTATCTTTTGAAGCTCTTCATGCAGCTTTTAGAATAATGTTAGACAATATTGGTGATATAATATCTATTTTCTTTGGGAATTTAAAGGAATTTCTAATGTTGCACAGATAAGTATGATGTCAGCTGTTGTCTTGAGATGTCCTTTACCATGATAAGGAAGTGTTCTTATGTTCTCCACCTCCCCAGACTAGAATTTGATACTAATTTTTATGAAATCTGATTTTGCAAATGTCTCACAGACTTTTTAAATTGAAATTTTTGTTGAGATAATTGTAGATTATTAATTGCTATTGTAAGAAATAATAAATGCTGTGTACACTCTAACCTGTTTTCCCAGTGGCAACATTTTGCAAAACTATATTGTCATATCACAGCGAGGATATTTCTGTTGATACAATCTATCATATTCAGATTTCCTCAGTTACTTGTATTCATTTTTGTGTGTATTTTATTTAAGTCTGTACAGTTTTATCACGTTTTCACTACCACAGACAAGATGCAAAACAGTTTAACAACCACAAGAATCTCTTCTTTCTGTTGATTTTATCACCACATCTATTTCCGTTTTTGCCAGGCAACCACTATTTTGTTCTCTCAATTATTTCCGTAATTTTGTCTTTCAAAAAATGTTATAAAAGTGTAATAATAAGTATGTAACCTTTCAGGATTGACCTTTTTTCTTTCATGATCATTCTCCGAGGGTTGATCCAGGTTATTGAGTATCTCCAGAGTTTGTTCCTTTTATTGTTGAGTAGTAGTCTGTGATATGTATTTATATGACTTACTGAAGGACATCTTGGCTGTTTCCAGTTTGGGACTAAATATAACGTTGCTGTGAACATTCACATACATGTTTTTTCTGTGAATGTAAGTTTTATTTCTCTGGGGTAAATGACCAGGTATGCAGTGGCTGGGTTGTATGGTAGTTGCATATTTAGTTTTGTTAAGAAACTGCAAAACTTTTTTCTAGAGTGGGTTTATCATGCCACATTGCCACCAGCGGTTTATGAGCAATCCATTTTCTAAGCATCCTCACCAGCATTTCAAGTAGCCACTATTTTTTGTTTTACTCATTCTGAGAGATGTGTAGTGATAATAACTTATTGTGGTTTTAATTTGCATTTTTCTGATGACTAATGATCATCTTTTCATTTGATTATTTGTACCTTCTTTGGCGAATGTCAGTCTTTTTGCCCATTTTCTTATTGGATTGTTTGAGGGGTTTTCTTGTAGATAGCGTCTTCTTCTAGTGCAGTGGCGTGATCTTGGCTCGCTACAACCTCTGCCTCCCGGGTTCAAACGATTCTCCTGCCTCAGCCTCCCAGGTAGCTGGGACCACAGGCATGCATCACCACACCTGGCTAATTTTTGTATTTTTACTAGAGATGGGGTTTCACCATGTTGGCCAGGCTGGTCTTGAACTCCTGACCTTAAGTGATCTGCCCGCCTTAGCCTCCCAACGTGCTGGGATTACAGGCGTGAGCCACCGTACCCAGCCTTGCTTTTTTACTATTGTGTTTGGAGAGTTATTTGTATATTCTAGCTACTAAGTCCTCTGTTGGAATACGTGGTTTGAAAATGTTCTCTCCCAGTCTGTAGCTTGTCTTTTCATCTTCTGAACATGGCCTTTTGCAGACCAAAGTTTTAAATTGTGATAAGGTCCCATCTATCAAGTTTTTCTTTCATGGATCATACTTTGGTGACAAGTCCAAGAACTCTTTCCCTAGCCATAGGTCATGAAGATTTATCCTGTGTTTTTTTCCTGAAAGTTTTATATAATAGTTTCACCTTTTACATTTAAGCCCATTGTCCATTTTAAGTTAACTTTTGTGTAAATTGTGATACTTAGATCAAGGGGTTTTTTTTCCTATGAATGTCCAGTTTTTCCTGCACCATTGTTGAAAAGATTGGATTCCTCCCTTGAATTACTTTTGTTCTCATTAAAAATCAGGTAAGCATATTTGTGTTCTTTATTATGTTCCATTTCTCTATTTGTCCATCCCTCCACCAGTATCACACACTGTATTATTGTGGCTATATAAGAAGCCCTAATACAGAGTAGAATGATTCCTAATACAGAGTAGAATGATTCCTCCCATGTTACTCTTCTTTCTCAATATTGTTTTAGCTATTCTGGGTCTGTGCTTTTCCATATAAATTTTAGACTATTCTTTGTGTGTGTGTGTGTGTGTGTGTGTGTGTGTGTGTGTGTTTGGAGACGAAGTTTCGCTCTTGTTGCCCATACTGGAGCGCAGTGGCGCGATCTCGGCTCATTGCAACCTCTGCCTCCCAGGTTCAAGCTTTTCTCCTGCCTCAGCCTCCCGAGTAGCTGGGATTACAGGCACCTGCCACCACGCTCGCTAATTTTTGTATATTTAGTAGAGACGGGGGTTTCACCATGTTGACCAGGCTTGTCTTGAACTTCTGACCTCAGGTGATCCACCCACCTCTGCCTCCCAAAGTGCTGGGATTACAGGCATGAGCCACTGTGCCCAGCCAAATTTTAGAATATTCTTGTATGTATCTACAAAAAAACCTTACTGAAACCTTACTGGGGTTTTGATAGGAATTGTATTAAACCTGTGGATCAACTTGGGGAGAATGGACATCTTTACTATGATGAACTTCTAATTCATAAATACACTGTGTCTCTGTTTAGGTCTTTGAATCCTTTCATTAACATTTTGTGATTTTCAACACATAGATCTTATATGTTTTGTTAATTGTATACCTGAATGTTTTTCTTATATGTTTTGTTAATTGTATACCTAAATGTTTTGTTTAGAGCAATTGTAAATACTATTGTGTTTTTAATTTTGGTTACTGCATGTCCATTGTATATAGACATGCTATTAATTTTCATTTGTTGTTCTTGTATCCTGTTACATAGACATATTTAATTCTTTATTTAAATTCCCTGGAATTTTTTAATGTTGACATCATGTCATCTACAAATAGGAAGGGATTTATTTCTTCCTCTTCAATCTATATGTCTTTTCTTTTTCTTCCCTTATTTCTGTGGCTAGAACCTCCAATTCTATATGGAATACAATGGTAGTAGAGTACATCCTTGCCTTGTTTCAGATATTAACCAAAACACATACACTCTTTCACTTTTAGTATATTGTTGGCTGGGGTTTCTTGCAGGCATTTTTTATCAAATTGAGATAATTCTACTCTTGCTAACTTGCTGATAATTTGTATCATGACTAGATATTGGAGTATGTTAAATTTTTTTTGTGTCAATTGATCACATTAGCCTGTTGATACGATAGATTATATTGATTGATTTTTAAATATTGAACCAGCCCTGTTTCTGCAATAAATCCCACTTGGTCATGGTGTATAATTTTTGATACGTTGTTGGACTTGGTTTGCTAATATTCAGTTGAGGAATTTTGCATTTAAGTTCATTAGAGATAATAGTCTGTAGGTCGGTGGGGGTTTTCTTGGTACTGTTTTTGTTTAATATTGGTGTCAAGGTAATACTGGCCTCATTAAAATAAGTTGGGAAGTACTCCCTCATATTCTGTTTTCTGGAAAAGACTGTAAAATTGGTGTTAGTTCGTTTTTAGATGGTAGAATTTTTCATTGAAACTATCTCAATATGAAGATCTCTTCAGAAGATTTTAAATTACAAATTCAGTTTCTTTAATTGTTATACGACTATTCAGGTTATCTATTTCATCATGGTTGAATTTTTATAATTTGTGATTTTTAAATAATCGGTCAATTTCTTTTAAGTTGTCTAACTTATGAGCATAAAGTTGTTCTTAGTACCTCAGTTATTCTTTTAAAGGCTGCAGGAACTTTAGCAGTATCCCGTTTCATTCCTGTAATGGATTTGTGGCTTTGCTCTTTTGTCAGTCTTGCTAGAGATGTATCAATTGTATTGGTTTTTAGAAAAGTAGTTTTTGTTTCACTGATTTTTCTTCTATTTTCAATTTTATTTCTGTTGTCATTTTCTTTTTGCTTGCTTTGGGTTTATTTTGCTCTCCCTTCTTTAGTCTCTGGAGGTAGGAACTTCAATTATTGATTTGAGATTTTTCCTCCTTTGTAAAGTCCAGACTTTTGAAAAGACTTCAGTTCACTATAGTATAAAGTTTTGGTTTTATAAAATTTAACATTATTTATTAAATTATTCAAATTTATACATACTTTTTTGTTTAACTTTCAAAGGTTGAATATCTCCAACTGTCATGTTTTTGGATATTTTTGTGTTTCTAAATGGTTTCTGTGTTATAATAGGGTATTGCTGTATCAATTGGTTCATAAGGTTCGTAACTGTTAAAGTCTTAGATCTTCGAGATTCATTTCATCAACATTATATGAGCCCATCTCCAAATTATAGAAATCCAGTGAGAGAAAAGAGAATTGCCTAAGCTTATTTAGTTTTATTCTGGCAGTTTAGAAATCTAGCAACCTGTGGGGACCCAAGAAAAAGCTGAGTCAGGAAGCCTGTGCCCGATTGTTTTTTGTTATTTTTTAGTGTGCCTACCAGGAGTCAGAGCCATATTAATTCCTAATTAGGAGTCAGTTTTGACAATGCCCTCCCCTTTTGTGGGTAGAATTCCCCTACAGTATCTATAAAAGGTGGTGACATTCTTGTTCTTTGACCTCTAGTCCTTGATATATTTCCAAGATGTCCTGGTGGAATCCCAGTATATCTCACCTCACATTCCCCTCATCCCATGTCGTCGTTGCTTTCTAGTCATTCACTTTCGTTAATAGTTACAGGTCTCTAATGGTTTTCTATTTTATTTTTCAGTTAGTTTGGTAAGTTACAGTTTTTTAGGAAATTGGCTTGTTTCACTTAAGTTTTCATATTCAGGGTCATAAACCTTTATATTGTATTCTTTATTAATTTTTAAATCTTTACTTTTAGTTTTGTCCCTCTTTTTCTTCCTAACATAGTTTATTTGTACTTTTTCTTTTTTTCTTGTCCATTTCACTGGTCTTTGCAAATAATCAGCTGTTGGCAAGGATACTCTCAAGCCCTCTTGTATACCTTTTACCTAAATTCTCCAATTTTTAACATTTGCCACATTGAATGTATCATTTTCTCCCTCTCCCACACGCACACACCCACATACACAAAAAACACTTTTTTTCTGAACTATGTGATGTAAGTTGCATTACAGCCTGCTTTTTACCCTAATTGTTCAGTGTATTTTTCCTAAGAACAAGGATATTCTCTTACAAAATTATAGTGTATTTATCATATTTAGGAAATTAACATAAATACAGTCTTTAATCTACAGTCCCTATTCCAGTTTTTACAACCGTCCATGTAATGTTCTTATGACAATTTTGTTTCTTCAGTATAAGATAATGTAGCATTTAACTGCCATAGCTCTTTAGTCTTCTGTAAAATGGAGCAGTGCCTCAGTCTTTAATGACATAGACATATTTAAAGAATACTGGGCAGTTATTTTATAGAATGTTTCTCAATTTGGATTTTTCTAATGTTTCCCCATGATTAGATTCATATTATTCATCCTTGCCCAGAATATCATATAACATCTTGTGCTAGAAAGTAAAGTTGTACTCAATGGGTGAAATCTTGTTGAAAAGACACAAGTCAGCATGAAGGAGTTCCCTTTATCCAATTAAAGTAGGATAAATGATTATAATTCATTGACTAAAACAGGAATTCATATTATCCGTTACATTATATTATATTATCTGTTATATTATATTCTATATTATATCATATTATATTCTAAACAAGCAAGCAAATGGTGAAAAAGTAGTTCTTCCTTTCTGTAGATATTTTTAAATGAATTCATACTCTTTATTTCTTAATACATTTTTGGGTTTATTATATTCATTTTTAACATTTTAAATTGGACATTGAGTTCATTTTATTTTCAGATTTTGATTTTCACTCTAAGCTTTTTAAACTACAAATTTCCTTTTTGGCTTCTTGTTTTGGATTGTTGCACTACACAAATTTTTATATGGAGTTAATTTCATTATCTTTTAGGTCTAAGGGTTTTCTAATTCTCATGCTGATTTATTTGATTCACTTGTCATTTAGAAGCAGGTGTAATTTCTTTCAAAAGAACAGGTATTTTAAACTAAAGTTGTATTGCATTATGTTTAGAGATGATAGCCTATGCAATAACAGTTATATTTGTCAAGATATATGTTATATTGTGGGTAAATGATTAATTTACCTAAGTGTTCCACATATTTTAGAAGAATGTATTTTTCAAGTAATTCATACAGGTTTCTGCATGTGTCCCATAGGTCAGATGTTTTAATGGTGATATTCAAATCTGCTTTATCTTTACTAATTTTGTGTCTATTTCATCTATCAATTATTGAGACATATATTCAGATATGTTACTCTGATTATAGATTTGTCAAGTTTTTCTTGTGTTTATTCTTGCCTAATAAAAATGTATGGATTATATTTCTACTAAGTGAACTTTATTCATTATACCTTTTAGCCTAAGAGTCCATTTTGCTTATTACTGTCAGCATCCACCACCTTTTCCCAATATTATAATGTCAAGTTTAATTCCAGCTGAACACTTTTTCATATCCTTGTAGTCATGTGAGCCTCCAGTTAAATTTTATTCCTCTATTGGTTGTTTGTTCTAATTTTTATTATTTGCACACATACGTGTATACTTTCTCACCTCATTTATTTAAGTAGGATCTAGGTAGAAGTGTGGGTTTATTGGAGTATGGGAACTGTAGATACTGGTGTTCCAGTTACTATCTTTTTGAGTGAAAATAAAATACCTATGTATGTCTGACTGTCAAATATTTGATCTCTTTTGTAACTTGCTGTTTTTTATATTAACTATTTAGTCATACAAAAATAATGTGTGTTAAAATAAAGTGCCATAATTATGAAAATATGATACCATTTTCTTTCCTTCTCTCCTCCTTTATTCCTTTTTTTCTCCCTCCTTCCCTTCCTTTTGTGGTAGCTGAAGGTAACGGAACTGCTATTGTGTGAGAATCACTGCCATTGCTGTTTCTGTTACTTTTATTTTTCAATGTCTAAAGTCCCACTCAGCTCAGAACACAGTGTTAAACACAAATTTATATTAATAGACAATTGTAAAAACATGTATTTGATAACATAATTCTATATAGAATGTCATAATGTATTTCTTAAAGGGTACAGGTTTTTATGTCATTCAGAAAATTAAAGTTCATTATAAGGGCAACTATTTGAGATATCAGTTATTGACTTTGGTTATCAAGTAATTTAATCTGAATTTGGAATTATTATTTTAAAAATGAAATTATTTTTCATTGGATTCAAAGGTATTTCAGAAAGTTACTAGTAAAAATTTTTATGTCTGGTTACCAAGCATACTACTTCTTAGATAACACTATTTGTGAACATATAATTATCTACTCGTAAGATAGCAACTACAATGTAGTACTTAGTAATTTAAAAGTATATATTTAATTGTACTCTCTTCTTCCAAATTATTAGTTGTTATTAGTGAAACAAAATGCACTTACACCCATTTTTGGCTTGGTCTATTTTAAATGCTTCTGGCATGCAACACAGTTATTTTACGATGGGAGTTTTGCTCTATATTTCCCAAAATAACTTGGAATAAGTCTTCAGAAGTTGTAGTTACTTAGTAATCACAGTTTCTCCCCTTTTTTCCCCCTCTGTAAATTCTCACCCTGGAACTTTTTTCAGATGAAGGAAAAGGGTTGGAGATTGAAGCATTTTTACAGCCTTTAGAATCCATTAACAAACTCTTCAGAATTTACTCACATAAGTTCTTTGAAGTGCTTAATAGTTGTATCTGTCACTCAAACACCTCTGTCTCCATACTCAAAAATCCTCTTCATAAATAATGATCTCCCATCCTCGCATAGCAAGTAACCTATTGTGGGGTAGTGGCATCACCTAGTCACCAACATCACCATCACTACTAAGATTTATTGAAGATTTACTATGTGTCGGGCAGTATTTTGAATACTTTATTAGTTCATCTAATTCTCAAAAGTCAGCTGGATGGTGAGTGGTAGAGACTGGATGGGACCCAGCAGGTCTTGGCTACAAAGCCTACAAGCTTAACTAATTACTCTACTGAATTCTTACACAGTAGTAACTGTTTTCTTCTTCCTTGGGAAGTGAATGTGTCATGTTCCTGGCCTGTTCTATTTTTCATAGCTTAATCATTTTATTTTGAACACTTTTCACTCATATAAAAATCAATTTTTGTTAAACACCTTCTTCCGCTGTCTCTTAACCTGGTGTAGTATAAGGAAACCGTTTGTTTTCCCTCTCCCTTCATCTGTATCAGATTTTAATAAATTTATGTCAACAGTATTTTCAGTTTTCTTGAAGTCCAGAGTTCACCTGTTTATCTGTTTATCTGTATTTTCGTAAATAACATCTGTTTAATGTTAACAGACAAAAACATAAAAAATAAAAATAGATTTTAAAAGTTATTTTTGTTACCACTGGATTGAAAGACTTTAAGATCTTCTTAAAATATCTGTGGTTCCAAAAATATTTACCTTGCTAGTAAAGAATTTAGACTTGTATGTCTTAAGCAACTTAGATTTGTTAAGATCTGTGTTGGAATGCAAAGTTGTGCTACCAAATACACCACATAACTGTATTTTCCTCCTTTATTATTATAGTCACTTTCCTAAAGCCGGCTCCAGCCAGTCTATTTGCAGCAATTATATTGTACTCCAACCTGGCCAGATCTGTTTGTAAAAGTCTGAATTTTTCTTCATGCAATCAGTATAAACATTTAAGTGCTTTTGAATTTGTTGCGGCTTTTTCTAGTTTACAATTTTCCATTATATGTTTTTTTTTTTTTTTTTTTTTTTTGGTTAATGTCTTTATTTCTAATCCCTGTGCATTTGTAGATGATGAAAAGTTCAAAAAGTTCTAGTACTAATAATAAAACATTAATTTGTTCTTTGTCAACCAGCCACATTTTTAATGGATCAGTGAAGGGTTATTCGTGTCATATTATTTTGGCATCATATTCTTTATAGTTATTCTTGTTGATTGAGTCCTACATTTAATATTTACTTTACAGTAGCTGTCTACACTTCTGATGTCTTTCCAGTTTATTAATATAAACTATATTTTGAGTAAAAAAGAGGGTGAGGCCACTGGTTGGCTTTTAAATTTATCTTTACTATCTATTTTATGAATGTCCTTCATTAATACGATGGGGACCTGATGAAATTCACACCCACAACTAATTAATACTAGCAAGAAGTTTATTCAGCTTTTAATTAGAATTAGGGATATATTCCAATAGACTGAATATTTTTAAGATTATGTTTTTAATAGCTTCTGGCAATGGCCTTTAGGATAGTCTTAACAAGACTTAGAATTATTTATTTCCTTTTGCACCATGTCTTGTCTTACAAAGAAGACAAGATGTTAATTGCCATTGGTAATTAGTCTAACTTCCTATTGGCCAGAAGTAATGTATCCCTTTACCTCATTTCTCCTACAAAGTAAATAATTCACTTGGTAATATGGCATTGGTTGTTTTTAATCTCTTGTCAAAGATGTAATTGCTATTTTCTACAGTTTGTTTGCTAATTATGCCAATCTCAAATATGGTAATTCAGCATTGAACTCTGCTTCCTGTATGATTGTTGTTACTAATATTACTATTATCTTAAGATACAGAATTAATACAGTGAAAACTACATTGGGCTAAAGTCAGAACTTAGTGTTCTGATATAGTTGAGAAGGGACGTGAAAATAGCCAGCAGAATTCAGTAATTTTAAGAATCCTCTAGCCCTTAAAATTATTTTTGCTTTTCAGGAATGTAGATTTAGTTCTCATCAGATGATGAGTAAACATCTTCTGAGGCATTCTTTTTTTCTGCTTTCTTTTTTTTTTTTTAACAACTTTCAACCCCATTGATTTTTTTTTTTAAGTTTGAAGTAGACAGTTGGTATCTGTCTCTGTTACTTAATCAAGGTGTACTATACATTGTGTTTAGTATGATGAAAGTACATTTTACAAAATGCTACTTAAAGTCAAAAGCAAAACAACTTTCTAATATATTGTGTCACTTAGATAAATAAGAAAATATTGTACATTGCATAGGGAACCTATGAGAATTATGTAAATGAGCAATAGACTGTTCTAGGAGGCATATCCTAAAAATTATCTACAAAGATGTTGGGTGATTGTGCCAATAGATTACCTTTTTTCTATTCCACTGCCTATTCCAAAATTCATTTTAGCAGCTACCATAGAAGTTTTTCCCTAAAGGATAATCAGTTTTATGGTACATTAAATATATAATGCCAACAGTATTTTCTCGTATTTTTATAGATAGACGTAAACAAGTTGAGATCTAGTTTATAATTAGTATGTTTTTGTACTGGTTGGTATGATATTTAAACTCAGTATTTTCATGACTTTTACGTGGAACACATTTCTGCATGGGTATTTATGTGAGTCAAAGAGCTAGTTCATTGGCCTCTTCATTTCCTCAGTGCATTTTAAAGCTCATTTTTATTGATTTATTTACAATTTCATCTTTTAGATTCAAGGGGTACATGTGCAGATTTTGTTACCTGGGTATATTGGGTAATGCTGAGGTTTGGGCAATAATGGATTTTGACACCCATGTACTCAATAGGTTTTGAACTCTTACCTCCCTCCTTCTCTTTCCCCTGTAGTAGTTCCCAGTGTCTATTATTGCCATCTTTGTGTCTATGAGTATTCATTGTTAGCTCCCTCTTATAAGTAAGAACATGTGGTGTTTGGCTTTCGGTTCCTACATTAATTTGCTTAGGATAATGGCCTCTAACTATATCCATGTTGCTGCAAAGCACATGATTTCATTCTTCTGTATGTCTGTTTAGTATCCCATGGTATATGTTTTATAAGTATATACATACCACATTTTCTTTATTTAATCCACCATTGATGGACACCTAGGTTGATTCCATGTCTTTGCTATTGTGAATAGTGCTTGAACTTATTTTTAAAACTACTTTTTCTGTGAGTGTTGGGAGGCTCTAAACAATAGATGCCATTTGAAGACAAGATTAGGGTAGATCACATTGAAATTTTATTTGAGAGTTAATAGTTGAAAATATTAATTTTGTAAAATAGAAGAGGGGGCTAATTCAGTAATATTTTCATGTATTAAAAATTAATTTGGTGTTATTATTATATATTAAAAAACTAGAATCAAACTGTTTTTATGTCTTCCCCTTTTTAACAATTCCAATTTAGCATTGTTTTACAAAATACTGCTTTTCCCACTGTTTATGAATATAGTATAAATGTTGCAGTAATTTATGACACTACCATTTACTTCCCCTTGAATTCTAGAACTTAATCGTGAATTGTTGTTGTTGTTGCAAAATGGTTGTAACAAATATTTAATAGTAAATCTGTGTAAAATGCTTTAGCAAAGTGCCGACTCAAAAAAGCTCTGGATACATGTAAATTATTTTCTTTTTTTGAGACAGAGTTTTACTCTTGCTGCCTAGGCTGGAGTGCAATGGCATGATCTCGGCTCACTGCAACCTCTGCCTCCCAGGTTGAAGTGATTCTCCTGGCTCAGCCTCTCGAGTAGCTGAGATTACAGGTTCCCACCACCACGCCCGGCTAATTTTTGTATTTTAGTGGAGACGGGTTTCACTATGTTGGTCAGGATGGTCTTGAACTCCTGACCTCAGTTGATCCACCCGCCTCAGCCTCCCACAGGGCTGGGATTACAGGCGTGAGCCACTGTGCCTGGCGGTTAATTCTTTTCTAATACACATAGAGTCATCAAAGTATAGGAAGCAAAAGTCTTGAGAGAATTTCACTGCATTGCCTATAAACGGGCAGGACTGAACCTTAGTCACATTTTTGGTTATTTCTGAATTAATAAAACTTACTACCAAGAATTATTATATTCAGTGGTATGCTGATAAAAGGTTTAACAATCAGCTTTCAAGAGGGGACACAAGTCAATGATTTATAGCATTTACATACCTCTACCATGGCTGCTTTTACTCAACATGCCATCATTGCATATAGCATTGGGAAGAAATGAGCAGCAGTGTGGCATTATATAGTATTTCCACCGTACAGATATGACAGACATAAACTACCTCAAGAACCTAGGTAATTGTAAAAATATAGTAAAATAATTAGGAACTGATGAGTTTTGTGTATTTATTATTTTATTTTTAATGCAATTTATTTCATTGTAGAGTTATATATTCTAGCTTTTAACAATGGCTTCCAAAATTCTTGAAAATTTAATATCTGGCTCTTGGGAGCCAGTATAAGCAGACTCTAGCAGACCTCCCCTCCAAAAGTATAAATTAGAGATTCCTAGTCCATGATCTGTGAATGAGTTCCTTGGGAAGTGCATAAAGCCTAAAAGATTTCTGAGGAGAAGTATTGGTTGAGTACCTAATGTTTGTCTGCCACTGTAGTTTAAGGATTTGGCAAACAGACAAAGACCAGCTCATGCAGGGCCTAGTAGGTCATAGTAAGAATTTTAGTCTTGAAAGCATTGAAAAGACATTGAAACTAGGGAGTGGTCCAGTAAAGTTGCTATTTTTTTTTAAGAAAAATTATTACTCTACCTGCAGAGTAGTGCAATTACTATTAGTAATTCACTACTACTAGTAATATCTGAGGGGATCATCAGCAGTGCATGGAAGAGATGTGCAAGTGATAATGGTGATTGGAAAAGAGTGGAGGTAATGAAAATACAACCTTTCACCAAATACCAGCTGAGCATTTATTATGTGTCATGTGCTACTATGGGTTTCATTTGAATTATTTTTAATTCTTTTCCTCCTGTTTTCTTATAGGGGATTCTTAAAATAATTAAGGTGTGTAGTTCTAGTCTTTTTATTAGATTAATTGCAAAGATCACTAATATATCCACTTTTGTTTTATTTGACAACTAACATATATTAAAAGCATACTGTGAATATGATGAAAGACAGGCCCAGGAACGAAAGACTGAAGAGACCTTATAACTGTCCTGGAATGGATCCTATACTGGAAGGATTTTTAAAATGCTCTAAAAGGTGTTATTAGTATAGTAGGCAAAAGTGGAACGTGGTCTATGGAACATGGTCTATAGATTAAAGTTCTGTGTTGGTTTTAAATTTCCTGAATGAGATCACCATACTGTGATTACATAAGAGAATAGTATTGCACTTAGGAAATATACTCAAGTGTGTATTAAAGAGCAGTAGAACATAATATATGTAACTCCTTTGAAATAGTTCATAATAAAGTAAATTAAATGTTTATACATGGATATATGTGGAGAGAATGTTAAAAATTAATGTGATAAATCTGGATAAAGGGAAAACAGGAATTTTCTGTGTTATTCTTGTTACTTTTCTACAAATTTGAAATACTTTCAAAATAAAAAATTTAAAAACCAAGGGTATATTGCTTCATGCATTGCATGAAGCTCTTAACATGAATGCACATTCGGTCATTCCACTCTAAGCTCTGGGATATTTTAGTACTGCAATTTCTGTTTTACAGATGAGTAAACTAAGGCTTCAAAAGTTAGGTAACTCACTTAAATGCATATTTTGAAAAAGTGGCCAAGTGTATTTGTTTTACTGCTGTGACCATTAAATCCTTACACAAAATATAAATACGTCTTTTAAGAAGTTTAGGAAAATGACTTTATTTTGTTTTGTTTTGTTTTTGAGACAAAGTCTCACTGTGTTGCCCAGGTTGGAGTGCAGTGACGTGATCTCAACTCACTGCAACCTCCACCTCCTGGGCTCAGACGATTCTCCTGCCTCAGCCTCCTGAGTAGCTGGGATTACAGGCATGTACCTCCACACCCAGCTAATTTTTTATATTTTTAGTAGAGATGGGGTTTCACCATGTTGGCCACGCTGGTCTCAAACTCCTGATTTCAAGTGATCCGCCCGCCTCGGCCTCCCAAAGTGCTGGGATTACAGGTGTGAGCCACTGCCCCCAGCCAAAAATGACTTTAAAAAGTTAAATTTCTATTATTACCAACCCCCTGCCTGTTTCCTGGAAGTAATTCCTGATATATTCCTCCAGAAATTTTGTATGCAATGGGAGTGTATATATGTGTGTATTCTTAAAATGGGAGTATAATAAGCATCCTGTTTATAATGTGCATTTTTTTATTCCATCTTAATCTCTTTATTGAGTGACTTTGTGAAGTAGACCACTTTATTTAAAATACTAAAAATTATTCATTAAAAAGTAATAGCGTTGTATCACCTCAGTTTGTATTTATGAGCTACATTAGATGCATTTGATATATGTATATTAATTTTTGGTATTTGGCTTTTGTCAGGTGGTTTTGGAATGTATGCTTAAAAAAGACCTCATTTATAATAAGGTCACTCCAACATTTCACCACTGGAAGATTGATGACAAGAAGTTTGGTCTTACGTTTCAAAGTCCTGCTGATGCTAGGGCTTTTGATAGAGGTATCCGAAGAGCTATAGAGGATATTTCTCAAGGTAGGTATTCTTGACTATTTTCTTAATTTATTTATCGGTTATATATAGTAGAGGTTATCTTTCTTAAAGTTGACCCAAAGTAGTTTTCACACTTTAACCATGTCAGCTTTTGTGATATGTGACCAGGCTTTGAAACCTCACAATAGATGAAGATAAAATAATAGATTCCTTAACGTGATTTGTATTTGTCACATCATAGTCTATGTCAATTGCATGTATTATCTTGAAGAGTCCATCAACAGCTGACTTCAGATAATTCAAATGTTTTAAAATAAGAGCTTGAAGGAAGAGGGAATAGAAATGTACAGCTGCGAGAATCCCAGTTGGTATTCTACTTGTGTATGTATGACACCAGTCACATCCTTTTTTTGGGTAATTATATAGAACTTGTAATATTCAAATGTATGTAGACTCTAGTTATTCCATGACAAAAGTCTTTACTTGATTGATTTCATTATTGAGGATTGGCAGAGACCACAAGCTCATCTATTCCTTTGTTATCTTGCCAGTCTATTAAAATTATTAACTCAAAAGCATACAGGTTTTGAAGGGAAGAATAATGTTTTTTCATGTAAGACTGGCTTATGCTTACTTAAACAAAAATCACATTAAAACCCATTTCTTCCCATAAAGGAAGAACTAAGACTTGATTTTTTTTTCTAATTAGGAGGAAAATTATTTCAATTTAACTAACTTTCTATATAAAGTAACTGAAAGTGTGCTAGACTACGTTGTGATTTGTGTTATTTTGAAGATGTCATTTTAATAAGAAAATCTGAAAACATAAACTGTGAGACCAGTCACAGGCAAGAACATGGAAATACATTGTACAAATCTGTTTTGATAGTGCATAAAACTGTAGTTAAGTAATTTATTTAGCTACTTTAAAAGATTAGAATTTGGTAAATGAGTAATTTTTTATTCTGATCCAGAAAAAATTACTATGAAGTAATAGTAGCCATTTTGTCTTTATTGTAAGACCCCATAAATTCTCCTTAGATCAGTGTTCTTAACCTTGGCTACACATTAAAATCACCTGGGAAGCTTTTGAAGCTTAAAATGACTAGTCTGCACTCCAGACCAATTGAATCTATCTGGGGAATAGAGTCGAGTCATCCCTTATTTTTCAAAAACTCCAAGAAAGTTCAAATATGGTGAAGAATTGTTCTCTAGTCAAGGAATTGTAATTTGAATTTGAAGAAAAAAAAATAAGAAACTTAAAAAAAAAAATACATGATGTTCTGTGCCTCATTCCACAGAGATTCTGATATATTTTGGTTTGACGCCATACTCTGGCATCAGTGTATTTTTTGACAATTCCTCAGTTGATTCTAACCTTTAGCCAGGTTTGAAGAACCAGTGCTTTAAAGAGAGAGAAAAATAGTATCCATGGCTGCTGGAATTTATATGATTTAAAGTTTTGAATTACTTTTAAGTTTATGCTCATGTACCATAACAGTATACCTCTTTCACTAGGATCAAACAGATTGGGTTTAATGTTTTAAAAAATGATTTATAAGGAGTAGCTTACAAACTTCTAGGTAGAGTAGACTACAGTACTTAGTCTGCCTTGTTATTTTTGAACATTAAAAAACATTAGCTAGCATTATTATCAGCTGCTATATAGACTTTCAACAATCTCAAATTGCTTTTACTCGACCTTCTGTGACAAAAAGATAAAATATGCTGCTCTTTCCAAAGGGCGCATTTCTTCTTATCTCATGCCTACTCCGTGCTAAGCTGTGCCTCTCAAGGGTAGCATGAACTAAGAGTACTTTGCTAGGACAAATCCTTTCTTATTAATTTATTGAAACTAAAGGTACTCTTAACAGCATGAAAATCTGTACAGAGACGTTGATGCAAAAAAGTCAGTAACAACAATTGGCCATTAACTGTCAATAGTGGATTAAAACTCATTTGTTTTCCATCTTAGCTAAAGCAACTAAAATCCTGGTTATGGGTACTAAATACTGTTTCCTGGGTCAAAGCATTTAGAAAAATTGAATAAATCACATCTTAGCATCACCAGAGCAATGTAATTATAATCTGCCTAGTAATTTTGAGTATTTGGGAGAAACTAGGGGCAGGGGTAGCTAGAGATAGTATACTTTCAGAGAAAACATCTCGTTAGTAAGCAGCTGGAAATTTACCTATAGAGGAGGGAAATAATTACATTATTCTCCATTATTCTAACAGGGGCAAATGCAAGTGGCCAGTACCTTAATTGCCAGGCAGTCCAGAAAGATCTCTGATTAGTCTTCTAAAGTATTATAATGACATAATCAATTAGTCATTAATACTGGACTCTAAGACAAAAATTCTATACTTAATTAACTTTTATCTATTTTCTTAGGATGCCCCGAATCAAAAAATGAAGCTGAAGGGGCAGATGACTTACAAGTAAGTAATGGCTTGGAAGGAATTTGTAAACATAAAGGATGTGGAAGAAATCACTAGCCTTATTCAATAAACTTATCAATTACTAAGAATATTTCTAAGACACTCTATTTGTCAGATTTCTCCAGAAGAAAAGAACCAATACAGGTTGAGCATCCCTCATCTGAAAATTTAAAATCTGAAATGTTCCAAAATCTGAAACTTTTTTTCTTTTTGAGACAAGGTCTTGCTATGTTGCTCAAGCTGGTCTCGAACTCCTGGGCTGAAGCAACCCACCCACCTCCCCACAGTGCTGGGATCATAGGCCTGAGCCACCGTGCCTGGCCCCAAAATCCGAAACTTTTTGAGTATGGACATGACACCTCAAGTAGAAAAAATTTACACTTGACCTCATGTGATGAATCACACTAAAAATGCAGTCAGAATTTTGTTTCATGCACGAAATTATTTAAAATCATGTATAAAATTACCTTCAGCCTGTGTGTTATAAGGTGTATAAACATAAATTTCATCTTTAAATTGGGTACTATCCTTAAGATGTCTTATTATGCACATACAAATATTCTGAAATTTGAAACAGTTCTGGTTCCAAGCATTTCAGATAAGAGATATCAATCTTTATATAGAAAGTAAAGTTTCTGGGGTTTTTTTTTTCTTTTTTAAGGAAGTGGTTCATAAGATTGTGGGCTGGGTTGGCAGAATGGGCAGGCACGCTGAAAATTGGCACAAGTTGATGTTGCAGTCATGAGAAGGCCGAATTCTATTTTCTTCAGAGGACCTCAATCTTTTTTCTTATGCCTTTCAACTAATTGCGTGAGGTCACCCACATTATGGAGGATGCCTAACTGCCATATTAAAAGGACATTCAAGCAACACTGTGTAGATATTCATGTGGTGAGGAACTGAAGCGTTCAGACAATAGCCATATTAGTGAACCACCTTGGAAGCAGGTTATTCAGCTCCAAGCAAGCCTTAATAGATGACCAGTTGTGGCATGTTTTCATTGCAACCTTATGAGGAACCCTGAGCCAAAACCATCTAGTTAAGCTGCTCTTGAATTCCTGGTCAACAGGAATTGTGAAATAATAAATGTTTGTTATTTTAAGCCACTAAATTTGGGAATGATTTTTGACTAATGCAGATTCTGAAGACCTGAAAATGGAGTGCTGCTGTAACAAATACTAAAACATGGGAATGACTTTGGACTCAGGACTCAGACAGTAAATAAAAGCTGGAAGGTCTTTGAGGCGAGTTTTAGTGAAGTTCCGAAGAGACTTACTGGAAGCTTGAAGATCTTTGGATAGAGCGTCAGTGAGGGCTTAAATGAAAATGAAGAAAACCATATTGGAAAATGGAAGAAAGGGAATGTTTATTTAGTGGCTGAAAGCTTAGCAACAATGTCATGGCAGTAATGTGGGAGGCAGAAAATGTACCTAATGTACTGAGTGGTTAAGCTAAGGAGTTTTCAAGCAAAAGGTTGAAGCTGTTTGCCTGATTTCTTCTTACTGCTTATGATAAACAGTAAATGAGAGAAGTAAGCTAAGGAAGGGCTCCTAAACAAAAAGAACCCAGGGCTTTGCTGGTTTTGAGAATTCTCAGTTTCTCAGTATGTCAAATGGCTAAGATTAAGAAATGGCTTCTAAGCAAAGATCAAATCCAGGGCCTTCTTAGAAAAGCATTGTCTAAGGATGTGAGTGTAAATTCCTTTGTTAAGACCTCAGGAGGATTTAAGATGAACCTCAGAGAAACTTTCGATTGAAGTAGTAGGTCCTATACGAAGTGTAAATGTATGTCACTTAGCAGAAGTTTAAGGTTGAGAAGAGTTTTTCTCATTTATGAGTGTGCTTTTTATCTAATGGAGTGGACCTCTACAAGATTCACAAAGTTTTTCAAAGCATTATATTGGCAGAAATACCACCTTTGATTGAAGAGGGGCCCTTTGGATCCCCAAAATTCCACTGGCAGGAAGCAAGTTGAAAACACTATGCAGATGCAAATTTGGCCTACCTTTCAATGAAAATAGAAGGAAATTAGAAATTAGAACCAAGATCTCAGGCCAGAGCCACGAGTTATGAAAAATTATTCCCAGGTCCTAAGTTCCACTCTAGGAACTTCTAACATTGCCACCTTGATTTCAGAATTATGTGCACCAATAACTATGTTGTTCCTCTCATTTTTTCCACTTTTGAGCAAGAAGGTCACATGGCAGTTACCCTCTGCCTGTCCTACCATTGTCTTTTGGGTATGTGTTGGGCAGGTAATTTGTCTCTTAAGTTCCAGAAACGAGATTGAGAGAAGCAATATATATTCAAGGAGCAGCATTTAAGGAACTACCTACACCCAGGAAATTTCATCTGTACCTGCACCTGTTTAGAAGACAACATCCTAGCTTTGAAGATGTTCCTGTAAAAAGATGAGACTTTTAGGGAGTCATGGGAGGGTAGAGTGTATTTTGAATATGAGAAAAATATAAATAATTGGTGTTCAAAGAGCAGTGAAGTATGGTCGTTTTAAAATACGGAAACATTATTTTATACTTCTCTCATCATTGGAGTCTAATTCCCCTCTTCCTGAGTGTAGGCTGTTCCTAGGGACTCACTTCTACCACACGGAATGTGTTGAAAATGAAGTGTGACTTCTGAGGGTAGATCCTAAGAAAATTTCTGGATTCCATCTTGCTTTCTCTCTTGGATCACTCTGGGAGAAGCCAGCCACTATACGTGAAGACACTGGAGGAGAGATGTATGAAGAGATCCATGTGAGGAATTGAGGTCATCTGCCAACAACCAGCAAGGAACTGGAGCCTTCTAGCAACAACCACATGAAGTGAACCATCCTGAAAGCAAGTCCTCCAGCCACAAACAAGCCTTCAGATAATTACAGCCACTGCTAATATCCTGACTAGAACTTCATGGGGACTATGAGCCAGAATCACCCAGCTAAATTGGTCCCACATTTCTGACTTACAGAAACTATGAGATAATAAATGTTTGTGTTTGAAGCTGCTAAGTTTTGTGGTAATTTTTAATGCATCTATAGGTAAAGAATGCACAAGCAGTAAGGGAAGTTTAACTTTTTCTTAAGACGATTAGAATGATAGCTAATTTTTTCAGAGTTACAACTGCAAAAGAAAACTCTTAAATTTACCTTAGTACCATTTATTTCATTCATGATGTTCTAAAGGTTTAGAAGGTCATTCTTCTTTTGGAATGTATGGGAAGTTGCAGTGTGTTCTGATTTATCTAGCTACTTTATTAGGAATAAAATAGATCATGTTAAGTTTCATAATTCATCTTATGGGCTTGGCATAAATGTTTTGAATACAGATTATGGTTTAAGGTGGTGTTTATATCGGGTTTACTTCATTGGCAATTGTTTGCAAAGACAACTAATATAGTTTAAAAGAATAATGCATTATCTAATTTTTTAACAGTAAAAGTAATGATAATGTTATATTTAAATAAATGTTTTGAAGGCATTAAATGTCAAGAGTGGAAATCCTCTCCCTTTTGGATGTTCATTAATTAATTCAACAAATATTTGAGTACCTATTTCTGCACCAATAACTGCTAGACATTTCCTTCATAAGCTATTGGACAACTTTCTGCTTTCAACAATTAATGTCTTCATCAATTATCATAAGTCAACAAAGAAATTTACCTTTCTATTTCATATCTGTCTTTGGAGGGTTTTATAACAGATCATCATTTGAATTTAAAATCCTATCTTTCTTATCTTTTATTCCTGATGTGTAGTATAGTGCTAATCACATACATAGTTGGCACTCAAAAGTTTTGAGGAAAAGTCTTAAAAGTTAAGATTTTTAAAAACCTAACCAATATTAAGGTGTGAATGTTCTTTTCATTTGGTTTCTTTTCTTTGACTATTTTAATGAGACAATTGAGAGCTTTTGGTTTTTTTGTTTGTTTTTGAGACAGGGTCTTACTCTGTTGCCCAGGCTGGAGTGCAGTGGCATGATCTCAGCTCACTGTAGCCTTTGCCTCCTGGGCTCAAATGGTCCTCCCGCATCAGCCTCCCGAGTAGCCATAGGCACGTACCACCACTCGCGGCTAATTTTTGTATCTTTTTGGTAGAAACGGGGTTTTGCCACGTTGCCCAGGCTGGTCTCAAACTCCTGGGCTCAAGTGATCCACCCACCCACCTTGGTCTCTCAAAGTGTTGGGATTACGGCATGAGTCACTGTGCCTGGTCTAGGTTTTTCTTGTTGTTGTTGTTTAATGCTAGCTTATGCTTGTTTTAAGATCATTTTAAGTGCTGACAGAGTTGTCACAACATTTACAGCTCTTATTGTTCAGATATGCTGGATTGAGAACAAAACCCACAAAACTTACCTCACAACAGGCTTGAGGTTGAAAGAGGAAAAGATCTTAGATATCATGTTTTTGGGCAGAAGAAAGATGAGATCTGATTGATATGAAGTAAAACATTGTCATGTTTTCTCATTTGGCCATTGAGAAGTACGTGACTAAGTTAATCTTCTTTAGAAGTAAGTAATGTCATTTCTGAGCCAAAATGATTAGAAGGCTATGATTTATGTTTGTCTAATTTTGCTTTAGGCAAGGGATATGAATTGTTCATGTAATGATTTTCAAAGGTGGTAATATTTTAATAAGGCTCTATATCTGAAAACTAAGTTAGTGGATTGGCTTTATTTAGGTAGTACAGAGTATTTAATGATACTGCAAGCTATCACAATCCTTTAGTAAGTGCTGCCTTAACAGTTTTCAGAAAGCCCTGTTGTATCTTAGGTTGAGTTTTATTTATTGCCCAATAAGAGAGCAAAAAAATTCTCTGTATAACTTTTTGCATAATGTTATTTAAAATTTTATTGACTCTTAGACTAATATGTGCATATTTCGAAAATTACAAAGACAAAATTAGGAATCATTCATTCCTACCCCAAAATAATTACTGTTTATATTTGAATATTTCTGCTTAGGTTTTTCTTTCTTCTGGCATCTTGTATACAAATGCATACTTCCTTTTAAAAGCACCATTGGGATCATACTTCTAAAATGCAGTTAGTTTAAAATCTCTTGGCCATTTTCATTGTGTCAGTCTAACTTCAGAGTCTTTGATCTTAGCTATTACATTATGTAGCTATACTACAATTTAATCATTCACGTCATTGAATATTTCCCACAGCATTTTGCATACATTTTAATTTGTATCTTTGAGTGTGACCTTAAGATAAAAATCCTAGAAATATACTTATCATTTAAAGGGTTGAAGATTTATGTGTTAGCAGGATGTGTGTAACTACTGCTTATTAACTCAAAAGTAGATCTACAGACAGTAAACAATCTCTGCAAACCTAATACCACATTAAGCCAAACTAACTCTTCATTAGAAACGTAGTTTAGTTCTTCTGTTGAATAAGCCAGGTTAGAGGACTTGTTTTCCTTTACCACTATTGCCAGACATTGTGTCTTGCTGCATTTTTTATATTCCTTCTATATTATTTCATCACAGATCACTGTGTTCAGGTTGCTTAAAGAAAATGCTATATGCTGTTAATGTTTCCAGTCAAAGCTCATAGACAAATAGAAAACTAAAAATTCAGGGGCTGGTTTATTCTTACCCTTAAGCTAATCAAACTAAAGAAAGCTAATGAACAGAATAGGAGACAGTTGTGGCCAAATTTAAAATGAATTGCAACTGGAAACACTACACCACATGTTAATAATGGTTTTGTTGGGCTTGTGGAATTAGAGTAATTTTTTTCCTTTTTTTCTATGGTTCCTAAGCTAGCATAATTTGAGCATATAATTTTAAATACCTAAAGAATTGCTTTGGTAGCATGTTTAACACATGTAATGCCAAGATATAAGGGCTCTTTACCAAAGAAAATTTTAAACCACTTCTGTCATTTAATAAACCAATGATATAATTATTTAAAAACTTATTTTAGTAGTATATGAGCCAGCCACACATTTTGCAAACCTGTAATTTGTGATTTACAATTACAAGAATGATGTTCTTGAGCAGTATGTCGACTGTGATATCCCTTTTTTTCTGCATTTGACTTATTTATTGGGAATCATACATTAACAAGGGTTTGCAAAACAGTACTAAATTTTCTCTAAGAACTAGTACCAGCAGAAGGGGTGCAAAGGGAGGAGAGAAGCAAAATCTTTTTTTGTTTTTTCTGCAGCTGTCATCTGGCCTTATGTTCTGATCAAGAGCTACAGCTGGAATTATTTTATTGCTTTACTCTGTATCCTTTTGCCTCCACACACAAAATTGCTATAGAAGTCTTTGAAAAATAAAAAGCTAGGCACTTATCAACCATAAGAGAATAATTCTTACACCAGCAGCTGAGAGTAAAACAAATTTTCATTGTGCATTAACTATTGGCATGGGTTACTTTGTAGACAATACACATTAGCCTGTGCCAGCATACAATACTAAAAGCACTGAAAGTGAGTATATATAAATGCTATAGATGTAATTTTTTTTAAGCTAGAGGTCATGCCAGTGTATTTACAGTCTTTGTGCCTATCATATATTAAACTTTTTGCTCTTGTGGAAGATTTTTGGCATTTCTCACCACCTAATTTTATGTTATGTTCATGTTTCCATAGTAATTGTCACTTTTCAGGGGTTATAACCCAGTTAAAAAAAAAATAGAAGTTTGTCTAAGTCTGAACACTTTATGCTCAATCATATCCAAATTAAGAAAGTGTTTTGGTTATTAGTACAGGTTGAGCATCCCTAATCCACAATTCAGAATGTTCCAAAATTCAGATTTTCTTAAGCACTGACATGTGGCTCAAAAGAATGCTCAGATTTTGAATTTTTTTTACTAGGGTAGGTATATTGTATTATATTATATTATATCATACGCATTTATACTTAGGTTGAACATCCCTAATATAAAAATTAGGTAAGCAGTAAGGCCCAGTGTGGGCAGAGATGTAAGGAAATGTATCCTCTGTCTTAAACAATTAAGGGGTTTTCAGTTGATAACATAAGTTTGCCAAAGGGTAGCTTGGTAATATAATTGAATATGTGTATATACTTTATTCAACAATTCCATTTATAGGAACTAATAATAAATAATACAAGTACACCAAGATATATGTAAAAAGAAGTACATTACAATGCATATAACAAAATTTTGGAAACCTAAATGCCCATAATCAGAGTATTAGCTAAGTAATATATGACATATGCAATACTGGACTTCTTTGCAGCAGTTGCAAAGTGTAACTTGTATACTGGTATGGGGAAAGGTCCATGGAATGTTAAGGAGTGAAGAAAAAGAGCACTGTGTGGATAGACTGCAATATAAATGGGATCAAATTATACATAGCATGTAAACACATGTGCATGCATTAGGAAGTTTAGGAAGATATATGTCAAATAGTAATAGTGGCTATTCCATGGGGGTAGGATTATGGAAATAATTTTTATTGTTTTTATAACTTGAACTTTGAATAACAGTTATTGAAAGATATTTTTTGCCAGGTGTGATAGCTCATGCCTGTAATCCCAGCAGTTTGGGAGGATGAGATGGAAAGACTGCTTGAGCCTAGGAGTTCAAAACCAGCCTGAGCAACATAGTAAGACTCTGTCTCTACCAAAAGCAAAAAATTAGCCAGGCATGATGGAGTCCACCTGTAGTCCCAGCTACTCAGGAGGCTGAGGTGAGAGGATCATTTGAGCCTAGAAGGTCAAGGTTACAGTGAGCTGTGATCGTGCCACTGCATTCCACCCTGGGCAACAGAGCAAGACCTTGTCTAGCTAGCTAGCTAGAGTGTTTAGATTTATTATGGCTTAAGGAGCTCTCTCTATACACTTTTTTTCTAATGTATCACATTTACTCCTGAGGTATCAATGTGATCTGATTATTGGATATTTGCATGTCACAGATTATAGAATTTTCAGTGTGTGCCAGGCATATAGTTCTATGCTCCAGGGATAAAACTTAGGCAGAGCCCTCCTTACAGGTTGTCCTAGTTCATTCTAGCTGCTACAGCAAAATGCCGTGACTGGGTAGCTTATAAACAAAAGTAATTTGTCACCATTCTTGAGTCTCAGAAGTCCACTCAAGGCACAGACTGTGCCTGGTGAGGGCCCACTTTCAGGTTCATAAGTGATACTTGGCTATATCCTCACATGGTGGAAAGAACAGGACAGCACTCTGGAGTCTCTTTTATAAGGGCACTAATCACATTCATGAGGGCTCTACCTTCCTAATTGAATCATAGCCCCACCTCCTAATACTATCATATTGGTAATTAGATTTCCACATATGAATTTTGTGGGGGACACAAACATTCGGAGTATAGCACTGGTTCACAGGAAAAACGTAAGTAAAAGAGTACTCAGAATATAGGGTGATAGATACATATAATTTTAAGGTAATTCAAAGGAGGGAGTGATTAACTTGTGACTGAATCAACAAAGACTTTTTGATGAGTTTGTAGCTGAGGTTAAGCATAAAACAGTTTTTTAGTGGAAAATTTGAAGCATGTCATTGTTGGGCAGAGGAATTGACATGTACCAGAAAATCAGAAGTATGAAACATCAGATGCTAACAGAAAGAGACAGGTACATCAATATTTGTAAAGCAAAGAAATGAGGATGAAAATCAGTAGGAACAAGCCATATTAAGAAAGTATATTGACTATTTTAAAGTAACAGACTGTGTGTTCATTTATTCTTTTGTTCATTCTTGGAGTTTCTTATTCACATAAGGAAAGCCACTATATAATTTTTAATAAGATGGATCCATTATAATAGAAATTAAATAGCAGAAATACATATAAGAGTGAACAGTGTGACAGTACCTAGTCTTGGTAAGAATATGGAGCACCGATTGTGAATACATGAATTGTTCAAACCACCTCAAAAATCATTTTCATTATGAGAACTGGAACATATGTATATCCTGTGACCCAGTATTTCTATTCTTTGTCTTCTAGAGAAACTTTTTGTCATATATACCATAAGGCCTATACACTATTATTCCTAGCAACATTTATTGAAATAGCAAAAAATTAGAACTGCCCAAACATCCATAGACAGAGAATAGATTAATAAATTGTAGTGTTCTTATCCAGACTCTGCCGCCTAGTAACATTTATTTTAGGCAAGTTGCTTAATCCCTTTGAATTTTAGTCTCTTCATACGGAGTAGGTTGATAATACTATGTACCTCAAAGGATTATTGTGAAGATTGAGTTAACCCATGTAAAGTAGTTGAGACTGTCTGATACACAGAAAATGCTCAATATATTTTAGCTATCATTGGTACACAGAGGTCAAAATGACTGATTATTGCTACACATGTCAAGGTGAATGAATTTCACTGAAAAAAAATTGAGCAAAAAATTTCAGAATGTCCCATGATATCAGTCAGTTCAAAAGCATCTATAACTAAATATTGTTCAGGGATATTTGTGTAGTAAAACTGTAAAGAAGATAAGAAAATGAAAAAAAATATGACTTCAAGATAGGGTTTATCTGCTGAGGGTCCAAGTGGTAGAGGTGGGGGGTGCTAATACAGAGAAACACAGAGGAGTAATTAGTTGTATTGGTTATGTTCACTTTCCTTAAGTTGGGTGACAAATGTACACGTTCTATTATTCTTTGTATGATTATGTGTATAGTCCTTTATACATATAAAATAACTCCTTGGAGAGAGAACCCATGAATCCCCTGGTTCTAGCCTCAACTCCACAGAACTATATTGATAGTTTCTGGTATTTTAAAAGTAAAAATATGAATCCATCAATTCATCCTTCTATCAGTTAGACAAATGGGATCATGCCATGTTGACTGTTCTGTACCTAGCTTTTTTCATTTAACAATACCTTGGGAATACTGAAAATATCATTTTAATAGCTGCACAGAATTCTGTCATATATCTTAATTTTTGACCAGTTCCCTGCTGGTAGAGCCATAAGATATTTTGATTCTTGTTTTCTTTGATATTTTGATTCTTGTTTTCTTTATTTTTGTTAAAAAATAGTGCTACTGTGATTGTGTATGTGTGTGTGTGTATCTGTATATACAGTCAATCTCTCAAAGTAGAAATGCTGGGTCAAAAAGTACGGATTTTTTTTTTTTCCAGTGCCATTATCAAATTGCACTCTCACCAACAGCGCAAAAAAGTATTTCTATTTCTCCAAACCCTTGCCAACATTGAGTATTACTACCTATTTTTTACATCTTTCCTAGTTAGTATATAAAAATGGCATTATACTTTCATGTGTCTTTAATTGAATGGTCAGTATGTTTTTATATACTTACATTCCATTTCTTTTTCATAGGAAAATAAAATTGGGCTTTATCTTGTGAGTCTCATGTTTCCCAGGAAGAGAGGGCTCATTTCTATGTACTGTGTAAATTATGTACCTTGCAAAAGAGTTCCTTAGCTAATACTTATTCTCCTCCCTGTCCTCTCCAGTACGTGCCCAGTCTTCCAACAAAGCTTTGGTAATTGGAAACCTTAAGGGGTTTTGAACAGAAAAACCAATTAGATTTGCCTGAAGAATAATGGGACAAAGGCTGGAAACAAGGAAATCAGTTAGAAACCTACTGAAATAAGACAGGCAAAAAAAGATAATGAGGGCTTTGCACTAAGACAGTGAATAGTAGGTATTGAGAAGAGGAAATGGATGTGAAAGATACTCAGAAGATTACCTTGTTTAGAAAATTATTTTATTGACATAAAGACATATTCTGCATGAATTCAGAAGGATTTGGGCAAAGGTATAGTATGTCTCAGTTAATTATTTCAGATGAAGAGGGAAAATGTATTTAAGCTAAAAAATGATTTCATTGTTACAGTATATTTGTATTATATTTTTAAATATTATGATTTATCAGGCACAATGGCCTATACCCGTCTGTAGTATCAGCTACTATTTTGAGGCCAGGAGTTTGAGGCCATCCTGGACAACATAGTAAGACCCTGTCTCTTGAAAAAGAAAGGCAAAACAGGAATAGAATTGATGCTAAACCTGCCTCATTCTAGCAATAATATTCATAAACATGTTAATTGAAAAAAAGATCAGTCTCATTGAGTTACACCTCTAATAAAGTTTAAAATAATAAAAATTTAAAATATAAAATGATTCTATATCAAAAGGGAGAAAGTATGCAGTACCTTGATTTTAAAATTATGTAAAAGCAGGCTTACAAAATTGGAAAATTAATCATACCACCAAGGAGTATTAGCCTTCATTTTATTTCCAACTTTTTATCTTTTTATGGCTATGATAATACTGTAAATAAAATTTTATGTACTGACTTTTTAACACTAAACATTTCCTACATTGTATATTATATTATTCCCAAACCTGATTTCAAATGACAACACCGTATTTCACTTTATGGGCATATCATAATTTACTTCACCTTTCCCTTATTATGCCATGTTCAAGTTGTTTCTTTTTACTATTTAAAATAGTTCTCTACCTAAAGGAAAAGAAGTCATACGAAAAAGTTTCTTGCATATGCATGCTTAGAGCACTATAATTTGCAATTACAAAAATATGGAACCAGCCCAAATGCCCATCAATCAATGAGTGGATAAAGAAAATGTGTGTGTGTGTGTGTGTGTGTGTGTATGTGTATGTGTGTGTATATATATATATAATATTATATATATGTTATATATATAATATTTTATATATATGTTATATATATTATTTGAGTCATTTTCAGAAATCTCTGGAACAAATACATTTCCTGAAGTTTTCTACTCTTCCCAATTTTGATTATATATATACACACACACACACTATGGAATACTACTCAACCATAAAAAGGAAAGAAATAATGGCATTTGCAGCAACCTGGATGGAATTGGAAACTATTCTAAGTGAAGCAACTCAGGAATGGAAAACCAAACATCATAGGTTCTCACTCGTTCTCACTCATAAGTGGGAGCTAAGCTATGAGGTCACAAAGGCATAAGAATGATATGTTGGACTTTAGGGACTCGGAAAAGGGTGGGGGTGGTGAGGGATAAAAGGCTACACATTGGGTACAGTGTACACTGTTTGGGTGATGGGTGCACCACAATCTCAGAAATCACCACTAAAGAACTTACTCATGTGACCAAACCACCTGTTCCCCAAAAAAACTAGTGAAATAAAAAACTTTAAAACAACAACAAATAATAATTCTGAGAAAAATACTTTGTGCCTAAAGCTTTTTCCATTTTAGTACTCTTTTTTTCTTTGCTAGATTCAAGAAGTGGTCAAAATGTGTGAATGTTTTAAAAGCTTTTGGTACATTTTATTAAATGCTTTTTTATTGCATTATTATTAAAATTGCTTTCCAGAAAGAGTTGTTCCAGATTTTATTTTACTTCTGTGTGTGTAGAATTAGCAATGAGTATGCCTGTTTTCCTTATCACCACTTTTTAAAAAACCTGTAAATTTAATATGCATTTAAGCATTTAACTTGCTGAAAGAGTTAATTAGGTAGTAGGAAGATACTTTTTTCTAGTTTAGGATTCTCTATAATGTTAATTTGATTCTTACAATTCATGAATAATATATACTTCATTGTAGATTGTATACTTTGCATTTTCAAACAGTCTTTTGTTTGCCATATCAGACACTTGAATGATGCTTTGGTTATTTTATTCACTGAGACCCGTTTAGGTGTGTAGCTATAAATTCACTGTGCGATATGAACTATTCCTAGTTAATAGGTTAATTCCAGCTATATTGGTAAACATTTAAAAATCATTTGTTACTTAAATATTACACACAATTTAATAATGAAGCAATAAACACTTGTGATATTTTCTTTAAAAAAGTATTATATTTAAAGTAAAATGTGTTAATGTTTAATTTACAGGATATAAATAGAATAACCCAACTCAGTACAGCAAGACACTAAGTTTGTTCATATGCAGATATTTTTAAAGTCAGCTTTATTTTAATTTATAATTTTAATATAACTTCTCAGTTATTATAATTTAGTAAAAGATAATTCAAAAAAGTCACAATTAAAAGCAATATCTTATAATTACCACTGATACTACTCCTAAAACTTATGATTGTTTATAGTTTTCAGTCTCCTGAGTATCCCAACCCTGAGATTATTGAGGCAGATATTCAATTTATAATAAAAAGAAATTGTGCGCCTGTAATCCCAGCACTTTGGGAGGCCGAGGCGGGTGGATCACTTGAAGTCAGGAGTTCGAGACCAGCCTGGCCAACATAGTGAAACCCCATTGCTACTAAAAAAAAAAAAAAAAAAAAAAAAATAGCTGGGCGTGGCGGCGGGCTCCTGTAATCTCAGCTACTCAGGAGGCTGAGGCAGAGAATTGCTTGAACCTGGGAGGTGGAGGTTGCAGTGAGCCGAGATTGCATCACTGCACTCCAGCCTGAGTGACAAGAACAAGACTCCATTTCAAAAGAAAAAAAAAAGGAAAGAAATTGTGGTTTAGAGAAGTTAGACAAGATTCTAACTTAGGTCTTTTCTCACCCATTTTTGTTTTGTTTTGTTTTTTTTCTCCCAGTATTCTATTCAGTTTGCTTATGATTTTTGACAATTATTTGAGTCATTTATTTTCAGAAATCTCTGGAACAAATAAATACGTTTCCTGAAGTTTTCTACTCTTCCCAATTTTGATTATGTATTTTGAAAGCATGTTTGCTGGGTATCAATGTTTAGCCAACATTTTTCCAATGTTTTATCAGCAACTGTCACAACACATTGGGACAGCTGTTATGAAAATTGGGTAAAAATAGCAGCCAGTTTTGACATAGTTTTAAGTGACAGTAGATTCTCAGATATATTTTTAATAGTTCAATTGCCTACTCCTTGATACAATAACAGCTTTTAGTTTCAAGAGCATTTTCAGTTATTACCATTATATCCTTATGATAACCCAGTGTCATAAAATAGCATCGGTATTACAATTATTTTCTAATTGAGAAATTGAATGCCAAAGGAATTAAATGAGACAAGGCTATTTTTTTTTCTGGAACAAATCTAGAACTTGCATTTATAAATTTAAAATATCTTAGTCATTTTTGAATTTTATTTGTTAATTTTAGAAGTAGCACCAACAAAATCTTTTAAAAAGAAAAGCTTATGAAAGGTTTGAACCCTTAAAATTGTTAGCCCTATAGTGATTACTCTGAATTATTTTAGAATAAGCTAGTGAAAGTATTTCAGCCACTTTTACTTGGATATCAGCTTTTTTCTTAAATAATTATACAGTGATGGGAAAAGTAACATCCCGTTTCTTTAAAAAATTAAATGAAACAAAGCCCTTCCAGGACTTTGTGTTTTGTAGTGTGCTAAATTTTACTTACTTAATATTTATTTTATATAAATTATTGTTTATGACATTTTAAGTGTCTTTAGTGTCATTTATTGAGCATATCTCCCAACCTAAGTCTAATAAGAGTACATGATTTAAATTCTACGTAATCAGCAAGTTGAGTCTAATTTATTCATTCACTCATTCAACACAATAGTAGACTAATGTTGTCTTCTGTCTTTTGACTCACTGTATCAACAGCAGAGTTCTTTGAACATTTTTTTAACTTGCAAAATAAAACATAGATTTGTGTTTTCTTCCTAATAATTTCTGCATTTCCTATGTACATTTATCACTTTTTATTATAGTTAAAAGCATTATTATAATTAGCTCTTCTACATGACATGGTTAGCCTTTTAGTTCTTCATGTTATTTTTAATAAGCCCATTTTTCTCGTGAAGTTGAATTTTTCTAAAAGTTCATATTATTGTATTTTGACATAGCTTTATAATCATGTACATTTGAGTTTTGGGAATTGCTATTCATAGCGATGGTAGCGATATATACTTATTGACTTGCTAAATACTTTTTAGAGTGAAAGTATCTTATTTTGTGGTGGTGGTGGTTTTTATTCTGGCAACTAATGCATTGAGGGTTGTTCCCAATAGGCAAATGAAGAGGATTCTTCCAGTTCTCTAGTGAAGGATCACCTTTTTCAGCAAGAGACAGTTGTTACCAGTGAGCCTTATAGAAGCTCAAATATAAGACCTTCTCCCTTTGAAGATCTGAATGCCAGAAGAGTCTACATGCAAAGCCAAGCCAATCAGGTAAGAAGATAAAATATTTTTTCGGCGCGTTGTTTATATGTGTAGAAATTGAATGATGTCATAGATAAGGACGTTAAAACCATCTGCCCTTTACCAGACACAGTAAACAAACAAACAAAAACCCCACAAACAAAACCAGGAGAATTTGATTTATAATGAGCCAAATCCAGAGTGAAACAATAAACATATACACCATAAAGTCCTATATGGGTGTAGCGATTGAGCAAGGGGACATCACAAGCATTCTTATTTTACCCCTTATCTCACAGGAAAGCTTTCAATATTTATCATTAATTATGATGTGTTTACTATATGTTTTTATAGATCTCTTTATTAGATTAAGAATAACCTTGTGTTCCTACAGAACTAAATTTTTATTACATGCTTTTTCTGCAGTAATTGAAGTGATTCTATTTTTTCTTCCCTTATTCTGTTTGTTAAATTGCAGTCATTGGTTTGCAACCTTGCAGTCTTGGAATAAACCCATCTTGGTTGCCGTGTGATGTATTCATTATACATATACATACATATATGTATACATTCAAGCATACATAAGATTCGATTTGTCAGTATTTCATCTTGGATTTTTAAGTCTGCGCTTATAAAAGAGATCAACATAATTTTCCTTTCTTATAATTTTTTTTTCTTTTTTTTTGAGACAGAGTCTCGCTCTGTCGCCCAGGCTGGAGTGCAGTGGCATGATCTTGGCTCACTGCAACCTCTGCCACCTGGGTTCAAGCGATTCTCCTGCCTCAGCCTCCCAAGTAGCTGGGATTACAGGCACCTGCCACCACACGTGGCTAATTTTTTTGTAGTTATTAGTAGAGATGAGGTTTCATCATCTTGGTCATGCTGGTCTTGAACTCCTGACCTATCCACCCGCCTCAGCTTCCCAAAGTGTTGGGATTACAGGCATGAGCCACTGCACCTGGCCCCTTTCTTACAATGTTTTTATTGGGTGTTGCTATCAGGGTATGCTGGCTTTATAAAATAAGTTGGACAGTATTTCTTTTTTGCATATGTGGAAGAGTTTAAGATTGGTAGTTATTTCTTTCTTAAATGTTTGGTAGAATTCCTTAGTGAAGCCACCTGGGCCTGGATTTTTTTTTTTTTTTTTTAGATGGTTTTGAATTACGGAATTAGTTTCTTTAACAGACACAGGACTATTCACCTTTCCTAATTCTTTTTGTGTCAGCTATGACAAGTTATAGTTTACAGTAACTTTGTCTGTTTCATCCAGATTTTCAAGTTCATTGGCATAAATATATCCCATTTTTCGTTGCTGATACTGAAAATAAGTGCCTTCTCTCCTTTGATTATTCTTGCTTAGGGGTTGATAAATTTTAGCCTTTTCAAAGATAACTTTTGGATTTTTTACTTTTTTAAATGTTTGTTTTCTATTTCATTTATTTCCGCTTCTAACTTCTATTTGCCTACACTATTAGGTTTTAGCTTTACCCTTCTTGGTTTTAGATTCTTGTGAAAGCATAGTTTCTTGATGTTTTTTTCAGCTTTTTTCCTTTTTTTCTCTCTTTTTCTAATGTATGTATTTAAGGCTATAAATTTTCATTTAAGTACTCCTCTATCCACATTTTACAATATTTTCTAGTTTATTCATTTTTAATGGAAAATTTTAGACATACCAGAGGTAGAATGAATAAAGAAGTGAACTACCGTATGCTACTCTGCTTCCAACACCTATCATTGGCAAAATGATGATATGCCCTATTTTTACCATTATCAGAAACGGGTTGTTTCATTTCTAAATATTTGGGGTTTTCTGGTTTTCTCTTTGATGTTACAAATAAAGATGATTTCATGTATGACTTCATTTTTTTGATATTTGTTGGAACTTGGTTGATGGCCCAGCATATATGGTCAGTGTTTTATGTGCATTAAAAAAGAATGCACATTTTTAGTAGTTGGGTATAGCAGCCTTTTTTGTTGAACTGATCCTTTTGTCATTATGAGATATCCTCTTTTATCTCTGGTAATACTTCTTGCCTAAAAATACTTTTTTGATATCTGATTACTTCAGTTTTCTTCTGGTTAGCGCTTTCACAATAGGTTTTTTTCTTTTTTCCTTCCAACATTTCAGACCTCTCTTTTAAACCATATATAGTTGGGTTTGGGTTTTTTTTTTTTTTTCCCCCAGGGTGTCTTTGTCTTTTAATTGGAGTATTTTGTTCATTTACTTTTAGCACAATTATTGATATAAATCTACCATTTTATTCATTTTTTATTTGCCCCATTTGCTGTGTTTTTTTTCCTTCACTTTGCTTATTCAAATATATTTAACTACTTGATTCTTATCCCTTTATTAGCTAATTAGTAATACAGCTGTTAAGTATTTTTAGTGGTTATCCTAGAGATTACAAATGTATCTTGCATCCTTAAAATCTATCCTGTATTAATGTTTTACATTTTCAGGGTAATGCACATATCTACAGTATCTTAACTCAGTTTACCTCCCTTTTACCTTTTATGTAACTGTCATTACAAACTTTATAAAATTTAAAACCTTGCAAAAATACTATTTTAAACAGTTAGCATTCATTTAGGTTTATTCACCTTTTTATGACTTTTGACATTCTTCAATACCTTATGTATTATACTTCCATCTAGGATCATTTGCTGTTTATTGGTGCTTGCTGAACCTCAGTTTTCATTTATCTGAAAAAAATCTTTTATTTCCTTCATTTTTGAAGGATGTTTTGCTTTTCATTGAATTCTGTTATAATTTATTTTCTTTCATCAATTTAAAAGATGTAATACCATTGAGAAGAAGTTTCTACCCTTCCTATTAAGAAATAATATCTTTATTGTTTTCAGATGTTTTATTATGCTATACCTATGTATTAGGTTATGTATTTTGTTTTGGTTGTATAAAGCTTCTGGAATCTGTGACTTGATGTCTTTGAACAGATTTAGAAATTTTCAACCAGTAGCTCTTTAAATATTGTTTGAAGCTCAGGGAGAGTTAAAGACTGGAGATAAATTTTGGAAATCATTATCAGAGAATGAAAATTGAAACTATGAGGACAGTTAGAATTATTTTGGAAGACTATATATGTTCTATTTTAAAACTATTAGCGGTAGGGAATCACTACATATTGAGACAGTGAGTTAAGAAAGAGCGGTCACATTAGGAGAACCCAGAAAAGGATGTCTCAGAAGCCCAGGGAGGACAGTGATGGAGTAAGGAAAGGAAATGATGGAGTAGTTAATATTTTACGACATAAATGCCCCAATAAAATTCAAATTCATCTCTATAAAGGTAATTGATAACCGTACCACAGTTTCAGTGGGATTAAGAGGTGTGCATGACTGGAGAGGAAACAAAGATGATGTTTGCTAGCCACTTCTCTAGAAGCTTGACTACAAAAGCCTTCCTTAACAAATAGATGGAGTTAGAGGGGTGCAGGGTCAAGAAATGAATATGGTCATAAGATGAAGAAAGTGGAGAAATTAAAAGATTCAGGACAGAGAAAAAAATTGATAGAGAAAGGCACAACGGAGACTGTAAAGACAGGAGAATTGCATGAGAAAAGATAAAATTACTTCATTTTCCAAGGTGGAAGTGAAGTTTAGGTAGAGTTACAGATTTGCTATTGAGACAGAAAGTTAACGAAATTGAAACTTGATTAATTCGGCATTGTGGGCCCTACTATTCTTGTCCTAAAGTCTTAAAAGTGAGTAGAGAGAGAACAAAAAAACTTCTAGATCATCTGGGAGCTTTTCTTCCAGCAACTCTCATACCATAGCAAATACAGTTTGAATTACTCAAGGTAGACACAGATTGTACAAGGCTCCAGGTAAGTCTCCCAGGCTCCCTATAGCTTTATTTTTCACTAATCATTATTATTAATGTTTATCATAGCTGGTACCTATTATGTGCTAGATACTGTTTTAAGTGCTTTACTTATATAACTCATTTTAATCCTCTCAACAAACTGGCAAACTACCTAATTTTAGTGATTAAAAATTATCTGTAGTTTATGTATGTTATCCAAATTTATTATGAAATTTTATAAAAAATTAAAGAAAAATTAAGATATTGGTACAAGAAGGAAAAAATTGAAAGCCAGTTTTACTTTGAGCAAAATAATTGCAACAATAAAGGCTAAAAGCAATCTGCATATTTTCGCTAGAGATTTTGAGATATTAAAAGGAACCCACCAGGAGTCATACTTGCTTATAAACTTCCAGGCATCCTGTGAGACATTTGAATCTGGAGATACTCAGTTTAACAGTTTTAAGTACAAAATGTTTTCCCACATATTGAGTGGCGGGCAGAAGAACTCATCTCAACATAGGAGAGAGTGGAAGTATGCATATCCTGAACTAAGTCACTGATTCATACAGTTGAGCAGGGAAAGAAAACACGGTGAATGTAACACAGGGATGTTATGATATACCAGTATTCCT
Source organism: Homo sapiens (assembly GCF_000001405.40). Classification (NCBI taxonomy): domain Eukaryota; kingdom Metazoa; phylum Chordata; class Mammalia; order Primates; family Hominidae; genus Homo; species Homo sapiens. Next base: position 38,344,324 of record NC_000015.10, read on the forward strand.
CATCGCAGGCCCTGGGAATTTATTTGGCCTACCTTCTTTGGCTGAAAGAACTGTAAATTTAAAGGTCTTCTTTTGATTGATGGGGAAAAAGAACTGAACTCTTCTCCCAAAATAGTGATGGCGGTTATGATGGGGTGGTTGAAGAATGTAGTCATCAGGTAGAAAGTACAAAAAGTGCTGAATAACTGCAAGAGAGAGAAGTGAACAACATTTGGCAGACAGCTCTTAGCTTTGGGATTATGACATGGCCTCTAGAGCTATTCTGTTTGGGTCTGAATTCCAACTTCTTTACTTACTAGCTGTGTGGCCTTGGGCAAGCTACTTAGGTTCTTTGTAGCTTAGTATCCTCATCTGTAAATTGGAATAATATCGGTATCTACCTCCTAGAGTTGTTATGAATATTAAATAATTAATGTTGTATATAAAGCACTTAGGAAAAATGTTAAATAGAACAATAATACTCGTAAGTAATTCCTTGTAATTGATAATTTCTTATCTCCAAGATTGATGTGACTTAGAGAAACAAGGGTTATATTATATGAATTGCATAACTAGATGTTTATACATTTGCTGGTGTTATAATTGGTGAACTTCTCAATTTAACAGGAATTAGAATGGAATGGTTTACTCTTTTAAAGCTGCAGTAGACTGTAGCTATACATACAGTAAAGAAATATTGTAGAAGTTTCTTAATAGGAATAAAACACAGTTCCATTCAGCACACTGCTGTTAGGATAGTGTAGCAGTTTTCCATTTGTATGTGACCAAGAAGGCCTCACAGGATGAGTTTTTCCATGGTAGAGAATCTGGCCCTCAGCTTGCAGACCAGACACCTTATTTTCTTAGGATACTAGGACTAAAGTCGTCTTCAGAGATTCAAATAATTGAGTTTAAGAAAATGATATGTGAAAATCAGAACATAAAATTTTATTTCAACCATCATGAGGACTGTAGTTACTTGCAGTAGCCTGATTAACACATTCTCTACCTAAAATAGGTCTTTATGAGATCATCACTAAAAGCTAACTTGGTGAGTGTAAATGCTCGACAAAATAACTATGTCTTTTGAATGTTTAATTGCATTCAACTGGGGTAAGTTGATGGATCCTTTTCTACAACAGAGGAACAACCTTGCCAAAAGGACTAGACAACTGCCTTGATGAACTATAAAGATTAAGCTAGCAAGTTAACGTACTAGTTTTGTGAATCCTGCTGAAGACATGGCTGCTGGGTCAGACAAAGGACTTTATTATTATTCACAGTACAATAGTAGCATGAGCTTCATGTTTGTGTTGGTTTCCCTTGCTCCTCCAAATCCCATGGGAATGATGCTCAGGAATATGTTGTCCACTCGGTGGGTTTGCATCCCAGCATTGGAACCCTGAACTTAGGGAAGTCAAGTCTTTTGTAATGACTTTTAGTGCACTTCAGTAGCCTGCCTTACTTGCTGAGGAAGGAGATACTGTCTTTGTTATACTGGACACTAAACAAGCCTGTCTCCAAAGGGGAAACACTGTGTCTTTCAAGGGTTTCACTGTACAGACGTCCTTGAAAAGATAGTCTAAAACAAAAGGCCGATAGTGCATATGTTCACTAGATCTGCAGAGATGGGACCCATAAGGAATTGTCAACTACGCTAGTTTATGTTCCCTTAGTAATGCTTAAATAGGCATTGCCAGTATTTGTCTTTGACTCGTTTTTTAATGCTTTGAAGAGCTAGTAAATCTTTTGAGGTCAGGCATGGTTGCTCACACTTGCAGTCCCAGCACTATGGGAGGTCGAGGTAGAAGGATCACTTGAGACTAGGCATTTGAGACCACCTGGGCAACATAGCAAGATTCCATCTCATATATCATGGTGGTACGCGCCTGTAGTCTCAGCTACTCAGGAGTCTAAAGCCTGAGAATTGCTTGAGCCAGGGAGGTCCAGGCCACAGTGAGCCACGTACGCCATTGCACCCAACCTGGGTGATAGAGTGAGACCTTGTCTCAAAAAAAAAAAAAATCCTCTGGATGGATAGATACATTGTTTCAAAGTCTTATAGGCCTGGAAGCCATTATAGTTCTTTAACTCAGTTTCTCTTACTTTCACGGGTTCATTTCCCTGTAGACAAATATGACAGCATATTTCAAAGATTTATGACATGTTTAATACATAAAAAAGAATGTATTCACTGAATACTTGAGAAACCACGAAACAACTTAAAAAAGGAACACCCCCAATCTATACCTTTGCCTTCATCCTAGAGGTAACTATTACCTGGAATTGTATTTGTCTAACATTCTCATGCTTTCCTTGATAGTTCTAAAACTTGTTTCTTTTTATTCTCCCAATTGGATATTTCAGTTGTTTTCAGGTTTTTATTGTTACAGGCATACTGCTAGTACAAACTTTCTTGTCCGCAGCTATTCATGTGCATGAGTTTCTTTGGAGTGTTCAGGAGTGGACTTTTTACATTGATGTGCTACAGAAGGTTCTGGGACAAATTGGACTTTAGGATTGATGTGTACCACCTACAGGGGATATGTATTGAGTATTTGAAAGACTTCGGAAATAACTGTGATTGTTCCTTTACAAATGGATTTTAACTGCATGCTTTCATATGGCCTTGTTACTAGGTAATCAAATGTTCTGTGTTACTTCCCTGTATATTCTGGATTCAGATCTTTCTGAGTTTTATTTGTGGCTAGTATCTCCTAGTTGGTGATTATTTTTCACTCTTTGTGGTGTTTTGGTGAGCAGACATTATAAATTTTAATGCAGTTGAATTTATCATTTCTCATTATTTTTACAGACTCTTCCCTATCCTCATCTTAAAGATTTTCTTCCTAATCTAAAAGTTTTAAAGTTTTGTCTTTAATCCACTTTAATTTGATTTCTCTTCTATGGTAGGGACCAAATTTTATTTTTTCCACATAGGTTACTAATTGTCCCCGCACTGTTTATTGGAGCCTTTCCCCGCACTGATATGCAGTACCATATCTGACACATCAATTCTCTATATATGTTTGAGTCTGTTTCTGATGTCTCTAATCTAAATTAGTGTCACATTGTCATCTTTACTGTAGAAATGCTGTAGCTCTATAATAACTTAATATTTGTAGAGAAAGTGCCTAACTTTGTTTTCCCGCTTGGATCTTTTTTTTTTTTTTTTTTTTTTTTCAATTTGGCTGTTTGCCCTTTTAAAATATTTAGAATCAGCTTGTCAAATCTGATGAAGAATCCTTTTGTGGTTTATATTTGAATTGCGCTGAATGTGTGTGTTAGTTTAGGGGATAATTTATCATCTTATTCGTGAATATGATATATACCTCTGTTTAGCTCTTCTTCTGTATCTTTACATAAAACTTTGTATTTTCTTTGTGAAAAGATAATACATATTTTATAGGATTATTTCTTTGTACCATTTTTGTTGTTCTATTATAAATGGAATCCTTTTAAAATTTTAATTGTGACCAGCTTTGAAGAAGCATCTCTTATGACTTTTTCAGCTGATAAATTTTCCTGAAGATTATAGCAAAAGTACCAAATTTTGAGGGTATTAAAAAGCAGAAATTAATTGGGGTGTATCTTATCACATCTGTTTTTAGTAAGTGTGAAAAGGTCAATATTGTCCATTTATTTGTCTTTTCACTTAGAGATTGTGTGAGAGAACTAATATTCATAGACCCTGTTGACTCAGGTAGTTTTCAAAGTGTGTATGTGTTTAAGTGGTGTGTGTGACTTTTTTCTGAGACAGTGGTGAGAAAATTGACATTTTTACTCTTTAGAATAGTTCTTAGAAATGTATATTTAATATACTAGTTGAGGTCATTGTGTTCTATCAGGAAAAAAAATTGTTCTCTCTGCTTCCTTTTGTGTAATGTTCTTCTGTTTTTCTTTTTTTCACTTGACCAAATATCTAGCTTATTCTGTGTTTACTTCAAGTCGCATTTCCTTTCATGCCTTCCCAGACCATTTAATCCATAGTTATTTCCTCTTGTTAATTTCTAAATTCTTACAGATTCTACTTATAAACATAGAATGGCCTCCATATTGTATCATTAAATGCAGAGACCAAGGGCACAGTACAAAGGGTCCTATTTTAAAGATCTGTGTGTGTGTGTGTGTGTGTGTCTGTGTGTGTAAAAATTTTTGGAGGAATGCACTAAAAAATTTTTTTTATGATAGTTAACTTTTAAAACTGGGTCTGAAAGGTCTAAGATGGAAGGAAGAGTTTTACTTCATGTGCTTTTATACTATTTGAAAATTTTGCTATCTGCATGTATTACTATTTATTTTCAGGGTTATAGTGTTTATTAAGTATGTAACAGTAGGAGTTGGCTCAAAATTATCTGGAAAAATAAGAAGTAAACAAGATTGCCAAAATGTTGATGATAAGTGAAGCTAGATAATAGACCCATGGTGATTCATAACATTATTCTCTCCTTTTATGTATATTAGAATTTTTCACCATAAAATTTTAAAAATTAAACATTGATATATTCTAGCTATAATTTAGGTCTGAAATGGGCTTTGCAATTCGAAACACTTGTAAATGTATCAGGACACTAAAGATTCCTATTTTTTTATTGCTATATAATTCACCTACCACAAAATCATCCTTTAAAAAAGTATGTAATTTGGTGGTTTTTATTATATTCACAAGATTGTGCAGCCATCAGCAGTATCAAATTCCATATCACTTCCCAAAAAACCCACACTGATTATCAGTCATTGCCCCTCCTTCCCTATTCCCAGCCCCTGGCAACCATTATTGTGACATGTGTAACTACTTTATTTCTCTTTGTGGTTGAATAATATTCCACTCTATGGATTTACTACATTTTGTTTATCCGTTCATTAGTTGATGAATATTTGGGTTGTTTGTACTTTTTTGACTATGTATTCATTACTTGTTAAAGTTTAAATATGTAAGAAAAGACCTATGGTTTTTGTTTGTGTTTTAGGTGGGGGGAAATGATTCTATTTTTATTCTCAAAACCGTTTTTGAAAAACTTTACTGCTAATAAATTATGAGGTTTTGGAACATACACTGTACAGTTTCATTAAAAGTAAAATTCTTGTGTCATTTAAGTAGAAATTGTTTGTATTTTAGATAACATTTGGTCAGCCAGGCTTGGACATTCAGAGCAGAAGTATGGAATACGTACAGCGGCAAATATCCAAGGAATGTGGAAGCCTAAAGTCCCAAAATAGGGTAAGTAATGTTAGTTTATCTTGTGATATGGAATTTAACTAATTAATAGATAGGTAAAGTTTTCCAGTCTTTCTAATTCTCCATATAGTTGAATTGTACTAGAAAATTTTTCATTGTATAAATTTGCTGCCTATGTGCTTAAACGCTGTTAGTTAAAAACTCTGCAAACTTCTCATTTGAGTCTAAAAGATTGCCAGAGCTGCATTTATTAGATAGGACCAAAAGGAATTATATATTGTTAATTAAATAAACTGTATCTGTCACCCCACCTTTAGCTCAGACCTAGAATTTTCTTAGCCCTAATTCCATGTATCTAGGAAATAGAAGTTTGCCCCAAACTGAGTCAGATGCTTACTTGTAGTAGACTAGTCACTGTGTCCAGGGACTGGAGCTAAAGATACAAATTTGTCTACTTAGAAGCCTGCATTTATGGATGATGTAAGGGGTCAAAAGACTTAATTTTGTTCTTTGGCCTCAAAGAACCAACCTTCCCAGAAGGGTTGTGGAAGTAGGGGTATTTTACGTCATTGTTCAGAGACTTTTTGTGTACCCAAGCTACACACATGTGTGTCTTTGTATTAATTTGCTAGGACTCCCACAACAAAATATTACAGACTGGGTAGCTTCAACAACAGAAATTTATTTTCTCACAATTCTTAGAAGTTCAAGATCAAGGTTGTTGGTAGGTTTGGTTTCTTCTGAGGCCTTTCTTCTTGGCTTGCAGGTAGCTGCCCTCACATGGTCTTTCCTCACTTTGCCCTCACATGCTCTTTCCTCTGCCCGTACATCCCTGGTGTCTTTCTCTGTGTGTCCAAATTTCCTCATAAAGAAAACAGTCAGATTGGATTAAAGTCTCTCTTAAGGGCCACATTTTAACTTAGTCACCTCTTAAAAGGCTCTATATCCAAATACAGTCGCATTACTGGAGGTTAGGGCTTCAGCATATGAATTTGAAGAGGACATAAGTCAGACCATAACATTTTGTCCTTTGTTCCCAAAATCATGCCCTTCTCACTTGCAAAATACATTCATCCTTATCCTAACAGCCCCAAAGACATAACCCATTCCAGCATCAACTCTTAAGTCCCAAATCTCATCTAAATAACGTCTTTCAATCAAGTGTGGGTAAGTGGCTCATGCAATAGTAGAGGTACAGATCCAAAACAGGGTAGGCTGTCTGGAGACCCAAGAAATAGTTGTAGTCTGAGTCCAAAGGCACCCTGCTGGCAGAATTTCTTCTTGCTCAGGGGGAGCTCAGTCTTAGTTCTAGTAAAGCCTTCAACTGATTTTATGAGGTCCGCCTATACCACAGAAGGTACTGTGCTTTCCTCATAGTCCACCAACTGAAATGTTGATCTCATCCCAAAAACATATCATAGAAATGTCCAGAATAATATTTCAACAAATATCTGGACACTGGCCCCACCAAGGTGACACGTAAAATTAACCATCATAGCCCTCATTGCAGTTTTTATCTGTTTCTTTTTTAGGTCCCTTTGAAATCAATCAGACATGTCAGCTTTCAAGATGAGGATGAGATTGTCAGAATAAACCCTCGAGATATCTTAATACGTCGCTATGCAGACTACAGACATCCTGACATGTGGAAAAATGACTTGGAAAGAGATGATGCTGATTCCAGTATTCAGTTTTCTAAACCAGACAGTAAAAAATCAGACTATCTGTACTCTTGTGGGGATGAGACTAAGTTAAGTTCACCCAAAGACTCTGTGGTATTTAAGACGCAGCCTTCCTCATTAAAAATTAAGAAGTCAAAACGAAGAAAAGAGGATGGTGAACGTTCTCGCTGCGTATACTGCCAGGAAAGGTTTAATCATGAAGAAAATGTTAGGGGAAAATGTCAGGATGCTCCAGACCCTATTAAAAGATGCATATATCAAGTTAGTTGCATGCTCTGTGCAGAGAGCATGTTGTATCATTGTATGTCAGACTCAGAGGGAGATTTTTCTGATCCCTGTTCGTGTGACACTAGCGACGACAAGTTCTGCTTGCGATGGTTAGCCCTGGTAGCTTTGTCTTTCATTGTACCATGTATGTGCTGCTACGTCCCTTTGAGAATGTGCCATCGCTGTGGTGAGGCATGTGGTTGCTGTGGTGGGAAACATAAAGCTGCTGGATGAAATGGTCCAGTGCCAAAATGAGCTTAAAATCTTTGTTTCCAGGAATTAGCTAACTTGGATTTGTGGAAGCTTTTGGCAAGCAATATGGAATCTTGCCTGGTATCATTGAGCCCACACATGGAGGAAGCAGAACTCATCAGTTCTTGGCGTTTCACGCCATGCCTAACTTTTCCCTTGAGTGCATGGCATGTTTTGTTACAGGTTGTAGAGTATTTGCAGAAGGAAACCATTTCTGGTTATTTGGCTATAAAAAGTCAGCATAAAATATGATCCAACTAAAAGGGATTAATTTTTGGCATTTTTGTATATTTATGCATTAGGTGATGGGACTTTTAAAGGTTTGAATTTATTAGGACACGAACTAAAAATAAAAGTGCACTAGGGGACAGTTGATTTCAATCTAAGAAAAGTTAACACTTGGGAATTACAAGAAGTAAAACAAGTGCAACTAAATCATTTATTAGTTGTTTTTTGAAAGCAGTTTTATGTATAAATAACAAATGTTTATATTTAACTAAATGTAAGGTACGAATTATTACATATTAAACTTTTCTTCCCCTTCCTAGTTCTGAAGTAGATATATATATATATATATCTACTGTCACATTCCATATATTTTGAATATTTAACTCATCTAGTTAATAATGTTTTTATTCCATGCGAATGATTTGATATTTTCATCCTTATTTCTCTTTGGCTACAATTTATATTGAGTTATATCTGTACATTCTGGTAATCTAAAATCCTTAAAAATACTCTAATAGCCTTGAGTGACCAACTTTTTTTTTAAAGCACAGATGTAATTGTCTAATGTTCTGATGGGAACGTAACACTTATTTTTATATAAAAAGAGACTGAGTAAACAAACATTATAGAAAAAAAGTGAAGTTTTTTAGTTGTTTTTTGTGGTATTCAACCAGCAAGTTGTTTTCTTTCAGAGTTTCCTCCTTCAAAAAGTTATATTGCATTTACAAATGTTTTACAAGGCAGAAAGTTTGACTGGATAGTTAGTGTAAAAGCTTCATGTTGAGATCTTCACGTATCATTCTGCTAAACCAGAATATGTTCAGCTGTGTTACTAATTTTTCAGCTTAATCCTCAGTGCTTATTATTTACATAACAATAACTTTTTATCAGTTACATTTTATTTTTATTTAAACTGGCCAAAAGCAAAATTATTTTATGTTAAAATGTGTGCTAAACTATCCCAGGAAAGTATTTAATCCAACATTGTAAATGAAGTATCTTGTACATATAAATTTATTTCTTTTGCAGAGCATTATATTACTGGATGTTTAATTTACAAAATAGTTGGGTAAATGTTCCAACAAACTTTAAAGTACCTTGAAGTCAAATTGTCTGTTTTTGTTTTGTTGTTGTTGTTGTTGTTTTCTTAAGTGTTACATTAAAACTCTAACCAAGGAAAGGGTTCTTTAAGAACATTCCCTTAGAGGGATAAAGTTGAGAAGTGTGCCTTTTTTTTAATGGCTTGAAGTTTCAGAGGTGATAAAAATTAAAATCACACTACTATTTGAAGCTCATTTTCTATGCAGGTTTTTAAACGTCATTTATGTATCATTCTTTTTATATATCACACTTAAGCTTGTGTTAGCTTTTTTCTTTTGCCCCAGATCAAACTGAACAATGTATATAACACTATCTGTCTGTAAAATACTTTTTTTAAGAAAGCATTTATATTTATATGACAGCTTGAACTGACAACATTGTGTATATAGATCATCTTGAAGTATTATTTCACATTGAAAAGAAGAAAATATATTGATAACTATAGATGTTATGAAGAAGAGGGTATTTCTAGTTTTGTACTAAAAATCAATTGGATGAACTAAATCCAAAACATGACACTGTAGGCAGCAGTTTTAAGTCTTATTTTTACTGTTTATATATTTGAATGCTGCTACAACAGATGATCTTCATCCCTGAAGTTTTCAGCTAAACTTGGTTTCCTAGAATAGACTGTTAACTTTCAAAATTTTTATTGGTGAAATGGAAATACTGTTTTTCCTTGTGAATGAATTTTCATATTTGTAAGTGCTAAGTTTATAATTCAGGTTTGATCAAGGTGTGAATAACTGAAGAAAATAACTTGCTGGCTATATAGGAAAATGCTGTGGAAATGAACTGTGTATATACTTCTGGGAGGAACAAATTTAATCATTTCTTCTGTTAAGCACTAATCAGTATAGTGCAACTCCTGGTTCTGTACTGTATTTTATATGCAACATATATGCTTTAATATTTTAATGTTTGTGCATTAATATTTTCAATTTGTTTAACCACTTTGCTGCTAAGATTTTGCCGTCCCATTCCCATTTTTTCCTTTACAATTTTAAACAAGTTTCTTCATTAAAAACTATGGTGATGAAATGGTTTTTATTTTACCTTGGATCTTTATAGTTAACATACCCAGTTTCTTAATCAGTCTACAAGACTAACTGATGATATAATGTTCTCTGAATCCCTATATGGAAATTTTCTTTTGAGTAAATGAGAATTCCTTTGTGAAAGCAAATGGGTAGTTTAAATCACTGATTCTTAAACATGTGTATAGGCACCTTCAGGAACATTTTCTCATTCTCTGTACAGATTCGGCACTGCCAATTGGCTTTTCCTCTAAAACTTTTCTTTGTTTTTATCTGATATAAGCAGATGGCTCAAGACAACTGCTTGAGTAATAGTATTGAAAATGGAATCATCTAGACGGCATGACAAGCAAGACTGGTCTGATGAACTTGTTCAGAATTGATAATTCTTAAATATTTCTCTTGGCTTCAAAAGGGACATCATTTGATTTCTGAAGAAGTATGTCGTGTGGAGCTTCAGCACCACCTACTGGATGATTTCCAGGCCAGAGACATGAGATGGCAATAGGGATCTGACAGGGTTCATCACTACTACCATTAAAGGGCTATTTATGTGGTGACCACCTCTACCAGGGAAACCAGGAATAAGAACTGTCTCAAAGGAATTGTAAAATGGTTATTTACCTAATGTGTCTTGTTGGCTTGCTGAAAGATTTTAAGCACTTTTTTCTTACATATCCTGTTTTAAAATATTTGTTGATATTTGGGACTGGCAATCAAACTTAATGGATGTACTGAGGCATTTATAGAACCAGTTGCTTTAACTCTCAAAAGCCATTACCAAAATGGTATTTTTTTCCTCCTTCCGCCAGTCAGGGAGAATTTTTAAAAATAATAATCAAAACATGAAAAAACATAATCACACCTGTATTTTATCATGACAGCTTCAGAGAGTGTGTGTGTACGTTTTTCTCTCTTTTATTTGAGACGGAGTTTCACTCTTGTTGCCCAGGCTGGAGTGCAATGGTGCGATCTCAGCTCACTGCAACCTCCGCCTCCTGGGTTCAAGCGATTCTCCTGCCTCAGCCTCCCAAGTAGCTGGGATTACAGGCACCCACCACCATGCCCAGCTAAGTTTTGGTATTTTAGTAGAGATGGGGTTTCACCATGTTGGCCAGGCTGGTCTTGAACTCCTGACCTTAGGTGATCCACCCACCTCGGCCTCCCAAAGTGCTGGGATTACAGGCATGAGCTACTGCGCCCAGCCGTGTGTATGTTTCTGAAATGATGATGGGGTGGGGTTAAAATCTAAAGGGAAAAACTTGAAACTACCTATTTTCATTGGTTATTCAGCAGTGCCTAAAATGAGCTTTTGAAGTAATGTAAATGCACTTTCAATTCATGTGTATAGTGCCATCTGATATCTTGGGTAAGTCTTGCTTTTTCTTTTCTTTTTCCTCTCCCCTGCCCCCTTAATTAAATGGCACGGAAATGTTTCTTAATATGCACGTGAGTCTCCAGAGTACAGGAAATGTGCTTTCCTCTAAATGGTCAATGTAAAGAATCTTAAGGATATTTCTTGTGTTGAAATTTACATTCGATTTTGTGATTACACTTGGAAGTATGTGTTAAATTGGGTTTTTAATTGTAGCCCAAAGGTGCATTAAGCAAGTGTAACATTTTTTCCACATAAAACTTAGAAAACTTTAGTTACCTGAAAAGCAAGGATTCTTTACTAATTATTATGCTCATTCTTGATTTGACTTCCATGTTCACACTTCAAAGTGTAAGAGGAAGCACTAGAAACTGGCATTATTGTTGCACTAAAAAAGTCTATAAATCATAATAGCACCATGAGGTGTTTTGCAATGAGACAAACATGAAGAATGAATTTCTTTAAGAGAGAAACACAACCGGAGGTGATTTATATAAACCAAAAGAAAAAAAAAGGCTTTAAGGTATTAGGTACTGTTTGCCTAGCAGCCAGGTGGTTATAAAAGATTCATATGCTTTGGTACACTGATAAATGTTAGCCATTATTCCTGAAAGCTTCTTAAATTGCATCAGTTGTTTTGAAATTTTTTCAAGAATAAACTAGTTGAAAAGTCTTTGTATTAAAAATACACATAGATTTTTGTGAACATTTCCAGTGTGTAGTGTCGTTTGCTTTCTATTTCTGACCTCAAAAGTGCCTCACTTGTATATTATTTCCATTAAAAGCTTGACTGCATTCTTTCTAATGAACAATGAAAAACTGTTTAACTCATGTCATAATGTGTCTCCTCAGATATAGTTAACTAGCTTGATAGTTTTGAGTATATAATGTAAATAATACATTATAAGTTTGTAACCATTTCTGTTACTTCATACCCGTGTAATTGGACATAGCAGATGATTATCATAAGAATTTGTTTTAATGGTTTTTTTCCCTCCTGGAATTACCTGATTAAACCTGTCATGAATTATAAAAGGACTTTTTCTTATTCTCCTAGAGCTTATCAAATTATCACATAAGAGATAATTACTGGAGGAGAAAGTAAAAATGGAAGCTTTTGATAATTAGCTCTGTTCTTTAAAAGTATACTTTTAAACTGAAAGTTCACATATAGTTCATCTTAATAACATATTTATTCATCCTTAATTGTATTCAGATTTTTTTTTAAGTCTCTAAGCTAATAATGTTATATTTATTGGTTTGGTAACATGTTGCAGCTAAGCTAATGACCTTAAGTGGCAATTGTTTAACCCAGGACTACTGATTTTTTTATATTCAAGTCAGTTTCATCGTTTTACTTAACTCGCCATATAACCAAAAATAACGAATAATCTAAAGGAAAGGTTATTAGGACAGTAATAAAAAATTATAGTGTATCTCAACACTAGAATAAGTTGGATTACTATATTATAGTTTATTTGAAAAATCAAGGAGTAACTGTATCTTTACCATTAATTATGAAATGTAGTCTCATGTGCTTATTTACAGGTTTTTCAGAATTTGCTTTACATTCTTCACATCAAGTTAATACCCACAAGTAAGTAGAATAGCTTTTATAACAAGGAAATTGAAACTAGGGTTCTAGCTTGGCTATCAATATAAGTGTCATGCACATAGTGCTCCTTAAAGAAAAAGACATCGACATCAATGGTATGAAAGCTGTAGTCACTCTTTAAATTGAACTGCTCTAAGATTTGCAGTTTTAGTGAGATCTGAAATGATGGTTCAAAAAATACATTCATAATAAAAGTCTTAACAAAATCACAGTTGAAATAGTGTTTCTTTTGTCTTTATTTTTGTTACATAATGTATTTTATACATGATTACTTTTAATCCTCAAGTAACCTTGTAAGTATTATCTTCCTTATTTTTCTAAGGAAGAGATTTGGGCATCAAAAGGTCAAAATACCAGATAACACAGAGGCACCAGGTCTGAAACAAATTGACTCCAAAGCATAGGCTTTTCTTCCTGATGCAGTTTCAGCTTTCTGTTACAGGAGTCACAGATACACTTCATAAAATAATCATTCTGTTAAAATGAAATTCTATTTATTATTTTAAGCTGGAGTAATTTTGTTTTATAAAGGAATAATTTCTTAATTTCTACTCTCCCTTGTCCATTTCTGGGCCCCCTATCTCACTAAGTTGTGGTACGTGATCCACAGTATGGCATGGGAATTTTTTAAATTGGAGGATAATTGTGATAATGCTTCAAGATATGCCAGTTGTGAGTTGATCCAATGGGAAGCACTAAAAACATACATAGTTCAGTTTGTGGAATTGTTCATTTTGCTCAATTGGTGGTATTTTATTGGAGGGATTCATTTTCACCAAAGCAGCAATACTTCTCCTTGAGGCAGTAGGAAACAATGCTCTAAAATGAGCCGTGTATACAGTACTCTTCCGACCTCCCGCTCCCCCCGCCCCCCCCCCCCCAAATGATGAGCGATTCATCTGTCAGTTATTCCACAGAGCCTCTTTTGGGAACCAAAGTTGCATTTATTGTCAGGACTACTTTTTTTTTTTTTTTTTTTCTGGAGACACAGTCTCGCTCTGTGCCCAGGCTGGAGTGCAGTGAGCAATCACATTACACTGCAAACTTGACCTCCCAGGCTCAAACAACCTTTCCACCTCAGCCTCCCAAGTAGCTGGGACCACAACAATTGCCACCATACCCAGCTAATTTTTTTCTTTTTTTGTAGAGACAAGGTGATGCTGTGTTACCCAAGCTAGTTTCGAACTCCTGGGCTCAAGCAATCCTTCTACTTCGACCTCCCCAAAGTGCTGAGATGACTGGCATGAGCCACCGCACCCGGCCAGGACTACTACTGAAACATGTTTCCCACAATGAGATTAGTATTCTCTCAAAATTACTGGTTCTGTTAACCTGGAAATAATTTATAATAACCAAGATGCTATGTGCAATTAGGAAGAAAGGAGGACAAAGAATTCCAGAATATTCAGTATTGAAATGTCAAGACTATTATCTCAACAATAAAATTTAAATTAAAATTTAACTTAAACCTGTCTTTCATTTCTATCACTTAGTTTCGTATTGCCAGTTGCAAGGCACCAATTTAAGTGCTGGTTTTTTTCCTTTTAAAATGTATTGTGATACATCTCCTTGTAGATTATTTTTCTTGCCAAACAAACCCCATTTTTTTGTGCTCCACGTTTTCCTCTCCCCTTTTTTTCTATTAATTAATGTTTCTCCAACTTCTCCAAATCTATGAGAGGAAGAATTCATGGAGAAGAAATGTTCATGAGTATATTTTACATTTTCTTTAAAAATTCTTGTATTCATCCAAAGAAAGTCCAGCAAGCTTGAATATATGTCTTCCGTTGGTAGGGGAAGCAAATGATTCGCAATCCCTTAAAATTTAAGAGAAAACAAAGTTGTATGAATTCACAAGCTTCTAACTGGTTAATAGTTTTTGTTTAAAACTGCTGAACTAAAGTGCTAACAATAACATGATTCTCTAGAGTCTAAGAAGAAAATGGGGATCCAAACCAAATTATTTAAATAATAAAATGATAAAGTTGAATTCACTGAAGTTTTAGGGCTGAAAGGCACCTTAAAGATCAGTACGACACCCTCATTTTATAAATGTAGTAATGGATCCAAGAAGGTTTAGATACTACTGCAAGGTTGTCATTCACTTAACATACACAGTAACACAATCTGTACTAAACTCTATATCCAACTGCCTAAAATACATTTCTTGCAAGTACCTTAAATTCAATATGCCCAAAACTGACATATTTCCCCCATTCTTCAAACCTTTTTTCTCTCTGCCTTGAGGTGACACCACTGCCTATCCAGTGGGCTAAGCCAGAAACCAGGTCATTAGAGAAAAAAAAAATTTATTTTTAGTAGAAACAGAGTCTTGCTATGTTGCCCAAGCTGGTCTCAAACTCCTGAGCTCAAGTGATCCACCCTCCTCGGCCTCCCAAAGTGCTGGGATTACAGGCATGAGCCACTGCACCTGGCCTTCATCTTTATTTTCTCATTTCCCCTTACTTTTCACTATTGGTTCTCAATTTCCTACAGTTCTGTTTCTTAAGTATCCCTCAAGTCTGTCCATGTTCTTCTATCCCCACTGTAACTATCTTAGTAGAAGTCTTCTCACTATTGACATTAGAAGGTAGGCATTGAATGAATCACTTGGATGCCATTATTTTTAATAAGAGATAGTCTGTATTTTAAATGTGATTAAGAAGGTGAAAATACTTCATACTGTAACTAAAAAGTGATCTTCAGATTGAGATATTCCCAGATCTAGACAAAATCTAAAAATGGTTTACAGTGGGATTGCAGAATCAGATGATGGTGACTTGAAAGAACACCGCAGGACCTAGGACCAACTAGAAAATTAAGACTAAGTTGAACTATGGAGTACAAACTTATAGAAATGGTAAACTTTAAACTTCATTTTCACTTTTCCTCAAACCCATTATTTTTTCTAAGTAATTTTAAACGTATTATCTTATTTGTTGTCGTGGGTTTTTGTCTTAGAGCGTAGGTGAATGAAGAGTCCCTTACTGGAAACCATTGGAATCTTGTCGCTGGTAGCATTTTAAGTAAGTCAGTAGCTCTGTAATCATGTGAGCCTGTATTCAAAAGATTTTCTTTGCCTTTTCCAACTCACTTTTTGCCAAAGCAAGATCAGAAATAGCCTACCTAGTGTAGATTTCTTTCATAGGAAAAAGAAATCTCCAGGTAAGCTTGACTACCTAAAGGATGTGGAGGAGGTATGGTTGTTTTTTTTTTTTTCTTTTTGAGACGGAGTTTCGCTCTTGTTGCCAGGCTGGAGTGCAGTGGCGCAATCTCGGCTCACCGCAACCTCCGCCTCCCGGGTTCAAGCGATTCTCCTGCCTCAGCCTCCCAAGTAGCTGGGATTACAGGTATGAGCCACCAAGCCCGGCTAATTTTTGTATTTTTAGGAGAGATGGGGTTTCTCCGTGTTGGTCAGGCTGGTCTCGATCTCCTGACCTCAGGTGCTCTGCCCGCCTCGGCCTCCCAAAGAGGTTTCATATACAGTAGTCAGGGAAGGCTATGCACATAAGTGGGGAAGGAACCACGCAGGTTAGAGGAGAATGAATGCAAAGGCTCTTAATAGAAGGGAACTTGGCTTCTTAATGAAGAGCAAGAAGCTAGTAGGGCTGGAAGGGCTGGGTGAGGCTGCTCTTGGATGGAGGTAAGACCACAAGTGCCAGATCTTCTGGGAATCTGGAAGTCGTGGTAAAGAGTTCAGCTTTTATTCTGAGGGTAATAGGAATTCACTGGAAGGTTTTCAAGTGGGAAATTTTGCAATCTGTTATTTGGCCTTTCAAAAGGAAAGAAAACCCAATACTGGTTTCAGATTTTTTTTTTTTTTTTTTTTTTGAGACGGAGTCTCACTCTGTAGCCCAGGCTGGAGTGCAGTGGCATGATCTCGGCTCACTGCAAGCTCTGCCTCTTGGGTTCAAGTCATCCTCCTGCCTCAGCCTCCCGAGTAGCTGGGACTACAGGCACCCGCCACCACGCCTGGCTAATTTTTTGTATTTTTAGTAGAGACGGGGTTTCACCGTGTTAGCCAGGATGGTCTCGATTTCCTGATCTCGTGATCCTCCCGCCTCGGCCTCCCAAAGTGCTGGGATTACAGGCTGGTTTCAGATCTTGTTGGGGTGGTATTGTATTACCTGAGGCTTTGTCCTAAGCATTCTGCTGAAATGCTCTCTACAGGGCCCCTGACTGCCTCCACATGTCTAAATGTGATGGATGTTTTTTAGACCTCACCTCACTGAGCAACTTTTGGCACATTCTTCCTTGATGCTACACTATCCTTGTTTCCTCAAATTTCACTTGTCACTTCTCTAAGCACTACAAGCTGGAATTCTTCAGGGTGCAGCAATAAACTCTCTCTAGCAATACTCCCTGCTTAGAGAGTTAAATGCCCTATTTCTGTTTGTGGTATCCACATTTAGATCTTCTACTTGACATACCTACTGGGGGTCTCACTGGCATTTCAGTTTTAATGAGGCCAAAACAGAACTGATTTTCCCCTCCAAACCTGCTCCACCTCCAGGATGCTTTATTTTAAGAAATGATCATAATTCACCCAGTTGTTCAGAGATTTCATCTTTTTGCTTCATGCTTTAAATACAGACCAACGAGAGATTCAACTTAAAAATAAATTTCAATCCTGAATAGTCCTCACCATGGGCACCACTGCCATCTCAGTCCAAGGTTGAATGATCTCTTGCCTATACTTCTATAACAGCTTTCCTACTTCTACTCACTCACCTCAGGGTCTTTTATTTTTAGAAAGATTCATTACTTTATGTTCACTGAATATTCATCTTTTCCATTATCATAGTTTTAGGATTAATTGTTGTTTTTTCTTAATTGGACAATTATTTTCCTTATTCTCCTCCTTTCCTTCCTACTTGTATTTTGTGTACAAGTAATGAGGAAAGAGAATTTAACATTTATTGTATGCCTGTTAGGTACCAGACAATGTGTTGAACACATTCACATATATTACTTAATTACTCAATACTTTTGTAATGTAGGCATGGTTACTTCCATTTCACACATGAAACAAGGCATATAAAAATTGAGAAACTTAGCTATGTTCTTAAGTGTGAGAGCTAAAATTCAAACCCTGGTCTATCTGCTTCCCATTCTTTCCTGGCTTCCATTCTACTCCTGTGGGGTTCATCTCCATTGTCCCCTTCTTAAATCCCTGGTCTGTCTTCTTTTATTTCTATTTATTATTTTTGCTCAACCTGCATTGTCTCTTTTTTCCCTTCAAATTTCTGTCTTTGTATTTTCTCTTATTCTGCATTTTCTGGTATACTCACTGACCTATCTTACCCATAAATAACACTCAAGTATACTAAATCTTTGAAGGACTGACTGTGTGGTTACTTTCATGACGCCCATCAATATCAAAGCCACTTAAAAATGTTAAGTCTATGCTTAGAAATTTTTAGAAAGAAAATGACTAACTAGAAGGTCAGTGTGAGCCTCTGTAGCCTGTTTCTGCAATGCCTTATATTCTAACAAAGAGGCCTTTATTTGCTTCCTTGTAATGGGGCAGCATTAAGTCCATTGTGCTTAGCAAATGCTGGCACTTACCCATTACTCCCTGTAGTTTGATCGGCAGTTGATTAAAGTCATCTCCACTTCTGACGACATAGGTTTAACCTGTGTGCATCTTATTAGAAACTATTTCCTCTTAAGTATTTAAAACCCATTATTTTCAATATGAATACTTTTCTTAGTCTTTTAATTTTCTCCACTTAATTTTTAGTAAAAGCAAACTTAATAATGCGTGATGTTTTAACCAGGAATAAATTACTATCTATTTTATTTCTTTTCTTTTCTTTTTTTTTCTTTTTTTCTTTTTGAAATGGAATCTTGCTCTGTCGCCCAGGCTGGAGTGCAGTGGCGCGATCTCGGCTCATTGCAAGCTCCACCTCCCGGGTTCACGCCATTCTCCTGCCTCAGCCTCCGGAGTAGCTGGGACTACAGGCCCCTGCCACCGCGCCCGGCTAACTTTTGTATTTTTAGTAGAGACAGGGTTTCACCATGTTAGCCAGGATGGTCTCGATCTCCTGACTTCATGATCCATCCGCCTCGGCCTCCCGAAGTGCTGGGATTACAGGCGTGAGCCATCGCGTCCAACCCTATCTATTTTATTTCTATTTTTTAATTTAACTTTTAAGTTCAGGGGTACATGTGCAGGTTTGTTATGTAGGTAAATTTGTGTCATGGGGTTTTGTTGTACAGATTATTTTGTCACCCAGGTGTTAAGCTTAGTATCCATTAATTATTCTTCCTGATTCTCTTTCTCCTCCCACCCTCCACACTCTGATAGGCCCCAGTCTCTGTTGTTCACCTCTTCTTATCCCTGTGTTCTGATCATTTAGCTCCCACTTGTAAGTGAGACATGCAGCATTTGGTTTTCTGTTTCTGTGTTAGTTTGCTAAGGATAATGGCCTCCAGCTCCATTTATGTTCCTGCAAAGGAGGTGATCTCATTCTTTTTAATGGCTGTGTAGTATTCCATGGTGTATATGTACCACATTTCCTTGATCCAGTCTACCACTAGTGAGCATTTAGATTAATTCCATGTCTTTGCTGTTGTGAATAGTGCTGCAGTGTACATATGCGTGCACCTGTCTTTATAATAGAACAATTTATATTCCTTTGGGTATATATCCAGTAACAAGATTGCTGGGTTGAATGGTATTTCTGTTTTTAGGTTTTTGAGGAATCACCACACTGTTTTCCAAAATAGTTTAACTGATTTACATTCCCACTAACAGTATATGAGTATTCCTTTTTCTCTGCAACCTCACCAGCATCTGTTAGTTTTTGACTTTTTAAGAATAACTATCCTGACTGATGTGAAATGGTATCTTGTTGTGGTTTTGGTTTGCATTTCTCTAATGATAAGTGATGTAGAACTTTCTTCATATGCTTTTTGGCTGCATGTTTGTCTTCTTTTGAAAAATGTCTGTTCTCATCCTTTGCCCACTTTTAATCGGGTTGTTTTTTCTTGTAAATGTATTTAAGTTCTCTACAGATGCTGGAGATTAGACCTTTGTTAGATGCATAGTTTGCAAAATTTTCTCCCATTCTGTAAGCTATTTACTCTGTTGATAGTCTCTTTTGCTGTGCAGCTCTTTAGTTTAATTAGATCCCATTTGTCAATTTTTGCTTTTGTCGCAATTGCTTTTGGTGTCTTCATCATGAAATCCTTTGCCCAATGGACAAAGAATGGTATTGCCTAGGTTGTCTACTGTTTCTACGTCCAGCATGGTATTGCCTAGGCTGTCTTCCAAGGTTTTATAGTTTTGGGTTTTACATTTAAGTCTTTAATCCATCTTGAGTTAATTTTTGTGTATGGTGCAAAGAAGGGGTCCAGTTTCAATCTTCTGCATATGGTTAGCCAGTTATCTCAGCACCGTTTATTGAATGGAGAGTCCTTTCCCATTGCTTGTTTTTGTCAGCTTTGTCGAAGATCAGATGGTCATAGGTGTGCAGCCTTATGTCTGGGCTGTCTATTCTGTTCCATTGGTCTATGTGTTTATTTTTTTACCAGTACCATGCTGTTTTGATTACTGAAACCCTGTAGTATAAAGTCAGGCAGCATGTTATCTCCAGCTTTGTTCTTTTTCCTTGGCTATTTGAAATCATTATTTATTAACAGTAGTTTTATCTAATTTTCAAAGTTACCTTTGTCTCCCAAGAAATTGTCTGATTTAGAAGATTATAAAAGAAAGTGGAATCAAGAACAAGAACTCTGGAAAAGTGATGTTCAAGGCATAAGACCCACCCTGGACCACTAAATTTCCTCCAGTAAGAAGCAGGCTGAGAAAGCTGTACACTCTCCAAAGGCCCAGTTCAGATAGTTACTGAGGATAAGAAAAATGGAATAAGCTCCTGTAGTAGGCTGAATAATGGCCACTAAAGATAACAAGTCCTGATCTCTGGAACCGGTAAATGTTACCTTATATCAGAAAGTAGCTTTTGCAGGTGTGACCGAGGATCTTGAGTTGGAGAGATTTTCCTGGAGTATTCAGGTGGACCCTAAATATAATAATTTCATATGTTCTTATAAGGAAGAGCAGACAAACCTTACAAGCATGAGGTGACACACACAAAAAGCAATGTAAAGACAGAACAGGGAGATTTGAAGATGCTGGCCTTGAAGACAAGGGTTGTAGTCACAAACCAAGGAATGCTGGCCGCCACCAGAATGTGGAAAAGGAAAGAACAGATTCTTCCCTACCTAGAGTTTCCAGAAGGAGCACAGCCTTGCTGATACCTTAATTTCAGCCCAAGGTATTCAAGTTTCAAACTTTAAACCTCTAGAAGTGTTGTAAGTTAAAATTTTGGTAATTTGTTCCAACAGCTCCAAAAAAACTAATACATCCCTCAGAAGCCAAAGCAGTGGGCCACAGCAATGGATAAAGGAGTTTTTCGGAGCAGAATTAGGGACTAATCAAGGATTCTTTCTCATTTTCAGGGTAAGAGACCTTCCTGTTGTCTCCTGAGTGGAATTTTAGAATTGCTATGGACGATTAATTGCTTTATGTCCACCATTCTTCCTTTTTCTGAATGAGAATTTTCTATTGCAGTTATCCTGTTCTTGATTTAGCAGTGCATATGGGATATGTTGGAGAAGTGGACCAGTAAGTTGACTCTTGGCTCATAAATCTATGGAGAAGAACCATGTCTCAAAGACGACAAATACGCAGGTCCAGACTGTTAAGCTGGCTGCAACAATAGGATGGTACTTTAGGTTGTCTCCCTTGGGAATCGATCAAATATGTTCTTTGTGTGGTGTTAAAGAAAATTTCAGATGCTTGTTAAAATGATAAAGCAGACTTCATTCAGAACTATTGTGATAGAGGTAGGAACTATAGCAATGGGGATTTTGCAGTAGGGAAGAGAAATTGGACTCAAATCTGAATACATCCAGGACAAGTAGGGATTTATAGCTAAGGAGTAGCATGGGAGCCAGCGGACAGAAAAGTTCTACAAAGAAACATCAGGTGTAAGGGAGATCGTGGCTAAACCCACTTGACAAGATCCTTGCTGAAGGCAGACCAGAGAGATAAGATATCAAGGGGGGTGGTATGAGAAAATTGATCGTGTATCAGAAGGGGGAATTTCATTAAACTGTTCCAGCAGGATTCTTGCCAAAACTGAACTAAGTTGGCTAAGGACAGAGCCCAAGGTTAGGGTCTAGTCCAAGGAGACTGACTCAAGTCAAGAAGTCTTTGTTAGTAGATGGAAAGAATCAAAGGAATAGTTGATGGCCTGATTAAGGCAGAGATTGCTAGTGCTTTTCTAGTATTCATATGCTTCTCTACCTCTCCAAGCTTCCCCTAGAATATGTTGAGGCTGCATGACTACTTCTAGCCAACATAATTTAAAGAGTTGTGAGGGGTCACATTTGAGGAAAGACAGTTAAGAACTAGTATGACTTTGTCTCTTTTGCCCTTTTGCAAAATCTTAGTGGTCATGAATAGCTGGTGCAGCTACAAGATAGAGGCGGACAATCTGAATTTCATTGGACTTTTCCTGAATAAGAAATATACCCCTGTTATGTTAAGCTCATGGTACTTTGGAGTTTTGTTGTTTTTGTTTCAGCAACTCAATCTAGCCTTATCCAAATTTAAGTGATAAGCACTTAACAGAATTATTTTAGAACATTGATTTGGCTTTAGCCATGAAGGCAAATTAGAACGCGAATCTCTTTTTTTGTACATTTTGTATTAATCTGCCTCCATCCTCACTTAATAAATTCAAAAAGGATCTGTCTAAAGAAAATGGAATTTGTTGGCTCCCTTAGGTTGTTTATATGACTTTAACCCTGAGTACTGGGAAGAGAAGGATAGGATATGAAGCTGGAGATTCTACACTACTGTATCCCCAAACACCAGCCCCTGGGGATGAAATGAAAGGTAACCAGTTGTTACAAATGTGAAGATTTGTGTTTCAAGTCAGGAAGTTTAAACTTTATCCTGAAGATTATAAAAATTCATTAAGGAGAGGGACAGAGAGAGACAGAGGTAGAGAGAGAGAGAGAGAGAGCGAGAGAGGTGGGGGGAGAGAGAGAAGATGATCATATTTGCATTTCTGAGTAATTGTTTTATTAAATTATTTAACAAATACTTATTGAGAGTCTGGGGACTTCAGAGTAAGCAAAGCAAATAAGTTATCTGCTTTCATGGGGCTTACATTCTAGATGAGGGAGAGGGTATTCAATAAACAAAAAAATAATAAAACCAAATCAGAATGTTGCAAGTTATATACAGAAAATTAATACTAATTTGAAACAAAGAACACCTGGGTGGCCAATGACAGCCTGAGAAGGTGACTTCTGAGATGAGACCTGCATGTCAATCGGGAGTCAGCCATGTGAAAATTAGAGGGAAGTTCATTCCAGGAACAGGAAACCGGTCTGTGGTAGAGACTTGTACTCATATTGGACTCGGCTCTCCTTCTTGGCATACAGGAGGATTTTCCTACCTGTGGGGCTATAGGTAGTTACTTCTGGAAAATGGGTTCTGGAGAATAGGTTATGAGACAAAGTGATACAAAAATTTGCAGGCTGATGTAAGACCTGCTAGTACTTTCTTCTTCTACCACAACAATCACATACTGAGATGGTGAAATCACAAGGCTGAGGCAGCCTGAATTACCGGGTCCCCTTATGGACAGCAGTTGAGCTGGAGAGCTGCCTGGTCCCACTGGATACTTTGTGGGATTTGAGGATTGTGTATTAAAGTAGCATAACATACCCTGTTTTGTCTAATGCAGGCCTCAGGTGGAAACAAGTTTTATGGGTTACAAGAAGAGATAGAAGACTAGGATAGGAGCAGAGTGAACACAGGAGAGATTGTCAGAAGCCAGATTATGTAGGCATCGTACACCAAGGTAAGGAGTTTTTATTTTATTCTAGGTACAAGAGGAAATAATTGAAGGGTTTTAGCTAGGGGATGGCATTTATCATTTACAATTGTAAAAGATTAGTCTGGCAACTATATGGAGAATTCCTTGGGGAAGAGGGAGACAAAACAAAAAGCAGGAAGGCCAATGATGAGACTATTAAAGTAGTCTTAGGGTTTTTTGCTTTGGATCAGATGATGAAGAGAAAGGGACAGATTCTACGTATGTTTTGAAGGCCGCTTCAACAGGACTTCATAATGGAATAAATGGTGTAGGAGGTGGAAATCAGTGAAACAGTATAATCCTTGACCTTAAATCTGGAGAGATGTTGATGTAAGTGAGCCTGGGGAAGGACAAAGTCTTAGTGGGAATAGGAATGGTGAGGGCATAACACACCTGAGGGGACTATATTAGACACCCAAGTGGAGAAGCTGAATAGGAACTTCAATATGTAAACACAAAGTCTTGAGAAGCAATCAAGTTTAGAGATGTAAAATTAGTACATAAATGATTTTGCCTTCATCTTCAGTTTTCATTTTGTGGGTTCACAGGATTATTACTTTTTTAATTAATAAGCTTGATCTAATGACCACATATTATATCCCCAAATTGCAGAATATATTTTTAAACACTCTTAGAAAATTTACAAAAATTGACTATATATTGGGACATAAAACAAATTTCAATAAATTTAAAAAAATTGATTAGAGACACATCTCTGATCTGAATGATATTAGGGATCAAAAAGGGAATTTGAAAAAATATATAAGGAACATTAGAAACACACTGCTAAATAACTTGTGGTTCACAGGTGAACTTATAATAAAAATTACAGATTATTTAGATGGGAACAATAATAAAAATCACAGATATAGAATATCAAAACATGTAAGAACAATCAAAACAGTACTTAGAGAAAAAATTGTAGCTTTAAATGTTAATATTAGAAAAGTATAATGTATTGAAATTGATGAGACTCATCATGAGAAGTTAGAAAAAGAATAACATAATAAAGTCAAAGAAAATAAAGGAAGGAAATAAGATTGGAATTTAATAAACTAGAAAATAAACATAGAATGTAGAAAACCAACAGAATCAAACAGTGGTTTTGAAAAGACGAGTTAAAGTGATAAACCTCTGGCAAGACTGATTAAATAAACAAGGAAAAAATTAACAAGATCAGTGTTCTGTATCCAGCCAAAATATATTTGGAAAGCAAAGATGAAATAACAACTTGTTCAGTTATACAAAAACTGAAAGAGTCATTACCATCAGATCTTCACTGCAATAAATGTTAAAAAAAAAAAAAAAAAAAAAGTCTTTTAGCCAGAATGAAATGACACCAGGTAGAAATCTGGATCTAAACAAAGGAATGAAGAGCTCTGGAGGTAGTAGCGATATGAGCAAATAAATACTTTACTCATATTTAATTCTTTTAAAAAGAATATGGACTGTTTAAAAATAAAAACAAAGTAGTATGTGCTTTATAACATATGTAGAAATAAAATTCATGAAAATAGTAGCCCAAAGACTGGGAGGGGAGATAGGGAATTATAAAGTTCTTAGGCTATATGTGAAATGTTATAATAGCACTTGAAGATGGACTGATAAATATTCATACTACAAACTCTAAAGTAACTACAAAAATAGCAAAACAGAATTAAGCAAAGTTTTTTTCTGTCCATAAAAGAGATAGCCTCTTACATTAGACTGGGAAACCGTTCTCCTCACTTGACTTCAGGACCTAACTTTGCATAACAACAACAAAAAACCCATTAAGATGTTTTCTTAAACAAAGATGCCAACCTCTTGATCCTTGGCTATCATCACTACAAGCAAACCAGGTTTTGAAATGATGGCTTTCTTAGGCAGGGCTTCTATCCCAGCTAATCTCAGTAAAAAGAAAGAGGTCAACAGAAAATTTTGTATTCCCAATCCAGAGCAGCCTATTCATGTACATATTGAATCTTCCCTAAAAACTATAATTTTCCTTTGGGCAGGGACAGAATGTTATTTAAATATTGTTTATCTTTCAGTCCCACAGAGTACCCCTCATTTTGATTTGTGTCTCTGCTCACTAAATATTTGCGGAATAAATGAATGATTGGCTACATGTTATTTAAAGACATGTGGAAACCGTATAAATGAAACACAGAGATGGGAGGGGGCCCTATCCCTGCCACATTCCAAGGCAGTTAGACGTCCATCTTCTTAGAATGCCTCATGTGATTGGGCTGCTTTTGCCTTGCTTCTTTTGAGCTATGTCATGACACTCTGCTACTTTCATTTTTTTTTTTTTTGTCATTTTTATCCTGGGCTCAATGAACAAAATCATCTGTACTTCTAATTATCTTACTCATCAAATATTACTGCCTGTTCTGCACAGACCTATGTGTGAAGAGAACTATCGTTGCCTACCTTCAACACTGGATAAAAAGTGCATTACTGAAATTATTTACCTAGTGTCAAGGTCCCTACTCTGAAGAAGTTCAGAACAGATTTTTAAGGGACTAAAAAAGTAGAGAAAATAGGCCAGGCTCAGTGGCTCACGCCTGTAATCCCAGCACTTTGGGAGGCCGAGGCGGGCGGATCACAAGGCCAGGAGATCGAGACCATCCCGGCTAACACGGTGAAACCCCGTTTCCACCAAAAATACAAAAAATTAGCCGGGCGTGGTGGTGGGCGCCTGTAGTCCCAGCTACTCGGGAGGCTGAGGCAGGAGAATGGCGTGAACCCGGGAGGTGGAGATTGCAGTGAGCGGAGATCGCACCACTGCACTCCAGCCTGGGTGACAGAGCGATACTCTGTCTCAAAAAAAAAAAAAAGTAGAGAAAATACAGTTAAGCAACTTTTAGTCTCTTTGTGTCTCTTTCTGACGTTTATTTTCCTTCTCAGTAAGGTACAAATAATAATGTTTTCAAATGCTAACTTGTATGGTTAAATTTGTTGTTCTTTTTTCCATTTGGTAAATAATTATGACTTATAAATAAATATTATGTCAATACTCTAAGAAAATTTTTAACATGCAGTAGTGCCATTAAATCGTATTTAAATAACATATGATTTTACAAATAAAGTTATTATGGTTTTTGTATGAATCAATGGGACAGAAAGGAGTGTGAAGAATGTCTTCTCCACATTTCAAATGTGACATGCCTTGTTCTCTACCCATGACCTTGGATATAGTGTCTGAGGGTGGAAGGTTGGGGTTGGGGGACAGAGAAAGGAAGTAGAAATAAGAAGATGGAGATTATTATGGAAAAAGAAGGTGGAAGAGGCTGGGCTGTGGGCCTCCTCAGACCTTTCTTTATTGGCTCCTTATCTAGCTGCTCCTTGAATACTGGAGTCCTGAAGATTCTATCCCAGGATATCTCTGCTTTCTACTCAGTGCATGTGGGGAAATTTTCATTGGCTTTGGGGTCTTCAACCAGCACTGAAATGCGGTGACACCACCTCTATAATTCTGGCCCAGATATCTTTCATGAGCATAAAACCTATATTCCCAATTGCCAGTGGACATACCCGATCTGATTTCTCTCCAGCAGAGCAGGGGTTGGCAAACTACAGCTTATGGGCCAAATCTTGCCTGCCACCTGTTCTTATATAGCCTTCAAGCTAAGAATCGTTTTCATATTTTTAGTTGTGAAAAAAATCAAAGGAATATTTCATGACATGTGAAAATTATGTGAAATTCAAATTTCATTGTCCACAAATTAAATATTCTTGGAACACAGCCATTCTTGTTCATAGGGACTGGTGGCTGCTTTTGAGCTACAACAGCAGAGTTGAGTAGTTTCAAGTAGTTATAACAGTCCATATGGCTCACAAGGCCTAAAACGTTTACTGTCTGGGTCTCTATAGAAAAAGCTTGTCTATCCCTGCTCTAGAGTACAACTGAAGGGATGCCATGTAATTTACAAGCGTAGATCTTAAAAAGTGGATGCAGCTTCTCCCCTGTTGAGTAGAATCCTCAATGTTGAAGCCTTCAGCCACCATAGAAGCAGTCTAAATGCCTTGGGCCACCATGTTGTAAGAATGCTCAAACTGTAGAGAGTCCCTACAATGACCAGAAAGTGCTTCCCCATTCCCCTACCCCAGCCCCAGCACACCCACACTGCAAGTATGTTATAGACTCCTCAGCCAGAACTGCCCAGCTAAGCCCCTCCTGAATTCCAGACCCACAGAAACCATGGGCAACAATGAAATGAGTGTTGTTGCTTTAAGCTACTACATTTTAGGGTGATTTGTTATGCAGCAAGAGGTAAATAGAACACTGCCACTCTTTTCATCTAGGCTACTACAACACCCTCTTCCTTGCTCCCCCTTAGTTTATTTGTACATCGTATTGTCATTTCCAATCATCTTTTCCTTCCTGTGAAAGAATATTTTGCATCCCCATCCTTGCTATACCTTCCTGTAGGTGAAGTAGACTTCCTTATCCTTTTGTTTGTCTTGGCCATGCAGCTTACTTGGGCCAATGGAAATGTGAGTGGATGTAAATTCTAAGCAGGTGCTTTTTAGAGACATAGAAAATTTCCCTCATGCTCTCTGCCATGAGAATGATGCATCTCGAAGCGGGGGCTGCTCCTTCAGCCTGAGTCCGAGGATGAGGAGAAATGTCAGGCTGGTGCACAGCCTACCTGCAACCTAGAGCAGATCCTCAGCTGATCCATTGCTGACATGTAGCACCAATGAAAAATAAACTTTGTTGTTGCCAGTGACAGATTTTTGAAGTTACTTATTCCTCAGCATGACTGTAGCAAAATGAACTTCTACTACATGCCAAGAGCCTGAGCTTATATAGAATACATTGCAGTGCATTGCTTCTGTTCTTTAGCACAGCTTAGGAGCCCTTTGTGATCTGGTCTCTCATCTCCTGCCATGACCTGAAAGTCTCTTCCCAGCAGTTTCATGTTTATGTGTCCTTTGCACACAGTATTTCTTCTGCCTGGAATCTTCTTGGTTGCCTATAAAATTATGTGTAATTCTTTAACACTTCCATGAAATACCATATCTTTGGTAAAGCCTCTCCCTAGACTGCCCCTCCACCGCCCCCTCCCCCACCCTCCGCCCACCTAATGGTCTCTTCTAGTATCTTCAGCACTTGCTGACCTGCCAATGAGCACCTATCCTTATATGGTTGTATTTGTTTACCCCTGTGACTCCCCTCCTAGATTATAATCCCCTTGAGGAAGAATGTCTTTTCTTACGTTTGTTTTACATCCCTAGACCCTAGCACAAAGCCT
Organism: Homo sapiens; assembly: GCF_000001405.40. Taxonomy (NCBI): domain Eukaryota; kingdom Metazoa; phylum Chordata; class Mammalia; order Primates; family Hominidae; genus Homo; species Homo sapiens. Next base: position 38,373,183 of record NC_000015.10, read on the forward strand.
AACATTGATGAGTACTTAAAGAATGTTTGTTGAATGGGTGACCGAGGCAGAAGGAATCTTGAGGGTGAGGGATACGATTTAAGTTTAGGGCAAATTCTGTTTAGGGTCACTGTCACTTCTTACTTCCAGCATTTTTCTGTAGAACAAATCAGATTAAAATAAACATGAAAGGCAAACTCGAAGGATAAAGGAATCACAAAAATTCATTCTGAAGACTACTATGGCCTTAGGAGTTTTGAGGTTGATTTTATGTATGTAAAGCTCAGTTGGTTGGCTGGTTGGCTGGTTGGCTGGTTGGCTGGTTGGTTGGTTGGCTGGTTGGTTGGTTGGCTGGTTGGTTGGTTGGTTGGCTGGTTGGCTGGTTGGCTGGTTGGCTGGTTGGTTGGTTGGTTGGTTGGTTGGTTGGTTGGTTGATTTATTTGGCCACCACCCATTATCTCTTCCTCTCCCTTTAGCAGTCTTCTTATTCTCAGATTTAATAACCATTAAATTCCACACAGTCACCCCATTTGCACACCTTGAAAGAACTGCCCTGGGTCCTTGCCAGGGTGGGCATTTCTGATTCACCTACTCATTTAAACCCTTTGGTTCTCTCTATCAGAGTTCTGGGTGCAACTTTCTGAGAGAAGGCAGTTCAGGGGAATGCCTAGTGATGATCAGATCCCACCCAGGAGGAGCAGAGGTGAGGGGACTGAGCCTTTTCCATCTTTTAATGCCCACAGCTCATTGTGTTGAGCCATATGCCATGTGCTGATTGATGAGGACTGCTTTTTAGGAGAACTGGCTTATCATATTAGCACCATGGGGACATGCTGAGCAACCTTAGGTGAGTCTTAAAATTTCCATTTATGTCTTTCAAAACTGTATATGAAAATAACATAGTAACCATCAGAGATTGTGAGTATTAATTGGATTCATACTTGTTTTATTTGAGTCTAATCCTGGCTCTGCCTCTAGCTAGTTCTTTGGACTTCAGCAAAATAAGTGGTTTGGAAGAAAGTGAGTGCTAATGTTCCCTTAAACCTTTGAGAGTCTAAGAGTCATAATGAATTTAGCAGCTGCAGGATTTTGATGACATGCCCAGAAATACACATCACAATTGGATCAAGATTGTGAATGCACTGATCTTTAAATAAGGATGGATGGGGGATCTGATGAAATTTTGGTGAGCATAAAATAAAATGCTAGATGTGAACAAGCTTTGAAAATGTTTATGCACTTTATGCAAAGTTCTGCTCATTATTGAAGAGTAAAACACCACATTCGGTAACTTCCTATCATCTTAACAAAATTGATGATTATTTTGTACCCATCGTAGCCAAAGGGAGAAATAGCTAAAAACAGGTTCTATTGAGAGATACTACAAAAATGTAATGTTCCTCACATTATTCATAGTCTCCCACTCCTTCATTGCTCCATAAATCAGTGATTAACCTCACCCTCTGACCAGTCTACAAGCTGCAAACCCAGAGTCCTCCCGGACACACCCTCTCCTGCACTCCCATTCCTGGACCACTGCTCAGCACCTCCCCCTTAGTCCAAGCTGCTGTCAGCTCTTGCCTGGACTTCTGCTTAATGCCCCAGCCCACTTCCCTCAGTCCTTTCTCCATACTTCAAATCTATTTTGATCTCTTTCGAGGCTCTACATTGGCCTTAGGGCAAAAGCACAACCACTTAGCACTACTGGGTGGACTCCACAGTCTCATCGGCCTTCAGAGCTCTGGCCACACTGGCCTTCTTTCAGTCTTTCCGTTCATGCTTTCTCCTGCTGCAGGGCCTTCCTTCATGCAATTTCCAAGCCTGACAGCTCCCTTAGCATCTCCCCTCCTAACTAAATCCTACTCATCTTTCAAGCAGTCCCAGCATCATTTCCTCAGGAAAGCTTTTTCCTGGACTTCCTGTCAGGTTATGACCTCTCACAACTCTATGTATGTACCTAACATTTATTTGTGTGATAAATAAATTAAAAACTATAATTTTCATGAGACCAGGCACCATGTTTATTTTTCTTTATCATTTCAATCTCTGACACCTAACAGAGTAGGATATATATATATATACACACAAACACACACGTATATATACACATATATTTTTTAAAAGAATGAATACCGTTAAGCATTGTTCTTTTCTCTAGTCCTCCCTTGATTCACAAGTGCCTTAGGACCAGAATACCCCAAGTTCTCAGATCTATTTTCCTCAGTGGAAATAACCTACAGAGACAGTGAAATCATTTGATAGCTAGAATTATAGGAAAGTCAGAGTGCAGAGTGAATACTGAGAGGGAAAATGAGAAGTGTTGATGATTAGTGATATGCATCTGCTTCCCCAGTGCCTAGGACTGGTTCTGCATCTTGGTTTATCTGATTAGAAATCCTTCTTGGAAAAAGGGCATTCTCCCACTGGTCCCTAAGCTATAAGGGCCCTTCCAGTCCTGAAAACTGAAAGGAAGAAAATTCACACAGCCATGGAATAATTAAAATAATTATCTGAGGGTGACCAGAAAAATCACGGGCCTCTCTAAATTTCACCCACGTGAGTAAGGCAAAATTAGCCCACTAAAATTGCAAGACAGGGATTACAGCTGATTTTTGTTGTGCCCTTAAGTTCTGAATAAGTCCTGCATATTCAATGAAATTGTTACATTTGTGCATGGTATTTCTTATCCTTACATCTCTGCTCAAAAGATACTCCTATTTAATCTCTTAGCTTCATTCAGGACCTGGACCAACCTTCTACCCTTTTTCTTTGAGCTCTAGGAATTCCACTTACTGGTTTTACTTCAAACTCACCGGCTGTTTTCAGATGCCTTTACTACCTCCTCCTTCTCTACTAAACTGCTAAATTATGGCCCATGGCTCAGGTCTCGGCCCTTTTATCTTCTCAGGGTGATTTCATTTGGAAACATGGCTTTAATTATCGTTTATTAACTGAATAGCTTCCAAATTTATATGTCTAATTTTGACTTCTCCCTTGACTCCCAGACTTGCATAACCAAAAGGAAAAAAAAAAGCCTTCTTAACATCTCCCCTTGGGTGTGATGCTGGATATTTTCCATTTTCCCTTCCAGGTCCACTCTCCATCCATCTCTTTCCTGTTCTGTGCTTTGGGAGGCTGGCTCACATGGGCTGCATCACCAAGCTCTCTTGTCCTCTGGCTTCCCGTTGAGTTTGCCTCATGGGATGCATTAGCAATATATGGGAAGGCAGGGGACAGTGAGATTGTGTATGCCTTCCCTTGTCTCTCTTCTTGCCTGCTCACCATGGGTTAGATGTTTCCCTCTATTGAGGTCAGCCCTCTCCAACAGCTATAGCTACTCTCTCTGGCTTCTGGTTAGCCCACCTTTTCCCCTATTGTCTCGAAAGCCTAGAGATGGTAACCGTTATGTGCTGTGGCCTGTCCCAGAGTACTTCACCACCCATGGTTGGGGTTTTGGGGGTTTTTTGGTCCATGTTCTTATAATAGTCACTTCATTAAACTCCCTCCCATTATCCAGTGTACATCTGTTTCCTGCCTGATCCTGACTGATATGGTCATCTACTAGACATCTCAAATTTAACATAGCCAAAGTAGGATTCATATTCTTCTTGAATCTCCTAGTTTTCCCCATGATAGGACATAGCATCAGCTTGTATAGCCCCTTGTTCACACCACAAACAGGCTCAAGTCTGTTATGTCAGCATTTGTCTTGGCCCTCAGTTTTTGTTTTGTTTTTGCTTTGCTTTTTTTTTGAGACAGGGTTGTCTCGCTCTGTCTCCTGGGATGGAGTGCAGTGGCACAAACACGATTCACTATAGCCTCGAACTCCTGGGCTCAAGCAATCCCCTCACTTTAGCCTCCCCAGTAGCATATGCCACCATGCCTAGCTAATTTTTAATTTTTTTGTAGAGACAACATCTTGCTATGTTGCCCAGGCTGATCTTGAACTCCTAAGCCCAAGTGATCCACTTGCCTTGGCCTCCCAAAATGTTGGAATTATGGGCATAAGCTGCCACACCCAGCTACCCTCAGGGCTTTTATACAGAGGTTGCTCATCTGTGACTCTCCATCTGTAACAATGAGAGTGTATAATTAGAAGATTGAGGCTTGTCTTGAATGCTGTTTGGCCCACCTGCAATGAGAATTTCCTAACATTTCTTACTGCCTTCAATGGCATAACCTTATTCATCTTTGTATCATTATGTAGTTTAGTATTTGAAATATAATAGATATCCCCAAAAATGTATGTCATATTTATGAATTAAGGTTTGTTAGGTATTGATCTAGTTAATTGGGACTGTTTTTGTTCTTATGCATTTAAACTTTTAATAAAAGGCTACAACTTTTATCTGATAGTGCTGCACATTTAATACAATCTTAACTTACCTAGAGGTAATTCTATCTCAGCCTTAGTATTCTACAGCTTTTAGTTTGGTTTCTTCTAAAATGCAAGGGATAAGAATTAAGTAGGAATGTTTTTGGCTTTTGAGTTGTTTCTGAGTGGAATGAAGTTTACAAAACTACTGGGAGACTTCTACACGAACAGCTGTTATGTGACCCTGTAGAAGGAAATGTGCATTTTAAAAAAGGCAAAGTATAAACAATAAACATGCTGGGAGGTCAAATTGAGAAGAGGAAGAGGAAGGCTGGGAATAGGAGAACTGAGACCAGGGAATATTTCACACTAGATCTGAAGGAGCTAAGCATTTTTCCTGATGTCTTTAAAAGAAGTTTTAGCCATTTATGGAGAAAAGATGATTGTGGCTATTTATGAACATCATGTTGCTAGGTGACACCATGGGATGAGCACCATGCTAACCTATCACTCACTGATTTCCAGAACTAGCAATGAGGGGCTATATGGGGGTGGGGGTAGAATTCAGAAAGGAACACAGTGGCATTGGGATGAGAAGTGCGAGGGTTGAATGAATCAGCTTTAGGAAAACCTTCATTTTTCTCTCTCCATTCTAGAAAAATGATCTGTTTAGAATCTTAGATCCAACCTTTCCCCTGCTCTCTCATTTGGGCCCCCTTGTTGCTAGCAGCCTTTTTTCTCTATTATGACATTTGGCCTCCTCTGGGAGAAAAGCAGATCTGCTTCCTGCAGAAGCCAAGACGGGAAGTCACCAGGGAGGAAGCCGAGAAGTCAGGCTCCCGATGCAGCAAGTCTGAGAACAGGCATTTTCTTCTAAGTCTTCCACACACAGCGTGGGAATGTGTGGGAGGCCGGGCGTCTGTGCTTGAGTGTAAGTCGGGGCATTGAGAGAATGACGCCGTGTGTGATAGGCCTGACTTCCAATCAGCTGGCCACCTGCCAGATGCCAGTTCTCTCAGCAGCTATTTAAATACATATTTAGCCATTCTGAAATAATAGTGAATTGAGGCAAAGTTAACCACCGTTTTGAAATGTATCTATTGAAAACTAGGCTCGTAATGTTCGTTTGACTAATAAGCATGGATTTAGCTTGGGAATACACAGGTTCACACAACTGGATAGAATCAGTGAATGGCCACTTGTGGGATATTAACCAGCATCCTGCAGGTATCAACAACTTTTGCATGCAGTGGGGCAGGATGGTGTGTGGGTATGTGTTATGTAGGCTATGTTTCCCCGAGGCTACTCCCACCTTAGGGACAAGAGCATGAGTATAATTAAAAGGTAGATGTTTTTTGAGCCTTGTCTAAAGCTCTCACTGGAAGTGGGAATGCCTTTTCGCCCCACTATCACTGAGGCTGCAGTGAGTCTAACGCATCTCCTAGTGGCCATGACTTTGTGCCAACCAGGTCCCTTCCTCCTGTTGCTGCTACTCCTTAAAGAATGATGCTAGTCCTGGCTGGTCTTGAACTCGACCTCAAGTGATCTGCCTGCCTAAGCCTCCCAAAGAATAATACTGGTCCTATTCTTTCTCTCCTGTCTTCACCTGACTTCTTCTTCTTCTTCTTTTTTTTTTTTTTTTTTTTGTTGGTTGTTTATTATACTTTAAGTTCTAGGGCACATGTGCACAACGTGCAGGTTTGTTTCATAGGTATACATGTGCCATGTTGGTTTGCTGCACCCATTAATTCATCATTTACATTAGGTGTATCTCCTAATGCTATCCCTTCCCCAGCCCCCCAGCCCCCGACATGCCCCAGTGTGTGATGTTCCCCTTCCTGTGTCCAAGTGTTCTCATTGTTCAATTCCCACCTGTAAGTGAGAACATGTGGTGTTTGGTTTTCTGTCCTTGTGATAGTTTGCTGAGAATGATGGTTTCCAGCTTCATCTATGTTCCTGCAAAGGACACGAACTCATCCTTTTTTGTGGCTGCATAGTATTCCATGGTGCATATGTGCCACAATTTCTTAATCCAGTCTATCATTAATGGACATTTGGGTTGGCCCCAAGTCTTTGCTATTGTGAATAGTGCCGCAATAAACATACGTGCTTTTACCTGACTTCTGCTGCTGGTGTCTCCTTCGTTCTGGTAGCTCCACTGAAATTCTCCAAATTAGAGAAGACATTGTCTTCAGGGATACTAGTTAAATACCACCCCTGTCTAGAGAACCCTCAATTTACCTTTATGTAAAACCGCAAAACAAAATGCTTCCCACCATAAAGAGCAAACAGATGGCCCTGCTGGCATGGACCACTGAGAAGAACATGTCCCTTCCTCCCACTGACATCACTGCCTACCGAGGCAAATGGCTTGGCAGAGAAACCAGAGTTGGGGTTCTGACCGTGCTCATCCCCTCAGCCTGATTGGTGCCCTGGACAAACCATATGCGATGGCCTTGTGTTTGTTTAACTGAGATTAGATGCTAGTTTTTTTTTTTTTTTAAGTTTTATTACGGAAAATGTCAAACCTATACAAAATAGATGGAATAAGAGGAATTAGATAAAGCACTCAGTATACAAATCACTCACCATCACCAATTTTCAGCTGATGGCTCATCTTACTTATGTATACCTTAACTCCACTCCCCCAAATATTCTAAGGAAGATTCTAAAACAATTGCATTCAATCTGCATCATTTCTTCTGGAAATATTTCAGTATGTATCTGTAAAAGATCAAGACTTCTATAAAAATATAAATAATACCATTATCACACTCCAAGCAAACAGTAATTCCCTAATATTCACAAATATCCAGGTTGATGTTCATGTTTTCTTGTTTGTCTCATAGTTTTTTTAACAGCTCGCTTGAGTCAAGATCTAAATAAGGTCCGTACTTTGTGATTAGTTGATATGTCTCTTATATCTCTTTTAATTTATTTTATTTTTTCCGCCTTGCAAATTTTTGTTGAAGAAACAAACTTATTTGCTCTGTTGTTTTCCATAGTCTGGATTTTGCTGATTTCATTTATGTGATGATTTAACATATTCCTGTATGTAGTTTTCTAAATTGAAAATTGGGTATACAGTCTTGGTCAATGCAGGTTTGTGTTTTCTGGATAAGATGATATCATAGGTGGAGTGTGCCGCTATCAGGAGATGCATAATGTGTGGTTGTTTTTCTTTTTGTGATATTATCAGCCATGAATATTCACTGTCAGGTTCCATTAATTCATTAAAGGCTGCAAATGACGCTTTTCTAATTCCTTCATTGTTTATGAACTGGAATGCTTCTGTAAAGGGAAAGTTCTCTCAGCAACCATTTGGTTACCCTGAGGTTTAGATCCTATAGAAAAGGCAGAATAAATGCTTGATTCTTTTCCTTCATTTACCAGTTTTCAAAATAGTGTGGTGGTTCCCTACAGTTCGTTAAAAGTAGCCAATGAGATTTGAGGTGTTTGTTTTTTTTTTTTAAATAAACTCTTGGATGAAATGCTCATATTTGATGTGTTTCAATTCATTATAGACACTGTTTTTATTGATGTTCAAAGTGTCCTATTATTGGTATCACTGGTCAGTGGAAACTCACACAATGTGGCTTTTGCAATATTGCGTTTTTGTTTTTTTTATTGTTATACTTTCATTTATTTATTCATTTATCAAAGTCATCAAACCTTCCCCTACTAGTTTTAATGTCCATTTCTACATTTATTATTTTCATTCTACAAGGTGAAGCTTTCCTTTTCCCACATTTGTTTGTCATTTCTTTTTCAAAAAACCTTCTTCACTTTGTGAGATATTATTTATTTCATTATGTAAGTGTCATGGTTTTTGAGTTATGATACATTATTACTATTATTCATCTGCTGCTCTGTTGTCCCAGATGTGGCCAGTGTGAGCTCCTTCTAACTAATTTCTTCTGTGCCTTTTGACCTGTGCCCATCATGCTTTGAGTACTCTCTTTCTTTCTGACACAACACATATTTCAGGCTCATTTGAACGTTCCCTGTCCCAACCCTGAAACCAGCCATTTTTCCAGTTAGCTCTATACCTATTTGTGGAGAATGGTATTTAGACATTAAGATCTGAGTACTAGGTGCCTCGCTGTTATTGAGATATTGTTGCTCCCTGCCTTCTCAGTGGACAGATCCAGGAATATACATGCATACACATACACACATGTTCACACATTTGCATCTCTATTTCTGTATCTCTCTCTCTCTATATATTTAGAAAACACAACTTTATTCTGATATCTCTGATTCTATTTCAACACAACAGGATTCATTCTAGCCTTCCTCCTTCCCATGTTTGTAAGTCCCTTCAACAATGAGAAAACTTAGATCCAATTATCATCAACATTTGTACTTAGTTGTTCAGTCTTCTTCCACCCAACTTACCACATATTCCTTGTCGGTCCCTTACCTGCCTCTGAGATGCCACTGCCCTCGTTGGCATAATTTTCTTGCACGGGTCCCTAGCAGCCCCAGGGATACCACATACATTGTCTTCACCCAGTTCCCTGACCTTCAAAAATCTTGGGATTAAACTAGGTAGGAAGAGAGGGAGGAAAGAGGTGGGAAGAAAAGAGGAAGAAAGGGAGGAAAGGAGATGGGAGGGAAGGAGGAAGACAGAGAGGGAGAGACAGGAAGTAAGTAAACGTTTCTGTTTTACAAAAAGGATTCCACAAAATTAAGCTCGTCAAAGAGTCCATGTCTTAAAAAGGCTAAGAGCTACTACTTATATAACTTGTAGGAGCATAGTTAAATGTTTTTGGAATTCTCAGATGAGAGAAGTATATTTTAACAGAGCAAGGTACTATTGTTTCAGATGTTCTTTGATTTTTAGAGCCATGGTTACAGTAGGGGACTAACTATCCAGGTAATAACTAAAGATTCTCTGGAATATGGTAAGAAAATGAAAAAACTTCTATGTTATGTTCATTTTTTTAATTAAAAAATTGGAGAGAAATTAAGCTTTATAAATGTTTGCTAAAACAGTGAGGTTTGTATGTTAGTCACATGACACAGATGTTAAACAAGATGACCTAAGACAAGACTGTTAATAGAAGCTCACCATTTCAGAGGCCTATCCTTTTGTTAACTAAGTGCTATTTAAAGGGACTAACAGGTAATATTAGTTTTTAGCAAATAAACTGTTATGACATGAACAAATGTCTTTAAAAGATTCCTGCACAGAAACTTAAGACTGAAGATAATACTATTTTCTTCAATATAATTAATGTAAGCCCATGTTTATATTCAGGAAATGTTATGCCTGGCACTACTGTAGATAGTACAAGCTCCTTGACAGCCACATAAGATTCAAACAATGATGTCTTAAAGTGAACCCAAAGAGTTAGAGACTGTCAAAAAGACCATTTCAAGTATAAATTTCTATCCCCTGCCCTCAATAATTACCCTCTTCTTATAATATTATTTAAGATATTAGCCAGTGAAAATGTGAAGCCATCGTGATTAGAAGATAAAAAACTGATTATCCACATGTGAAGACAAGCCTTGACCTTTTTTCCAGCAATGTTTAAATTTATGTAATACTCAATCCAGTACCAAATATAATTTCTCTAAACTCAATTGTAAATATTTAGAAGACTACTTTCTTAGCTGTTGTTAAGATATTTTTAAAAATTATTGTTGGGAAACTCTTGGTATGTTGAAATGACTGATATGATGTATAGGAACTGATAGGGCAAAGACATAAATTGCATTTTGTTGTTAGGAGATACTGTTGGAAGGCATGGAAATCATTGCTGATATATGAAGATACAAATACGTGAAAAAATTATGTAGAGTGGGAAAGTTCCTAAGCAGATAGATCAGGAGTAGGCAAACTATGGCCTACTTATCAAACTGGCTCTTTGCTTATTTCTGTAAATAAGGTGTTATTGGAACACAGCCACACTCATATGTGATGTATTGTCTATAGCTACTTTCATGCTATTATGGCAGAGTTGAGTGGTTATGACAGAGACTACAAGTGGCCTGTAAGGCCCCAAATATTTACTATCTGGCCCTTTACAAAAAAGTTTGCTGACTCCTGAATTAGAAGAAAGAAGTTGGTCCTAATCTATCAAAGTATATATTGTATTTCCTAGAACATTTTAATAATGAAATACAGTTCACCCTTGAACAACATGGGTTTGAGCTGTATGAGTCCACTTACACAAAAAATGTTGTCAATAAATATATTGGAAAAATTTTTAGAGATTTGCAACAATTTGAAAAAACTCATAAACTGCGTAGCCTAGAAATATTGAAAGAAGGAAAAAGGTATGTCATGAATTCAAAAATATATGTAGCTACTAGGATATTTTATCATCACTATCATGAAATGTACATAAAATAAATGAAATCCATTATAAAAAGTTAAAATTTATCAAAACTCACACATACATTTATAAACTGTACATGGCACTAGTCTCAGTCTAGAGAAATATAAATAAAAGATACAGTATTAAAGATGCAGTATTAAATCATAGCTATATAAAATTAACTATAGTACATACTATACTACTGTAATAATTTCATAGCTACCTCCTGTTGCTATTGCGGGGAGCTCAAGCGTTGCAAGTATCCACTTAAAATGCCCTTTGATGCTAATCAGTTCATCTCTCCAGTAAATTGTGTATCTCAGTAAAAAATAATCTCTCACAGTTCTTGAATATGTATTATTGTGTTTAGTGCAATAGAGTAAACTTTGAATAACACCATGGGACCCATACAAAGCACCACTAATGATGCTGGAAGTGTTCCCAAGAAGCAGAGAAAAGTTATGACATTACAAGAAAAAATTGAATCACTTGATATGTGTCATAGATTGATGTCTATAGCTGCAGTTGCCCACCATTTTAAGATCAATGAATCCAGCAGAAGGACCATTGTCAAAAAAGAAAAGGAAATTTGTGACATCATCACTGCAGTCATGCCAGGAGGTTTGGAACTCTTGCACTTTTTACAAAATACCTTTCTATATCATACTGAAAATGCAGCTTTTATGTGGGTGCAGGGTTGCTGTAAGAAAGACACACCTATAGACTCATGCATGATTCAAGAAAAAGTGGTCATTATACAACAACTTAAAGTAAAAGGAAGGTGAAGGATCTAAAGCTGGAGAACTTAATGTCAACAAATGAAAGTTTGATAATTTTAGAAAGAAGTTTGACTTTCAAAAAGTCAGATAACAGGAGAAGCAGCTCCTGCCAACCAAGAGGCAGCAAGTGAGTTCCCGGATGCCATTAAGAAAAATCATTGGGAGGAAAGGATATCTGCCTGAAAAAATTTTCAGGGCAGACAAAAGTGCCCTATTCTGGAAAATAATGCCACAAGGGCCATTGATTAGTAAGGAAGAGAAGCAAACACCAGGATTTAAGCCAGAAAGGGATAGGCTAACTCGACTGTTTTGTGCAAATGTAGTCATGTTTATGATCAGGACTGCCTTATTTATAAATTTGCTAACCCTCGAACTTTGAAGGAAAAAGATAAACACCAGCTGCCAGTCCTTTGGTTGTACAACAAGGATCCATGGACAAAATCCCCTTTTCTAGATTGGTTTCTTCAGTGCTTTGTCCCTGAAGTCAGGAAGTACTTTGCTACTAAGGGATTGCCTTTTAAAGTTCTTTGGATATTGGACAATGCCTCTGGCCACCCAGAACTCCCTGGGTTCAACAGTGAAGGCGTTGAGGTGGTCTACTTGCCCCTGAACACAATGTCTCTAACTTAGCCTCTGGATCAGGGGGTCATAAGGACCCAAGGCTCATTACACATGGTTCATGGTACTCTTTGGACAGATTGTCAATGCCATGGAAGAGAACCCTGAGAGAGAGCGAGCATCATGAAAGTTCGGAAGGATTATACCATTGAAGATGCCATCGTTGTTACAGAAAAAGCTGTGAAAGTCATCAAGCTCAAAACAGTAAATTCTCACTAGAGAATACTGTGTCCAGATGTTGTGTGTAACTTCTCAGGATTTATGACAGAGCCAGTCAACGAAACCATGAAAAAGATGATGGGTGTGATGAAAAGGTTGGGGGTATAGGGTTTCAAGATACGGATCTAGGAGAAATTCAAAAGCTAATAGACAACACACCAGATGAATTAACAGAAGACTACTTGGTGGAGAAGAGTGCTTTCAGACAACTGCCAGATGATGAAGAGGAAGACGCAGAATAGGCAGTGCCAGAAAACAAATTGACATGAGAAAACCTGGCAGATGGGTTCCAGTTATTCAAGACTGCTTTTGACTTCCTTTATGACATGAACCCTTCTATGATAAGGGCATTGAAACTAAAGCAAATGAAAGGATTGGTACCACATAGAAACATGGTTTAGAGAAATAAAAAACAAAAAAAGATACAAATTACTTCCAGTGTATTTTTGTAAAGTTATACCTGGGTGCCTGCCTTCCTCCCTCACCTTCCATCTCCTCTACCGACCAACCCCGCCTCATCTCCCCCTCCCCATCCTACCCAATGTGAAGATTATGAGGATGAAGACCTTTACAATGATCCACTCCCACTTAATGAATAGTAAGTACATTTTCTCTTCCTTGTAATTTTCTTGATGTTTCCTTTTCTCTATCTTACTTATATAAATAAAAGATTCTGGAGTTACAAATATAGTACCATATATGAAACTTATTCTCCACATGATTCATAGGCAAGCTATTACTCAAAAAATGGGTGAAGCCTAAAAGTTACAGAGGCCCACCAGATGCCATTAATAAGTTAATTTTATACAAACAAACTCTTTTAAAAACCACTGGTCCCTCACAGAAATTTGCTAGTTAACTGTGCCAAAGTACTAGAACCTGTAGCTTAATGCCTATCATCAGTTTTGGAAAATTCTTTTACTATCTCTTCAAATGTTTCTTCTGCTTTCTTTCCTCTGGTCTCCTTCTATGACTCTAATTATAGATCTTTTCCTTTTTTACCACACACTCTATGTCTCCTTTCTTTATTTTCTATATTTTTATCTCTTCATGCTTCAGTTTAAATATTTTCTTTTGACCTACTTCCAGCTTACAAATTTTTAATGCTGTGTATGATTTTGTGTTAAATCCATCCATTCAAGTCTCAATTTCATTTATGTTTTATCCACTTTAAAGTTTTTATTTGATTACTTACTATACTTCCCAATTTCCTGCCGACATTCCCAGACATGTCTTTTAGTTATTTGAACATACTAATCATATATATTTTAAGTTTATATTTATTTAATAACCTTATTATCTGGATTACTTGTATATTTGTGTCTGTGTTTTTTTTTCTTGATTTTCCATTACATCTTGTCTGCTTATATGCCTAATTGCCTGACTGATTTTTTTTTCTTTTTTGAGACAGGGTCTCACTCTGTTGCTCAGGCTGGAGTGCAGTGGCACCATCTCGGCTCACTGCAACCTGCATCTCAGGCTCGGGATGTCCTCCCACTTCAGCCTGCTGAGTAGCTGGGACTGCAGTGCATGCCACCATGCCTAGCTAATTTTTGTATTTTTTGTAGAGATGGTGTTTCAGCATATTGCCCAGGCTTGTATTGAACTCCTGGGCTCAAGTGATCTGCCCGCCTCAGCCTCCCAAAGTGCTGGGATTACAGGCATGAGCCACTGTGTCTGATCTGCCTGATTTTTTATTTATTTATTTATTTTTTTACTGAGATCTTGACATTGAAGAAATATTTTAAAGCTCTGGATTATATTATCTTCCTCCAAGAAGATTACTTTTGCTTAAGCAGGTATCTAGGCTAGGAGTGCTAGCAATTACAAATCATCTTAATTCAAACAAGAATTGAAATGATTTGATACTGAGCTTCAGTCTTTGAGAGGAATGATTTATTTCTAATTTGCTTTACTCTTAGGATTCATTTCCTGAAATAATTTCCAGGGCCCCTCCTCTGATTTTTCCCCGAGTCCTGTGAATCTGTTGAAAGCTTATTCAGCCTTTCAGCTATTACTTTTTAGACTGTCAATTACCTACAAAGGAAAAGCAGCTCTAAGTGCTGTGCTCACCTCTCTGCACTTTCTTGCTCTCTTGGATCTTGGGCCACAATTTCTTGGCACCTTAGTAGCTCTCTAATACCTTCAAACAAATTTAAAAGAATTTTTTTTAATTTTTCTAATTGTTTTAAATGGGAAAATACTTCTGAGACAACCTAGTCTACCAAAGCTGGAAGCAAAATTTCATTGAAAGGGAAAGATGAAACATGAGCTTTTGCTTTATGAAAGATCAAAGGGTACCAAATTTGCTGATGTTTTCTCTGATGCTATAGAGTTATTGATAGTATGCTTCCTTGCAGATTTCTTTGTAAATAATAAGCATCTTGATCTAGTCTTTTGAGGTAAATATAAAGTTTAACAGCGAGTAAGAAAGGGACTACTTTTCAAAAGAACTTTGTGCTATGGAGAGAGAATTTTGAAAGAAGCATTGGTAAAACATTTCCATCATTTTAAGATTTTGTTGTTGCACGTATCAGGTTAACACTTACAAAGTCTCATCTGCAAGACAGTTACAAATTAGGAATTACAGTTTTTTCAACTGTTTAAATCTTTCTAGCAGAAAAAATTTTATTGAGTCTGGAAGCCATTTGTTAAAAATAAAAAAAGCAACATCTTCTAATTGTTTGCCCAATAGTAGCAGAAATGAACATTAGCTAACTAAATTTTCTCCTCCCTCCAAAAAACCCTTTGCATAATTGGTAGATGGGATTTTAAAAATAACAAGTGTAGTTTAATAAACAGAACCAACAATGAACTTCTTTAATTTAGATTTATATCTTTGTGAATTTTTTCTTTTCCTTTTTTTTTCTTTTTGAGACAGTCTCACTCTGTCCCAGGCTGGAGTGCAGTGGCCTGATTGTAGCTCACTGCAGCCTCAAACTCCTGGGCTCAAGTGATCCTTCCATCTTGGGATCCTCCCTCCCAAGTAGCTGGGACCACAGGTGCATGCCACCACGCTTGGCTAATCTTTTTTTTTTTTTTTTTTTTTTTTCAGATGGAGTCTTGCTCTGTCACCCAAGCTGGAGTGCAGTGGCGTGATCTCAGCTCACTGCAACTTCTGCATCCCAGGTTCAAGCAATTCTCCTGCTTCAGCCTCCCGAGTAGCTGGGATTACAGGCATGTGCCACCACACCCGGCTAATTTTTGTATTTTTAGTAGAGACAAGGTTTCACCACGTTGGCCAGGCTGGTCTTGAACTCCTGACCTCAAGTGATCCACTCGCCTTGGCTTCCCAAAGTGCTGAGATTACAGGTATGAGCCACTGTGGCTGGCCTAATCTTTTCTTTTTTGTAGAGATGAGGTCTCCCTATGTTATCCAAGCTGGTCTTGAACTCCTGGGCTCAGGCAATCCTCTTGCCTCAGCCTCCCAGTGTAAATTTTTTCTAGTTATAGCAGCCATTCACATCAAGTATAAAAATAAGCTGAATGTAGGACCAGACATTTGAAGCATATTCAGTAACTTGCTCACATTAATAATTTGTTAATGACATAAAAAGTGATTTTGTGCCATTTTAATAAATGTATTTAAAAGTATTGTTACTTCATCATTTTTTCTTTTTTAGGTGTTAGAATTCCATGTATAAGTATTGTGGTGTATATATAATTTATAAGTAAACTTATGTATATTAGAAGTAATACTAAGAAATATTAGCTGGTGGGTATGTGATCAAAAAATTTTGGATGCTACTTCTCTAGAGAATATATCAGAGGCAGCATACACTAAAAAAGCAAACAAACAACCAAAAAAACAACAGAGTTTATACTTCAAAGATAAAATATAGTCAAGCTATTAAACAACAAACAAAACAAAACAAAACAAGACAGCTGAGTTAGCATTCCCTCAAATTGCAGAGCCAGGCGGAAGTTGGCATTTCTGCTTCCAATTACTTCTCTTCTCTGTTTTCAGACAGGCACCATGGTTTCCACAAAGCTCTCCTAAAGCCAGAGATGTTTCCAACTGACCTGTAGTAATTAGGAGCACAAGCCTTGAGTCCTGGTGAAGTTATGTGATCTCCGGGAAGTTATAGAAATCGTGCACACCTCAGTTGTCTCATCTGTAGGATGGACTAATAATAGTATTTTATTTATTTCTTTTTACCAACTGACATCTGAGCACCTCTCCCGTTTGTAGCTGTTGTCTCTCCATCTATTCTGGGACTCTCTGTGGAGCCAAAGGGTCCAGATATTCCCTACCCCTGGCAGTTGGAACACAAGTGGCTGTGGTGGAACTGAAGGCCCAGTGTTGGCAAGGCCAGTGAGGGTTCTAGCCAGAGCAGTTTCGTAGTATCACCTTTCCGGTCCTAGTTCTTTTTCCTTCTTGTCAATTCTGTGAGCCAATCAATAGTCTTCAAATAAAACACCTTTCTGCCTACGTAAGCTGGAGTCACTTCTGATACTTGCATCCAAGGACTTTGAGAAGGGCATTATCTTACTCTGGTTTTGTTGTTGTTCATTCTGTTTTTAAAATTATGTACAAATGGTTCAAATACTTTTTTGGCATACAATGTTATGAATTTTAACATCTGTATGGATTAAAACACCACTGCAATCAGGATACAGAACAGTTCCATACCTGGCAAAACTCCTTTCTGCTACCTTTATGTAGTCATGCCTGCCCACTTACACTCATGTGCACCACCCAGTGGTCAGTCTGGGTAGTGGTCTATCATGAGTTCAGTTCTCAAAGTCTTTTTGGTAGGCCAATTGCGATCAGATCCGTACATGTACAACTAAAGGGTAAGCCCAGTAGTTAACAAACAACTTTATGGGTCACTTTCCAGAGCTCATACCTCTCTGCAATTTTCCAGTAATTTCAGGTTCTCAAGCTCTCCTCTTTGGGCCTGTGGCCAGCATGCAGAGGCTTTACTTACCCCGCTCTGCCATCCATGGGACCAAGTGGTAGAAGGTTGGTGAGACAGAGAGAGAGAGAGAAAAGGCAACAGGGTTTGCTCCATCCTCTTGGGATCACAGCTTCATGGTTTGGGGAGGAAATCTCCCCTCTATCACAGTTTTGGCTCCTGTTGAATTGCAGCCTCTACCACTGTTGCCATGGGATTGTGGGGTGCAAGCAAATGGAGAGAATGAAAAAGAGTGAGGGGACTTATACATCATCTTGGAGTTTTAGGAGTTCCTTTTTCTACTCCTGAGCCAGATCTAGAGGCTTGCTCTTGGACCTCTAGAGAGAGATCATTCCAGTGCCGGCTCCCCAGTTCAACAGTGCATTAAGTTTAGGCCATGAGATACCAGAAAGGAAAAAATGATAAACTCCACCAGTTTGGTGAAACTTTGAATTCTGGTCTTCTTCCTCAATCAGTCTGCTACCAATTTCATTCCAGAGTCCTCAAATAGGCTCATACACTCTGTCCAGAATTCAGAGTTGTGTTTACTAAGAGACATTTTTGTTTTTTGCAAGGATCCAAGGTGATATTGCATGTATTATAGCAGAATGCCTGATACAAATTGAAAGATCATTAAATATTAGATATTTTAACTCATTTATTCTGCTTAAGCTATTAACCAAAATTAATTATTAACATCAAATTTATTTTAAACTATTTAAGACCAAGAGACTGACTTAAAAACAATTTAAACTAACTTTAATTTACATTTTAAACAATTTAAATGCCCAGGACCCAGTATGATATTATGTTCTTTTGAAAAGACTTTCTCTGAAACACTTTTTCTCCTCCCCTGCCCACATTTTAAACTTGATTTACAGGTCAGGTTTATTTACAGTTGTGATGTGCTATGATATTTGTGTCACAGGACAAAACGATTTGAAGATGACCCTATACCCCTATCATCTGTAGGTCAAAACTGAGAGGTGAGGAATAGATGGGGCAGGGAAGCTCTGGTTCAAGGATGGTGTTTTTCTCCCTTCTGAGTCATCACTTGTGACCACAAGTCCATTAGTGTGGAGATTTTCAGGGGATTTTTTTGTTTGTTTGTTTGTTTGTAACTTAGGCCAGTGAAAAAAGAACAGGAATTAGAGTCTGAAGAATTCAGTTCATTGACACTAGGAGATGAACCAAACAAATCTGCCCACCCACAACCTGAAAATAAAACGTACACACATAAAATAACAATGTAATACATAATGTAATTAGTAAATAAAGCTGTATTGGAACGGGGTCACACTCATTTCTTTACATATTCTCTATAGTTACTTTCCTGCTATAACAGCAGAGTTTAGTAGTTGGAACATAAACCATTTTGCAAAACCTAAAATATTTACTGTATGGCTTTTTTACAGAAAAAGTTTGTGTAGAAAATCCAAAAGAATTGACAAAAATACTCCTGGAACTAATAAGTTATTATAACAAGTTTGGAGGATACAAGGTTAATATACAAAAGACAATTGCTTTCCTATATACTAGCAATGAACAAATGGAATCTGAAATTTAAAACATAATGCCATTTACATTAACACTCAGCTATAAGTCTTAAAAGTATGTACAAGATCTATATGGGGAAAACGACAAAACTCTGATGAAAGAAATCAAAGAAGATCTAAATAAATGGAGAGATAATTCATGCTTATGAATGGGAAGACTCCATATTATCAAGATGTCAGGTCTTCGTAACTTGATTTACAGATTCAGTGCAATCCCAATCAAAATTCCATCAAGTCATTTGTGGATACTGGCAAACTGATTCTAAAGTTTATATGGAGCAGTGAAAGACCTAAAATAGCCAATACAATATTGAAGGAGAAGAACAGAGTTGGAGGAGTGACACTCGAGAACTTCAAGACTTCCTAGAAAGTTACGGTAATCAAGACTGTGTGGTATTAATGAAAGAGTAAACAAATTAATGGAACAGAATGGAGAGCCCAGAAATCGATTCATGTAAATAGAGTCGACTGATTTTTGACAAAGGAGCAAAGGCAATAAAATGAAACAATGGACATCCATATGCAAACAAATGAATTTAGACTGAGACCCTTCATCAAAATTAACTAAAAATGGATCACAGACCTAAATGTAAAAGGCTATATTATAAAACTCCTAGAAGGTAACATAGGAGAATCAAGATGACCTGGTTTGGTGATGACTTTTTTGATGCAATACCAAAGGCATGAATTATGAAAGGAAGAATTGATAAACTGGACTTTATTAAAAATTTTTAGAGAACTGCTCTGAAAAATATACTTCAAGAGAATGAAAAGACAAGCCACATACTGGGAGAAAATGTTTGCAAAAACATATCTGATAAAGGACTGTTGTCCAAAATTAAAAAAACAAAAAACAAACTTAAAACTCAACAATAAGAAAACAAACAACCCAATTAAAAAATGGGCCAGGCCAGGCACTGTGGCTCATGCCTGTAATCCCAGCACTTTGGGAGGCTGAGGTGGGCAGATCCCTTGAGTCCAGGAGTTCAGGACCAGCCTGGGTGACATGGCGAAACCTCATCTCTACAAAAATTAGTCAGATGTGATGGCACATGCCTGTAGTCCCAACTACTCAGGAGACTGAAGTGGGAGGATCAGTTGAGTCCAAGAGGCAGAAGTTGCAGTGAGCTGAGATTGTGCCACTGCACTCAAGCCTGGGTGACAGAGTGGGACCCCATCTGAAAACAAAGGGCCAAAGGTCTTAACAGATATCTCACCAAAGCAGATATACAGATGGCAAACAAGCATATGAAAAGATGCTCCACCTCATTTGTCATCAGGAAAATGCAAATTAAAATAACAATGAGATACCACTACATACATATTAGAATGGCCAAAATCCAGAGCACTGACAACAACAAGTGGTGGTGAGGTTGTGGAGCAATGGGAACTCTCATTTATTGCTGATGGAATGCAAGGCTGTACAGCCACTTTGGAAGACAGTTTGGTGGTTTCTTACAAAATTAAACATAAGCATACCCTTACCATATCATTCAGCAATCACACTCCTTGGTATTTACCTAAAGGAGGAGAAAACTTTTGTCCACACAAAAATCTGCACAAGGATGTTTATAGCAGCTCCATTCATACTTGCCAGAAGTTGGAAGCAACCAAGATGCCCCTCAGTAGGTGAATAGATAAATTATGGTACATCTAGACAAGGGAATATTATTCAGAGCTAAAAAGAAGTGAATTATTAAGTCATAAAAAGACATGGAAGAAACTTAAATGCATATTACTAAGTGGAAGAAGCCAATCTGAAAAGGCTACATATTGTATGATTCCAACTATATGACATTCCACACCCACAGATGTAAACACCAAGAATGAGCCCCAATGTACACTATGACCTTTGGATGGTAATAATGTGTCAATGTAGGTTCATCAATAGTCATAGATGTACCACTCTGCTGCTGGATGTTGATATTAGGGGAGGCTATACATGTGTCGGGGAGGGGGATATATGACATAGCTCTGTGCTTTCCTCTCTATTTTGCTGTGAACCTAAAACTGCTCTTAAAAAAACAAGTATTAAAAAAAGTTTGCCAACCCCTGTTTTGGAGCTAACTCTGATCATTTGGGCAAATAATTTTTTCTCTCTCTGGGTACGTCTGTTTCCACATTTATATAAAAAGAAAGAGCTGAACTAGATAATCTGTAAGGCCCCATCTGTGCCTCACATGCTGTCTCTCTCTGCCACTATTGTTAAAGGACAACACACTATTGGTTGATTTTAAATGTTTACTTTTGGAAAATTTCAAACCTATACAAATGCAGAGAGAATGGTATAACAAGCCCTCATGTACTCATCACCCAACTTCAACAAATACAAACTCATGGCCAATCTGGTTTCATTCATACCCTCCTAACTCCCAGGCACTACCACCTACTACCACCCCACTAGATTTTTTAAAAGCAAAACCTAGACATTATCATGTCATTCATAAATATAGTATACAGCTCTAAGAGATAAGGGTTCTTTTTTAAAACATATGAAACTATTTAAAACATTTTTTGCTGAGATAAAATTCACCATTTTATCCATTTTACAGTATATAATTAAATGGTTTTTAGTATATACACAACGTTGTCCTTCACTAGTAAAGCTGTCCTTCTCTATGGTGGGCATGGAAAATAGGAAATTCCCTTCCATCACCCCAAAAAGAAAACCCTTACACATTAGCAGCCACTTCCAAATCCTCACAACCCTTTAGACTACTTTCTGTCTCTATAGATTTGCTTATTTCGAACATTTTATATAAATGGAATCATACAATGTGTGGCTTTTTTGGTCTGGCTTCTTTCACTTAGGATAATGTTTTCAAGACTCATCAATATCATAGAGGTATCAGTACTTCATTCCTTCTTCTGGCTGAATAATATTCCACTGTATAGGTAAACCCCATTTTGTTTTCCCATTCATCAGTTGATCAACATTTGGATTATTTTCTCCACTTTTTGGCTATTATCATCAATGCTATTGTGAAAATTCACGTATCACTTCTTGTGACAGCATATGTTTTCTTTTCTCTTGGGTATATACCTAGGAGTGGAATTACTGGATCATTGGTTATTCTACATTTAACTTTTTGAGGAATTGCTAGACCGTTTTCCAAAGTGGCTGCACCGTTTTTATCTTCCCACCAGCAATGTGTGTGGTCCTGATTTCTCCACATCCTTGGTAACATGTTATTTGTCTTTTTTATTATACCCATTCTAGTGGGTGTGAAGTATCCCTTTGTTGTTTTGATTTGCATTTCCCTAATGACTAATGATGTTGAACATCTTTTCATGTCCTACTGGTTATTAATATAGATATTTTTTGGAAATTGTCTACTCAAGTCCTTTTCCCATTTTTAAATTGGGCTGTCTCTTTATTGTTGCATCTATGAGTTTTTAAGATATATTTTGGATACTCAACCCTATCAGATATATGATTTGAAAATATTTTCTCCTGTTCTGTGGATTTTCTTTTTACTTTCATGATAGTGTCCTTTGATGCACAGAAGTTTTAAATGTTGATAAAGTCCAATTTGTATGTTTTATTTGTTGCTGTGTTTTTGGTGTCATATTTAAGAAACTGTTTGCCTAATCCAAGATCACAATATTATTATTGAAACTAAAGAAATGACAACAATTTAATATATCATCAAATTTGTAGTCAATGTTCAGATTGTTTTTTGGTCTCATAAATGTCATTTTACAATTGGTTTTTGTTTGTCGGTTTGATTGATTAGGGAATTTAAACAAGGATCACAAGTTTCATCTGATAAGTCTCTTAAGCATTTTTTAAATTAAACACTCCTCTTCTTATTGTCTTTTTTCATTGTCATTCATTTGTCTGTACAATTTCTCACATTCTGGATTTTGCTGATTGAATTTCCAAGATAGCATTTAGCATGTTTCTCTGTTTCTTGGAAAGCTTGATCAGATTCAGATTCCATATTTTGGCAAGATGATTCCATAGGTAGTGCCATATAATTCCTACTGCTTTCTATCAGGAGGCACACACTGTCTGATTGTCTCTCATTTTGTGATGTTAAGATTGATTGGTGAGTTCAGATATTGTCAGCTTGACCTGCTCATTATACAGTCCCCCATCCTCTTTCATTTTACTTTATTTTTTTAGAGATGTGGTCTTGCTGTTTTACCCAGGCTGGAATGCAATGGTGTGATCATAGCTCACGGCAGCCTCGAGCTCCTGAGCTCAAGCAGTCCTCCCACTTCAGCCTCTCAAGTAGCAAAGACTATAGGTATATACCATCATGCTTGGCTAAATAAAAAAACAGTTTTTTTTAAGAGATGGGATCTCACTATGTTTCCCAGGCTGGTCTCCAACTCCTGGCCTCAAGCTGCTTCTCCGGTTTCAGCCTCCAAAGCACCAGGATTACAGGCGTGAGCCACTGCACCTGACATCCCATCCTCTTTTAACTAATGGTTTTAGCAAGTCATTGATTATTATTGCCTGGATTTATTATTTTATTAGGGGTTGCAAAATGCAACTGATTAATTTGCCCAATGGCTATTGCCTATCGAATATTGAAACTTCCAAGTGTATTATTTGTTTTCAATAATGCCGGGCAAACTGCTGATACTTCTCTGTGTTCACCCTTCTCCGTATATTCTGATTTTTAAACTCTTTACATTTTTCGAGCTAGGTTGGTGGTAAGATCATGTTGTTCATATTCCAAGGAATTGTCTTGACATTTCTTTACATTATGGTTTCAATCACTCCACCGAGTAAAGGTTCTGGACATTGTTTGCATTGACAGTCCTTGGCATAATCATAAAATATTTGAAGATGGTCTTTTAATTATCTTTTCTCTCCTTCTTTAGAATCCTCAATTTCTATACTTTCCCCATCTCTCCCCTCAATACACATATCTTTTATCTTTTAAAGACTTTTCTATAATCAGAATGAAACAGAAGAAGCTTTATACTAATGTGTAAGAGACTTGCTGTCTTGCCTCTCTATGAGTTTGCATTTTAAAGGGCGAAAACATACATTTACTTAACCTAAAGAAATGAATCCTGAGTGATGAGATGCCAAGCTCCAGTGCTGGAGCCTTTTTTTTTTTAAGCCAGAATTTTCCCTGAAAAAGATCACGAATGCCATATCATTTTTACCATGAAAACACAGAGTCTAGCCTGCATGTGTGTCACTCTTTGGGCTGGGAACCTCTGTGCTCTCGGCTGTCCTTTCTCAAAAGCTTCTTGGTTTCTTCTGTGTCTCAAGAGCCAGTGTCAAATGGCTAAATGAGGAAAAAGATTGTTGATAGGACCATGGCATCTTAACATCCAGGTTTAGGTTATAGTTACTTGAGAATTTAGACTTTGCTCTCTCAATCAAACAACACTTTTAAAATAGCTTGTTGATTAGGATTAGCTTTGGCTGTAAGCAACAAAGAAACCTAAAATAACAATGGCTTAAGCAGGATGGATGTTTATTCCTCTCATGTTCCTGAGAAGTCGAGTTTGTCAGTCCAGGACAATCTGGGCACTGCAGAGGGTCAGAGACCTAGGCTACTTCCACTGTGTGGCTTCACCATGCTGATTCCCTTCTCAAGGACCCCTTGGCCCAGACTGATGGCTAGAACATCACTCATTGTTATCTGAATTCCAACTAACAGAAAGGAAGAATGGAAAAACAAAGAGCATGCCTGTGCCTTTCAGGGAAGCGCTCATAAGTTGCACGTGCCGCTTTCTCTCTGCATTAGCAGAATTAGCCATATGACCACACCTAGCTGCAAAGGTGATACGAAATATCTTTATTCTGAGCAACCACAGGGTCCGTTAGAAATCATGCATTTTATTACCATGGAAAGAGAAAAAAGTGGATGTCAGTGGAAAACAATTAATATCAGCTGCAAATAAACATTATAATAGCAAACAAGAAGCAATGTGGTATTGAGTGTCCCTTCCCCCAAATTAAAAACAGGGCACTCTTAGACAATTTACTCACTAACTGTAAACTGTTATTAATTATTTTTGGATGGGGCTGACCTTACTTCCTAACATGACATCAAACCCATGTTCTCCCCTCCTCCTACAAAAAAAAGTTGAATCCCTTCTGGTGCCTTTTTTTGATGTAATTTGGAAGCCCACACTGGGTAAAAACCAAATTATTGTGGCCAGTTGTCTCTATTTCAGTGACTTCCCTTTTTAGGGGAAAAAAACTTCTAAAATAGTTTCATGTGTATTATATTTTTAAATTTGGAGTAAATGAGTGCTCACTGAATCCATTTAGTGCTTGGGTTTATCTGCTTGGGTTTTCGAATTGGTCATGTGGGAGAGGAATTCCTTGAAATCTTTTATTTATTTTGTACTTTATATAAAGCACACCATGTTCCCAGGCTCCAATGTTTTAAAAGAAATCCTCACTTCCAAAACAACATATTGTCCAAAGTGGTTGCCCTAGCTCACTCCTCTGGGTAATGGCGGCTGACTCATTGTGTGCTGGCCAGACTTAACCTTCCACAGACAGCTTGGATTCTGTAGACACTAGGATAAGCTTCCTGTTTGGTCAGGCAGTGGCTAAGAATCAAATCAAGGTTGTGGTTTATCTCTCTGGATATGGTATTCAAGATGGAACTCTGTGGGAGAGCTGAGGTATTATCCTGGCTAGATGACAGAGAATGGCTCAGAGATCCTCTGATCAGTCAGCCCTTGAACTTCTCCAATGGCAAAAATCCAAATTCTAATATTTTCACCAAAAGCTTTCCCCTGATCAGCTGTCATGTCCCTTTGGTTTATACCTTGACTTTCCAGGCATGTAGTCAAAAGGTGAGAATAACGATTTACAGGCTTGGCCCCCCAGGATTTAATGTCATCAGAAACTTCCTCCCAGATTTCCTCTGAGCTGCTCCTTTCCTCTTCAATAGTCTCTAGATCCCTTCATATATTCTCACACATTTCCCCCCTAAATTCTCTCCACTTTTCACCTCTTTTTTGTTATCGTCGTTAAATTTGATTTTCCCCCACTTCTGATGCTATGAACAATGGCTCCTGTTCTGCCATTGTCCTAGAATAACCTAATGCACTGCATCTACATAGTATCTCTTCCTCATTCCTAAAAGAACTGTCTAAATTCTCACCTCATTCAAAATGTAATAAATGAAGGTTCAAAAGTCGTTGTCAAAGGGAATCAAGGGATTGATGATCATTCTTTGCCATAAATCTAGAGTAAAATCATATTTTAAAGGGAATGCACATAAAATAAAAATATACCCCACCCTCAAATTCTTTCATTCAGGGAAGGTTTTCCTCTCCTTTTTCCTCTCCTACTGCTTTGGAGGATTGCGTTACAGAAGTAAGGTAGGAGTATCAAATCGGCTGCTGAATTTTTCTCTTTTTTTTGGCCACCACTTTTTAAAGATTATAGCATTAGTTTGTATCCCTATATTTCTTATTCAAGTTTACTTATTTTCAGATTATTTTTCTTAGGGTTTGAGGGATAAAATTTAATATCTGGCTTCACTCTGCCACCCTATTCTGGAAGGCTTTTATTATTCCTCAGGTTTTTTAGAGGGGAGGAGATGAACTAGTTAACTGATTAATTCTAAAAGTCAGTTTCTCAAGAAGACCTTACCAGTTCTACACTAATATTAAGGCTAGGAAATAGTGATGATAACAATAATAATAAAGACATAATAAAAGACCATGAAACACATTAGTGTTCTTATACACTCAAAATATTTCCAGGGCTTAGGTCAAAACACGATTAAACATCCCAAGGTAGATATAGATAAATTGCAAAATAATAACCTCAAGTCTAGCACCTCTTCACCTACTTCGGCTCAGCCTATTCCTTTTCTTTTTAAAAAATTGTGATAAAACACACACAACATAAAATTCACCATCTTAGCCATTTTTAGGTGACAGTGTTCAGTGACATTGAGTACATTCATATAGTGCAACCGTAACTACCATTCATCTCTCCAGAACTAGTCTTTCTATCTTGCAAACTGAACCTAACCTCTGCACCCATTAAACAGTAACTCCCCATTTCCCGCCACCCCCACCCCGCCCCAGCAACCATCAGTCAGCTTTCTGTCTCTGTGAATTTGACAACTCTAGGTACTTCATATAAATGAAGTCATACAGTATTTGTCCTTTTGTGACTGGCTTATTTCACTTGGTATTATGCTTTCAAGGTTCATCCATGTTGTAGCATGTGTCAGAATTCCCTTCCTTTTAAGGTGAACAATATCCCATTATATGTATATACAGAGGTCTTCAAATAAAGCCAATTTGGTCAATGTCATTTTGTTATAACATTCATGAGGAAAAGAAATCAATTCCTGGCAGGAACCAATGTTTGCATATTCTCCTCATGTCTGCATGGGTTTCCTCCCCTATCCCAAAGATGTGCCCCTTAGGTGAACTGGCGTGTCTACATGGTCACACTGTGAGTGTGAGTGCATGCCTGACTGTGCCCTGTGATGGGATGGAGTTCTGTTCAAGGTGGGTTCCTGTGTTGCACCCTGAGTTGCTAAGATAGGTTCTGGCCACCTGTGACCATTAACTGGGATAATTGGGTAAGTAATTATCTTATTTTTATTAATCTTTCTTAAATGTATCTATAGTTCACATTTATTTCAATGTTTAATATTAGAAGTGCTTTGGTTTCTATTTAGAAGTTTGGTGATGCCTTGGTAACCAGAAATATGTTGTAGGAACTTAACTCTTCTTTATTTCAATCAGTCTGTGGTAAAATTAATTTCGTTATATGGCGCTTAGCTTAAAGACAGTTTCCAAGGACCTATTGACAATGTTAAGTGAGGACTTACTGTATCCTGACTGTTTGTTCATTCCTTCGTCAATGGACATCGGTTTGCATCCACCTTTTGGTTACTGTGAATATTGCTGTTACGAATATTTGGTGTACAGATATCTCTTTGATATCCTGCTCTCAGTTCTTTTGGATATATATTCAGATGTGAAGTTGCTGAATCAAACGGCAATTCTATTTTTAATTTCTTGAGGAATCGTCGTACTGTTTTCTATCAACGTATTCATTTTAACTTAAAATGTAATCTCATGCAGGGAGAGATCTGCCCTGGATTTGGGTTTGCTTTTCAAATACTTGGAAACAGAGTCTAGTAATGCTAGTAATTTACTATAGCCTCAAGTTGGAAAAACTGTGTGGCAATTAAAATCAACCTAATAAACCAAAGGGGAATACAGTATATGAAATAAATGATGAATAATGGATTTGAGTAAGTACTGTTTCCCTACTTGGAAGTGTGTTATAGATAATGGCCACCACTCCCGTTTGATTTCAGGTGTCCCTGATAAGGCTCTGGGTGACTAGCCCTTGATAGAGTTTGGGGTGTTCTTCTCAGAGAAAACTTCCACAAAAGCGAGAGAGAAACAGTTTGGAGTCTATTCATCATGGTTTCGTATCCTGTGAATTTCACTGGAATGAATCACTAAATTGAACTTCCAGAATGCTACCCTGAAAAAAGTGGGCAGAGCTCTCTTTGAACTAAAAAATAAAAAACAAAGTTCTGGAATACATCTTGTGTTCCCCTGCTCGGCGGAGGGCTGTGTGGAGAGGAGGCTGAATCTGCAGCACGGTGGGCTTCTCACAGCTTGCAGTAGACTTTTCTTGGAAATGACAGGACATATTTGTTCAGACTTCAGACTTGTCACTTTTCATATGCTCATAGGTTAGGCCTGGGGTTGCCTGTTTTCAGGTTCTAGGCTTAGTTTTTATTGACAAAATATGACTTCCAGCTTCAGAAACTGGCTATGGGTGGGAGAGGATGTGCTTACAGAGGCTTGTGTTAAAAAACAAAAAAAGAAAGAAAGCACATCAGGCTTCTAGACATCAAATGGTTCTTTTAAAACTGCATATTGATGGGTTAAGTGTAAATGATCTCAAAACATGTGGGTTAAATTTTCCAAGAAGCACACATGGATTTCAGAATCAGAAGAAACGAGATCTTGGCAATGTTAGTTTTGGGATTTCCCAGACTCCAAATGCTTTGCTGTTCTTGGTGCCTGATGCGTTTCCATAATCAGACTCGGGGTTTGTTTTATTCCTTTTTTTTTTTTTTTTTTGTGATGGTGATTCAGAGGATGGTTGACTGAATAGTTGTTTTAGACATGAGGCTTTGTCAGTGGCCGAATTAAGCAACTGCGAATGAAACTCTACTTGGGCTCTAGTTATTCCATTTGTCTCTCCATATCACCAAATTTACCAATGACCCAGCCATTCTTATCCTCTTTATCTCTTGGCACATCAATGTGTAATGGTCACCAACAATTCTGCCAACAAAACCGCTTCACCAACACTCAAAGGGCAGTGCAGGTATGAAAGCACAACCACCCAAATCCTGCATCACTTGGGTGAAAGAAATGGTGAAAGAGGCATCGTGGAACGGAAAACAAGCACAGGCACTGGAGTCAAGCACGGGCCTAAATCTCAGTACCACCCCTTACTAGCATGTCTTCCTTGTACTCTGCTACCTGGATATCATAGTGTTGTGAGAACAGCGATGGTAACCCATATGAAGTGCCTGAAGGAGTTCTGGGTACGTACCTAGGAGGTGCTAAATAAAAGGTAGTTGGCTAGGCCGGGCACGGTGGCTCACACCTGTAATCCCAGCACTTTGGGAAGCCAAGGCGGGTGGATCACGAGGTCCGGAGTTCGAGACCAGCCTGGCCAACATGGTGAAACCCTGTCTCTACTAAAAATTAAAAAACTAGCCGGTCCTGGTGGTGTATGCTTGTAATCTCAGCCACTCGGGAGGCTGAGGCAGAGAATTGCTTGAACCCAGGAGGCAGAGGTGGCAGTGAGCGGAGATCGTGCCGCTGCACTCCAGCCTGGGCATCACAGCGAGACTCTGTCACAAAAAAAAAAAAAAAAAAAAAAAAAGGTAGTTGGGCGGTGGTAGGCAGCTCCTTATTGCAGTTTCTTTTTTTGTTTTTGTATGCTACTCCCTGCTTCCAGAGGCTTCCTTTGCAATCCACTGCCTTTTCCCTAGTGGTCCTCCCATCCTGCTCCATTCCCCAGGCCACAGTTAGGAAGTGCAAGGATGCATAAAAATGATCTTGGATGCTTTTTAAGAATGCAGATCCCTGGGATCCATGTTCCGTAGCTCCAGATTCTTAGGATGGAGTGGGAATCTGTAGTACACATGAATGTCTCCAGTGATGCTGATGTAGATCTGAGGCCTGAGCTTGGCAAACAGTTGTCCTCCAGACCTTCCTTTTTGCAGCCCCGTCGGAAACTATGTGTCCTGCGAACCATGCAAATGTGGTCACAGATAAGAGGCTTAAATTCATGTCCCTTCAGTATCATATTAGCACTTGATTATACAACAGGGTTGTATTATTGGAAAATAAATGAGGGATACTCCCTGCGTGAATGTCAATTTTGAAAATGGGGTCTGTGTAGAAAGGGGGCTGGCTGGAAGTCACGGTAGAGGGAATTCCTGAGTGGGTCATACCACATCAACGACTGCTCTAATTCCGGGTTCTGCTCTTCTTTATTAAATACACTTGAATTGAAGGCCACTACTCTCTGGGATTTTGAAATAATCATTTAGAGCAGTGGTTCTCAAAGTATGGTCCCAGACCAACACAACACCAAGGAACTTGTTAAAAATGCAGATTCTCAGCTTCCTACCCAGACTTGCTGAACTAGAAACTCTGGTGGTGGGACCCAGCAGTCTGTATCTTAATAAATCTTAAGGTGAGTCAGATGCATATTAAAGTTTGAGAGTCACTAATTTTATTTTTTTGTTGTTGTTTGTTTTTGTTTTTAGTTTTTTATTTCCATAGGTTATTGGGGAACAGGTGGTGTTTAGTTACATGAGTAAGTTATTTAGTGGTGATTTGTGAGATTTTGGTGCACTCATTACCTGAGCAGCATACACTGCACCCAATTTGTAGTCTTTTATCCCTCACCCCCTTCCTACCCTTTCCACCTAAGTCCAAAGTCCATTGTGTCATTCTTATGCCTTTGAATCCTCATAGCTTAGCTCCCACTTACAAGTGAGAACATATGATGTTTGGTTTTCCACTCCTGAGTTACTTCACTTAGAATAATAGTCTCCAATTTCATCCAGCTTTCTTCATCCAGGTTGCTGTGAATGCCATTAATTCATTCCTTTTTCATGGCTGAGTAGTATTCTGTTGTATATCACACAACTGTGATATTATATATTATATTATGGCTGAGTAGTATTCCATCATATATATATATATATATATATATATATATATATATATATCACAGTTTCTTTATCCACTCGTTGATTGATGGGCATTTTGGTTGGTTCCACATTTTTGCAAGTGTGGATTGTGCTGTTATAAATATGCATGTGCAAGTATCTTTTTTGTATAGTGACTTCTTTTCCTCTGGGTAGATACCCAGTAGTGAGATTGCTGGATCAAATGGTAGTTCTACTTTTAGTTCTTTAAGGAAATTCCACACTATTTTCCATAGTGGTTGTACTAGTTGACATTCCCACCAGCAGTGTAGAAGTGTTCCCTGTTCACTGCATCCACACCAACATCTATTATTTTTTTGGAGAATCATTAATTTTGAAGAACAAAAGCATATTCTTGTAAGCAAATGTCTAATAACATGTGAATACATGTATATGTTTAGTTCTGTGTCTGTCCCCAAATGTGTTAAAATAATATATATAACGTGTGTGTATGTCTGTGTGTTTACACATGCACACACACACACATTGGTCTGTGCATAAATGTATCCTGGATATAGACAGAGGAACTCATTCTAGAAATTTTGAGAAGTGAAACTGAGAGTTAGGGTAAATAGAGAGAATTTTACTTTTCACATTATACCTTTTGAACTGTTCGATATATTTTCTTTTCTTTCTTTTTTTTTTTTTTTTTTTTATTGAGACAGAGTCTCGCTCTGTCGCCCAGGCTGGAGTGCAGTAGCGCCATCTCGGCTCACTGCAAGCTCCGCCTCCTGGGTTCACGCCATTCTCCTGCCTCAGCCTCCCGAGTAGCTAGGACTACAGGCGCCCGCCACCACGACCGGCTAATTTTTTGTGTTTTTAGTAGAGACAGGGTTTCACCGTGTTAACCAGGATGGTCTTGATCTCCTGACCTCGAGATCCGCCCGCCTCAGCCTCCCAAAGTGCTGGGATTACAGGCTTGAGCCACCGCACCTGGCCGATATATTTTCTTTTAAATATGTGTATATATTATTTTTATTTAAAAAATTTAATTTATTAACCATAAAAGAAATTTTAAAAACTTAAAGAAAATACAGATACAGATTTATCTGATTTTGAGAGGGGAAAACATGCAAAGAAAATAATCACAAAAAAAGGATAGATTCACATAGCAATATAAAACGTTTATGAATCAACACACCACCAATGCAAACAAGCACATGTAAAGAAAGTAACTAAAAAAATGGATAGTCCCCTGATGAGGCTAATCAAGGAAAAAAAGAGGGATGTCACAAATGACTAACGAAGTAAAAAGAGGAACATCACTACATATCTTATAAATTAAAAAGACAAAAAGAGGATATTATACGTTTTTCTGGAAAATAATTTGAAATTTTAGATGAGATGCAAAAATTGCTTAAAAAAGTATAATTTACCCAAACTAATTTTAAAAAGTTAGAAAAATTGAAAAGTCCTGTGCTTACTGAGGAAATTGAATCCGTAATTTAAAAGGAAACTAAAGGCCAATGTACCTTCACTTGTGAATTATAGCAAACATTTAATAAATTAAAAATACCCCAATCTTACAAAAACTAAACAGCAGCAACAATAAAGCCAAAAATCTTCCTAGGAAGAGAAGAAAAGAAAATACTTCCCAATTTGTTTTAGGAGGCCAGCATAATCTTGATATTAAAACCTGACAAAGATGTTACAAAAAAGATAATCATAGGCCAAATATCTCAAAAAAATGAGAAATCATAAATAAAATATTAGTTACACAAAGGCTAATACATCACTATAAAATTGGGTTTATTTCAGGCATGCAAAATCTGCAACATTAAAAAAATCAATAAATATAATTCACCACATTAACAGAATAAAGGAGAAAAATCATATGACTGTCTCCATAGACGCAGAAAAAGCATTGATAAAAATTTAACATCCCTTCATGATAAACTTAGTAAACTCCTTGTAGAAGGGAACCTCCTCAGTCTGATCAATAGAGTCTACATTTTGAAAACTATCATCAAATATTAATTGACCACTAGATAACCCAATGCCAGAATCTGGATGAATTTTATAGTGATAAAGCTCACGAAGCTGATTTGGAAAACAATTCTTGTTCTATTGTGTGGTATGCCAACTGGAACAAAGATGGGATGATCTACCTTTTCATCTGTCATTCAGAAATGGAAGAGCTGTACCAAATGAAAAAATGGGCAGTCCTCCCTCTCCTGTGATGACATTTTCTCTTGAAGCAGCCAGTGTTGTGCCTGTCTCCCATCTGCACCTCTTTTTTCTGTATTCAGCAGAATAAAACACTTTCAAGAAACAACTGGGCAGGAAGTAAGGGAGGACTGAATTTCATCCTGGGAGGTTTGATTCCCACAAGTAAAGTGCTGTGGTGGAAGCAGTCGGGAAGCACTGGCGGCTCATGGGGACTGTCGTGCATTATGAACTCCATCTGTTCCCAGCATCCTCGAGTCATGCAGTGGGGCAGGCGAGATTCTATTTCATTCCAGCATATGCCTGTTAGATGAAATGCTGCTGGAAATGAAACCAGCTAAAAATTGTGTACACCAACTCATCATACATAGACATCAGACATGGACCTGAGAAGGTGACTCAGTCTACTCAAAGAGATCTGAAGTGACTCAAGCTACCCCACGTGAAGTGGGGCCAAAAAAGCACACATTCTATGTATGTATTACTAACATAAGATCTGGTCGGAGCTCACCTCATTCTAGGATGAGAAAACAGGGTTAAATGTTGAGTCTTACAGGGTTAAATATTGCTAAGTAAAAAGAAGAAAGCATTATTCTCAAGACTCAGAATAAGGACAGACCTCTAAAATATGGTTTACCATAAGATAAGGAGAAAGTTGGTTTGGTGTGCTCCTAGGATGCAGGAAGAAATGGCTCTATAAAATGGGTACATCTAATTTGCTCAAAATGATTTAAAGGAAAAAGAATGTGTACCAAAAATCAAAATGAGAGTGTAACTGAGATGAAACAGTGGCATCAAATGAAGAGGTACATGAGAGAAGAAAAGAGAACACACAAAAACTAAAAATCCCACAGTTTGTTCATTTATTATTTATTTGGGAAACATTTATTGAATAATATTATGCGCTAAGCACATAAGTAGAAGTGGTAAGCAACAGAGGTGAAAACTGAGACAGATGTAAAAGACAAATGAGAAGATTCTCAAAAATACAGGGAGAAAGACTGAGAGGTAGAAATGAGTGAAAATAGGATCAACATGGAGGACAGAAATTAGAGGGCTAACCCAGCAATAATAAATGCTCCTAGAGAGTAAAAAACAAGGACAATTGCAATGCAAATCATGACCAAAGACAAAGAAATATGCCTAAGCTTAAAAAGTAAAAACAAATAAGTATGCTATCTGAGTGGAGCTAGTTTACTACATTCTAGGCAAAGTCAATGAAAAAAAGAACCACCTTTGGTGATAACCTGAAATTTTTAAAAAATTAGCAATGATTTTTCAAAATGATTTTGAAAGCATTCAGGCAGGGGGAATAATTACCTGCAAAGAAATAGCACCCAGGCTGGCCCCAAACCATTCGCATGTAAAACAAAATACCATATGAAAATGTAGCAAAACTGCTGAACTTTTGAGAGTTAATGGTTATAAATAAATGCATACACAGCACAACTTTGTATAAAATGCAAAGATAATTTAAAATATGAGAGTTTGGAAAACATCTTGAAATGCCATAATAAATATTTCCACTTACTGAGGGCTTGGGATATAGTCAGTAGCATCCATCATCTCTTCCCAAGTTCTGAACCAATTGAGAAATAGTCAGAATTGGGCAGATGGGCCCAAATCCTCCCTTTATAATCTGATAAAGCTCATATTGGAGAACGTGTCTTATATCTATGAAATATTGGATTTCCTAACTGAACCCTAGGACTAGAAAGCTATCTTCAGAAATGTCTCCCCTATGTGAGTGCCTGTCCTGGTAAACATTCAGCATGCAGGGCCGAGAAGAGCAATTGTTTCCTGAAGGCAGGCTTGGTTCAGAAACGATGGTGCAATTCCAAACCTGTGTAGTTTTTTTTTAGCCCAACTTGCATCTCTGTTCCACTCCCACTGCTACCCAGGGAAGAGTTGGCGAGGGCATGGAAGAGGGACTGGGAGTGTTTCCCTGGTGCCATCAGGAAGAAGGAAGAAGCAGCCCCCTCTCCCTGTGACATCCACATACATCTCCCCTCTCTGCCTCTCCCTCCTCCCTAGTCGACCTCCCCAACCCAACCCCCGATAATGGACCTGACTGAGAAGAGAAAATGGAAAACTGAAGGTTGGGAGCGTTGTGATATAAAAGGTCTGACATTTATGCTTTCCGTTAGAATTTGTACTAAGGAAAAAACCTGAAATAAAGATAAAATTTACATTATTCATTATAGCATTATATATTATTTTAAAACAACTATGTACTATTTATAATGGCAAAAATATTGAAAACGACTTAAATGATCATATTTAGGAAATGAAAAAAATCATTCTGCTTTAATAGATGTTCTTAAAGGGATTCTAACAATGTGGGGAAATGCAGGAATTTTAATGATATATTAAAGTACAGAAATTGTAGATAGGTTTCTCTCACGTGTCAGCTAGAATTGACTGAGAGGGCTTCTTTTTTTCCCAGATGGATTTTCAGGCCACATCTGGGCCTGAAAGAATGGAACAGGAATGAATGGTATGGACAGAAGCTTATGTGGGCTGTGGTTGTTTGGGGTGAAATGGGGATCAGGATAGGGAATTCTGCGATATCTGCCAAATATTCGCCATTTACCTTGTGGCATAATTTTAACTGTGTAAGAAGAAGAATGCAAATTTTTAAAAGATGGGATAAGATATATCCAAATGTAAATAGGCGTGATCTCAGGGAGTCAGGAGCATGTATGTGTTTTCCTGCTTCATCCAAGTGTTGCTTTGAAAATCTAGAGCTGGGCTCCCGGAGATTGACCCTGCCACTTACTAGCTCATGGTGCTCAACCTCTGTGTGCCTCAGTTTCCTATTCCCAAAAAAACGATGACAATAATTGCACCTACCTGATAAGTCAGTACTCGGGCAGATGAATCAAAATTAAATATTTTAAATATTAAAATATATAATGTGCTTAGGACAGTGCCCAGAAAACTCCATTCAAGTTTCAGCCATTATTATTAGTAGTGGTAGTACAGTGAGCAAATACTATTTTAATAATGAGATAAAGGAAAACACAGGGACTACAATGCACACATGAACAAAGGTGTGATAAAATGGTAAGTGACAAAAGCCTTGATATGTGATTTTATGTTTAATTTGAATGTAACTATTCAAAACTAGGTAGTTAAAACTATCCATGTGGAAGAATACTTGAATGCAATAGAAAAAAATGAAAGACTTGAGAGATGGAAATTACAGATTTTAAAACCATTTTCTTTTATGTTTTTATTATTTAAAAATATGCAGATTTTAAAAAATCCTCCCCCCCCCCCCCCCACTCCATAGCATTACAAACAAATATCTTCTTCTATAGTAGATATCTATAATTGTGTTTGCTCAGCATCTCTCTGCCCATGTTCTGGGAAGAACCACCTCCTTTATCTGGGCTTCATACTCCTTGTTAACCGTGGGGTTTGTACAAATGCTGTTATCGTCGATTGTCCCGAGGGTGGGTACGTGACACAAGTGGAGCCAATCTGAGCCTTTCCTCGGGGAATTTTGAAAGGATGGTGCAATTCCAAACCTGTCTGGTTTTTAGCCCAACTTGCTAGTCAGGTAAGAGAGAATATGATTCAGTATCTGTGGCTGGTGGTGGGAGCCATGGTTTGAGAGCATTAGCAGCCATGTAGAGTGAGTCTTTTCTAGAGAAAGGGTGATGCTGCACACAGAGAGAAGAAAAGATGAGTGAGCGTTTTAATATATATGTATATACACACGTATGTGTATGTGTATTTATGTATGTTTGTGTATATATATCCCTCTGTGTGTGGATACATAGATAGATTGATAGATAGATAACATTTATATACTTGGTCTCAATTATTCGATCACTGCCTTTTGTGCAATTTCATTGTTTAACACTTATTTCATTTATGGAGAAATCTCAATATCATTCCAATAAGTTTCCCTTTTTGCCTAAGGTAGTTTGCGTTGGTTGCAACCAAGAACCATAACTAATTTATAATTATAGCTTCGTTAAAAAAATAGGGAGCAATCCAAAATGTATAATATTAGGTAATGGCTAAATAAATTAAGGTAGATCATGATGGGAAACTATGCAGTCATTAAAATAATTCTTTCAAAGAGTATTTGAGAAATCATTCAGAATATTACTAAGTGAAAAAAAGAGACTACATGACACTGGCAGAGGGAGGGAAATTGGACAGTCCAGGAAGAAGGACTGTCCTCAGCATGTGCAGAGGTCTTGAGGTCAGATGAACATGGATTCTCAAGGTACTGACAGGAGGCCACTTTACTGAGAATGAAGAAAGCAAGAAGGAACATGGAACAAGGAGAAGATGGGAAGATAAGCACTGAGGGCCATTGCAAAGGGTCAAAGTTCTGTCTCAGAGGAACGAAAAGTCATGGAAGGGCTTTGAAGGAGAGGAGTAACATCAACAATTTACATTCTTAGCTTCTGTGAAGATACCATATTGGAGATGGGCAAAAGCAGAAGCAGGGGAAATGGTGAGGAGGCTATTGCTAGGGGAGCCATACAATTATACTCTAAACCTGGACAATTTTGAGAGTATAATGGGGACCTTTTATTATTACACCAGGACAACAGATTCAAACCAGGACTTCCCCAGGCAAACCAGGACAGATGGCCATCCCAGCTATTATGGAAGTAGCCCAGGCAAGAAGCAATATAGACTTGAACTAGGGTGGGAGATTGGGAAGAATTCTAGCTATGGATGGTTTAAGGTTGAATCTCAGTCCTTGATTGGCTTCATTTGGCATCGTCTTCTTTCGATGTTCATTCTTGTGTTCACTATGTTTGATAGGTAGCTTTTTCTGGTGATTTTAATATTTTTGGATCAGCAAATCTTGAAATTTAACATGCATAAAAATAACCTGGCAGCCTTTTTAAAACAGATTCCTAGGCCTCACAACCTAGAGTTTATGATCCAGTAGGTCTGAAGCACAGCCTGGGAATGTGCATTTCCAGCAAGCTCCCAGGTGATGCTGGTGATGCTGGTTTGGGGACCACACTTTGAGAACCATTGCTTTAGATATATGCTGATTGTGACACCTATGCAGGTTCTCTCTGCACGGGCTTAAGTCCTGTTTCTAATGTGTATGCTTTTGTGCCTGTCTTGCGAATTCTTTGTTTTTGTTATTTACATCCGTAATGTATTTCTGTTTCTTTAAATTCATGCATTCCAGAATTGCCTGATCCATTGAGTGGGGAACACTGCTCAGGGATCTAGCCACAAAAGCTATGCCCATTCTTTTTATCTATTGTGCTTTGTTTTTAAATTACACGTTTAAAACTAAATTACAATTAGGTTTTTTTTACTTTAGAGCATTGCACCTCTAAATCATCTCTAACCCCCAATGTCCAGTACTCATTTTTAATCAGTCTGCAGTTTTTCTGTGCCAGCCAATTGCTGATTATGCTCACCTTTTGCTCTTTGTAGCAGTTCCTCAAAGCTGCACTTTTTCTTCAGCCTCAATCCCTGAGGTCTTGGACCCTCTCGTATCTCAGGAACCTCATCCTGACCTGCAAGGCTGCAAACCTAGTGACCTCTTTGGTCCTATCTTCTTGCAGATCTCTGTGGGCCACTTAGCTACACTGTCCATTAGACACCACTGACTGCAGTAAATTGTCTGTTACATCTCTCCAGCCTGCTATCATTCTTCTCTTTGTCTCAAACTTCTTCTGGTCTCTGCTGACTTTGGGTCCCACAGAACCTCTGGATTCATCACTCATCAATCCCGCTAAGACCACGTAAGAAGGCATTACTTGTAAGAACAGTGTTGTCAGGGAGACTTTAGCCTAGAAATAGCAGCCACTTTTCTCAACAGTCTTTTCCTGTTCCTGCTTTCAAAAATCTTTCCCCTTTTTCACAGCTTCAGGGTAAGAGACAAAACAGCTGTGCTTTATGTTTGAAAACTGCAACGCACATTCAAAATTCTACAATCCCAGCAGAAAGCCTGTTTTCAGCACTTTTTTTTGGAGAAGTAGGCAAAGCTTATTATTTTATTTTAATGTAACTTTGCATGTGTTTTAATTACACAAGCAATACATTTTTATTGTTGAAAATATGAAAGATATAGAAAGCAAAAATAGAAAAATAAACCATGGATGATCCGAAAGATAAAAATCACCCAGAGATAACCTATTCGGCACTTTCAAATTCTCCTAATTTGTATTTTTTTAGCAGAAAAAAACTTTCCTTCAAATAAAATCACACTGAGAGGCCCAATACATAAACAGATAAACCTGACTTGGATTGGAGGCAAGGGAGTGAGGTCCAGCTGCTCAGCTTGACCCTCACCATTCATAGCAGACCCCAGCTGCTCAACTTGACCCTCACCATTCACCACAGACCCCTCTGCTGGATGTCAGCCTTCCCCAGGGCTATGTGAAACTGCACCTCTAGGTCATTTCAGCGCGAGACTTAAATACTGCAGATGTACTGCCAAAGGCATTTTAGGCTTGACACTCTGATTGCCTAGGGGTTGGAGCAGATGTTATTTTTGTATCGGTGGTCCTTTCCACTTCCACATATTCCATCTTGTCTTAGAGTTCATGTTGCCTCCAGTCTAAAGCACAGGTGATTAACCTGGGACTTGAACACTCCCCCCAAAATATATATCTATAGCTTTAATTAGTGTAGGGTTCATGTCAGTTTTTTTCTTGATAAATATTTTTGAAGATCTCAGCAATTTCTAGTTTAGCAATATAGTTGGAAACTTTGAATTTAAATAGTTAAATTGTTGAAAAATTAAATATTTAGAAACAAAAGTGAAAATAATTTGAGCAGATATTTTCCCCATTGCTTGTAAGCTTGACTTTGATGTGTCCATCATATTTTCCTTTATAATTGATTGGTATTTTGCTCCTGCAACGCCCAACTTTAAATGGAAATGTCTTACATCTGATATTTTCACATGACTATTAGGAGAGAATCATATAACACAGAAAGCTAACTTTAGAAAAAAATTAATGATAATGGTATTCATTTCTTAGAAATATACTTTTTACCTCTGTTTTTAGAATGTCATGAGGCCATAAACATATTACCGAAAAATTATGTTTTTAAAATTTTGGTAATTTCACCTATTTTAAATGCACTAGCAGGATTTCTTTCAAATGAAATCCTGTGATAAATGCATCCTTTAAAAAAGTGGTAGTGCCATTCACAATAGCAAAGCCATGGAACTAAGTGCCCATCAATGGTTGACCGGGTTAAAAAAATGTGGTGTATATACACCATGGAATACTACATAGCCTTTAAAAAAAGGATGAAATCATCTTCTTTGCAGAAACATGGATAGAGCTGGAGGCCATTATCCTAAGTGAACTAACTCAGAAGCAGAAAATTAAATATCACATTGTTCTCATTTATAACAATGGACATAAGAAGGAAATAATACACACTGGGGACTCCAAAAATGGGAAAGGAAGGAGAGGGAGAGGGTTGAAAGATTACCTACTGGATATATTGGATAAAACGTTCAATAGTTGGGTGACAGGTATACCAGAAGCCCAATGCCCACCATTCCACAATATACCCATGTAGCAAATATTCACTTGTACCCCCTGAATCTAACTTAAAAAAAAAAAGAATTATGAGAAAAAAGGGAGAGTGCTTTTGTATTGTTAACACTTGTGTAATGTGAATAGAGCTCTGTATCGTGTTGTTTTATAGGTTCCCATCTCATATTTGGAATTTCCAGAAAGTTGGGCTCATTGTGTATTGACTGTTCTATTCTGAATGCTAGTTCTATACAGGTCTCCTTGGACTGAGAGACACACAACTAGCCTAAATTCCTCTCACTTCTGAAACATTCCCTGCCCGAGTCCATAGCATACAGTTGGCTGTGTTGAAGCCTTTTAATGGTGGGGAAGCAGAGCTGGGCTGTGAATCCGCCCCACGTTGCTGATCTCCTTTCCCTGCTAAGGCATGTTCACTTCCTAATGTTGTACAGAATAGTTTTCAGCCTCATTTATCCCTTATTTTGTGTCCATGATAAAATTTATAACAGAATTAAAAGGATAGATTGAGATATGTATGTGTAGATTTCCTAAATTTCCTGACTCTTCTTGGGGACCTCAGTTAGTTTCATTTAATATCCTTTTGTTTCTAATGATTATTCTTAATGTACCATTGTAGCACTAGGTGCTCTCCTGTTAGTGGCTATTTGGGAGAAGAGGCAGAATTCCATGGTTAAGAGTTTTAAAGAACAAAATTAAAGCCACAGGAAGCATCCATGTGGCTTTCTCTAGTGTGTCCAAAGCAGTTCTCTCTGCTCCCTGGAGCTGTGGTCCCCCCTAGTGGTTCCACAGTGATTTCTCCTCCTAGTGCCTTATTCAGTGGGGCTGCACTGCCTGCCAGCTGGTAGCTCCAGTTTGTCACAGCAAGTTCTGCATCTCTTTAAAATCAGTTGAATTCAGGGCTTTTTGTTCCATGTTGCTTGGCTTTAAATAAATTTAAAAAAAAAAAGGTCCATGAAGCATGGAAACAGTAGGTAATTAAAATTTTTCATTTTCCCTTGTTAGACGCCTGCTCTCTTCAGATGAATCCTTTCCATGTTTTGGCTGATAGAACACAAGTGAGGTCAAATGTAGAGAGGCATGGATGAGTGCTTGTTCAGGACACAGCACCTTCAATGGCTGACTCTCTGAGCAAACCTCTGTGTGTCTGCTCCAAAACTGTAATGCCAACAAGAGAACTAAGCAGTCCTTTTTTTTTTTTTTTTTTCACTTTAAGTTCTGGAATACATGTGCAGAATGTGCAGGTTTTTTACATAGGTATACATGTGCCATGGTGGTTTGCTGCACCTATCAACCTGTCATCTAGGTTTTAAGCCCCGCGTGCATTAGGTATTTGTCCTAATGTTCTCCCTCCCCTAGCCCCCAACCCCCTGACAGGCCCCAGTGTGTGATGTTCCCCTCCCTGTGTCCATGTGTTCTCATTGTTCAACTCCCACTTACAAGTGAGAACATGCGGCATTTGGTTTTCTGTTCTTGTGTTAGTTTTCTGAGAATGATGGTTTCCAGCTTCATCCATGTCCCTGAAAAGGACATGAACTCATTCTTTTTTATGGCTGCATAGTATTCCATGGTGTATGTGTGCCACATTTTCCTGATAGATGATAGATGGGCATTTGGGTTGGTTCCAAGTCTTTGCTATTGTGAACAGTGCTGCAGTAAAAATACATGTGCATGTGTCTTTATAGTAGAATGATTTATAATCCTTTGGGTATATACCTAGTAATGGGATTGCTGGGTCAAATGGTATCTCTGGTTTTATATCCTTGAGGAATCACCGCACTGTCTTCCACAATGGTTGAACTAATTTACACTCCCACCAACAGTGTAAAGGTGTCCCTATTTCTCCACAACCTCACCAGCATCTGTTGTTTCCTGACTCTTTAATGATCACCATTCTAACTGCATGAGATGGCGTCTCATTGTGATTTTGATTTGCATTTCTCTAATGACC
The DNA here is from genome assembly GCF_000001405.40 of Homo sapiens. Taxonomy (NCBI): domain Eukaryota; kingdom Metazoa; phylum Chordata; class Mammalia; order Primates; family Hominidae; genus Homo; species Homo sapiens. Next base: position 38,415,728 of record NC_000015.10, read on the forward strand.
AGTGATGATGAGATTTTTTTTTCATGTTTGTTGGCCACATAAATGTCTTCTTTCGAGAAGCGTCTGTTCCTATCCTTCACCCACTTCTTGATGGGTTTGCTTTTTTCTTGTAAATTTAAGTTCCTTGTAGATTCTGGATATTAGCCCGTTGTCAGATGGATAGATTGCAAAATTTTTCTCCCATTCTGTAGGTTGCCTGTTCACTCCAATGATAGTTTCTTTTGCTGTGCAGAAGCTCTTTAGTTTAATTAGATCCCATTTGTTAATTTTGGCTTTTGTTGCCATTGTTTTTGGTGTTTTAGTCATGAAGTCTTTGCCCATGCCTATGTGCTGAATGGTATTGCCTAGGTTTTCTTTTAGGGTTTTTGTGGTTTTGAGTTTTAAATTTAATCCATCTTGAGTTAATTTTTGTGTTAAGTGTAAGGAAGGGGTCCAGTTCCTTTTTTCTCTAAGCAGTTCTTTTAACCTCTTAACCTAATTTGGGTATATCCTTGTGATGCTCGGGCCCTAAAACTTTCTTCTATTAAATTGTAGACTAGCCTATTGAGTGCTAGACTCCTTTGTCTTAGTAACTTTTGTTCTGAGCATAAAGTCTTGAATATAGTATGTACTTAACAAACACTGATTGAATAAATTAATACATAGGTACAGGTATGTATATATGCTACTCCATTTCAATTCTGGTTTCATAAGAGAAATGTATTATTTTCCCTGGACTACCCTTCTTCCAGAATCACTGAATACTTGTGAATAGTCCTGAAAGAGATAAAAACTGTGTTTAATATCAAAGTATTCTTGACTGTTTTTCACCCCTTCTTGAGGGACAATCTGAACTTGTATGGACATAGACCATGTCTGCTCGAAGACCATAACATTGTTTTATTTTTTAAATCTAGGATGCAAATCTGTGAACAGTAATGATATGGGGACATTGAGCCCATTAACTTTGGGCTTTTAGGCTTTTATTGAGGGCCTAACAATCTGACCTGTATGCTGCAGGAATGTGGTGCCATTGAGGGGATGATGTCCAAGGAAAGGCTAGGAGAGCATCTGTCAAGGGTGGTGTAAAGAAAATTCAGCATGGAGCGTTAACACAGAATAGTTAAACTCTAACGTCCCTGTCAGCTCTAAGGTTATAGAAGTCTATAATTCTTATTCTAAATTTTAAAGTATTCTGGTCCTATGAGCAATATGTCTTAGCTTTTGTTTTAAAAATAAGAAATTTAAATGGAGGGCTATAAGGTCAGTGCAACTGAACAGTAGCCTCTGTCTCAGTCTTCACCATGGAAATTGTTCTCTTCTTGGGCCAGATTGTCTTACACATACTCCTAACACTCTAGCGTCTTCCTCCTACCCCCTTGATATCCTTTTCCTTTTCTCTTTTATCATATGGATCTCAGATCATTGCCAGGCACTGCTTTTTCTGGACAAGATGTTTCACCGTGGGTTGGCATGACTCTTCCCCAAACCCCCCTTCTGTACCTCCATCTGTTGCCCTGACATTGTCTTGATCTATTCCATGGGGTAGCTCCCCTGCCAAAGTGGGACTGGAGCGGATGAGAATAGAAAACATACCCTCTACTATCTAGTAAACTCTGTCACCAGGCTGTAACACAGTATACGCTGTGTCTTCTGACATAGTCTTTTATTTGGCTTGATATCTTGGTTTGTTGTTGCTGTTTGCAAACTAGGAAACCATCTGAACCAGAAAACAGTGGAAGGTAATGCCTTGTGTTCTCCTGAAAAGACTGAGAAAACTTTTGTGGGTTCTGACATTTTTCTTCTCAGAATGAGTTTCTTCCCCATCTTCTTGGAAGGATGGTTGATGGATGGCTGTTGTACCTTAATCACCCAAGGGTTTAAGTCCTGGGGGCCAAACATTAGTCCCAATAGAGCCAATTACTAAATCACTGGCTCTTTTCCTCAGTAAGGCTCATTAGACCTGCAGTGTGTACAGAACTCCTTTTGGACAGGCTCAACAACAAGAACAATGTGCCTATATTCTTGTGTATGTGTGTGTATGTGTGTGTATAGCTGCACTGAGACGTATATGTGTATAAGGTGAAGAAATTGTGAAAGTTACTTGGGGATATGGTTTGACTGTGTCTCCACCAAATCTCATCTTTAATTGTAGCTCCCACAATTCCCATGTGTTGTGGGAGAGACTTGGTGGGACTTAATTGAATCATAGGGGCAGACCTTTCCCATGTTGTTCTTCTTTTTTCTTTTTTTTTTTTCCCCGTGCTGTTCTTGTGATGGTGAATAAGTTGCATGAGATCTGATGATTTTATAAAGGGGAATTTCCCTGCACAAGCTCTCTTCTCTTGTTTGCTGCCATGTGAGATGTGCCTTTCACCTTCCACCATGATCATGAGGCTTCCCCAGCCACGTGGAACTGAGTCTATTAAGCCTCTTTCTTTTGTAAGGTGCCCAGTCTCCAGTATGTCTTTATCAGCAGTGTGAAAACAGACTAATACACTTGCTAACTTTGTATAGTGTGTGTGTGGGTGGTGGGGGGTGTGTGTGTGTGCGTGTGCATGTGTACCTGTTGTGGGGGACAGTGGGAGATAAGTTAGGAACCACTGAAGTTTTGCTTCTCATGTTAAGTGCCAACATTGCATCTCTTATGTTGGAGAGGCAGGGCAGCGAGTCAAAGACGAAGCCAGACAAACCACCTCCTAGCTCTGCCGCTGATTAGCCTGTGAACTTACCCAGAATTACTTAACCTCCTTGAGCCTCACAGGGCTGTTAGAAGCATTAAATTTAAAGTACTTAGTCTGGTGACTGGCCACTCAGTGAGTGCCCACAGTAATGGCTTGCCAAATTGAAGTGAATATTGGTTGTTGCAATAATTAACTATAGACCATGGAGATGCTATAAGCACTTTTTGTTCATGTAGTTTAAAATGTGTGATGCCAACTGGAGAATAACATATTAATGTAGCAGTATGCCCTATCAAAAGTTTTACTTTTTTAAGGGAAAGACTGTTCCAGTTGCTACTCAGTATTAACAAGAAATCACTTTGAAACAAATTTTTCGGTTATTTGAATGGCCTTGATTTGTTATGAAAATCTAAAGCCAAAAGGTCCCAAGTATTGGGGAAAACCTGTGCACTTTTTGAGTGGATTAGCAGAAGCTATGCCATGGCCTGAACATGCAGAACAAGCCCCGGGGGAGGAAGTGGGCATAAGGAGACCAAGTTGTCCTGGGATAGAAGGAAATGATATCCCAAGTCCTACACCCTGAAAGAGTCAGGGAGTCCTCTTGAGATGGGCCACTGAGATGGACACTGGCTAAGGGTCTTTTGAAATAAAATTGCCCTAAAGCAACAGGGAGATGGGATTAGTGGACAAGTCTCACTCTGGCTTATGGATGAGGTGGTCAGGGTCTTTGAGACGGTCCCAGCCCTTTTGGGAGTGACCATGCTGTAATCTGAAAGCGTTGGTCTCTAATAGACCAGTGAGAATCTGAAGCTCTCTCTCTGGAAAACAATGTTGGGAGGGTTGTCCTCTCTCAAAGAGCTATTATAAAATGATCAGTACCATGGCATGTACCACTGAAACCTGAATCTTTTTAATAGGTGTTTCTATAACCTAGCACATCATAGAACTAGGAATTTTTTTTGAGGCAGAGTCTCACTCTGTCACCCAGGCTAGAGTGCAGTGGCATGAAGATAGGTCACTGCAGCCTTGTACTCCTGGGCTCAAGCAATCCTCCCACCTCAGTCTCCCAAGTAGTTGGGACTGCAGGCACACGCCACCACATCTGGCTAATTTTTGTATTTTCAATAGAGACAGACTTTTGCCATGTTTACCAGGCATGATGTCTTGAACTCTTGGACTCAAGCAGTCCTCCCACCTTGACCTCCCAAAGCACTGGATTACAGGCCTGAGCCACTGTGCTCAGCCGATACTAGGATTAAAACAGATTTTTTCCACTATGCCAAGTTCCTAAACCAGCATGAATCCCAGAGCTGAATGGTGTTAGTATTCTCATAACTGACACAATGTCAAGTCAAAGAGCTGACACAGGATACCTGGTGGAGTTTCAGAAATCAGTAAGTGGTTGAGGATGATTTTGGGACTAGAATAATGGGGTCTTCCTCATGCTGCCAGATTTACATGGACAATCAGCAATTTAACATTCTGCTTATAAAAAATCAAGCTTGATACAATCTGTATACGACAAAACTGAGAAATTCCTCCAAAATTTTTCTATGATCCTATATTCAGGGTGTCTTTTCAATCCCTCTCCATTTTATTTCCAACTCCTGGTTTGCAGCAAATGCCACATTACCTCATCACTCTAATGATACCAATATCTATCTCAGCGCTTCAAGAAAACAGAATCACTGAAAATTATTACAACTTGTACAAAAAAGAGTAGACTAAGGAAACACCTACGATACATTTATGCTTTCACTCACTTCATTTATAAAGATACTTATTCTGTTTCGAGAGCGTACTTCATTTCCAGCAGTGCTAAATCTTATCTAATACCATACATTTTTCTTAGCATGTACTTTGGAATGACATGAAAATTACTTGGTCCTTAAAAAATAGCTTTAAATGATGATTTATTGGAGAAAGGAATAATTTGGTATTATGTATTTCTTTTGGGGAAGAAAAAAGTATATTTTAAAGATATCAGACTCCAGGTAAAATTAACCTACATTCAAAAATCATTATCATGCCCAATTCTAGCTTAATGATCATTAAATTTGTCTTGCAATCGTTTTGAAATAAATCACAAAACAATAATGAATAGAATTGGCTGTAATTTAGGAAAAACCTGGCATGCCAAGTTAATAATAATAGGATTTATGAGAATGCCATAAAAAATGAGTTCTGCTGTCAACAGTTTATGATTTGGGCTCCAGGGTGTTTTGAAGTTCCAGGTTGCAGCTATAAAGAATTCTGGATACAAGCTTTCTTTTCATTTAAATACATCTAAGTGTTATCTTATAGCATATAATCCAAAACTTGATATTGATTTTATTATAAATATTGTTTTAGTTAAATATGTATTGAGTGATGTTTCCATTTGCTTCTGTTAGTTGCAAGCAACAGACACTAACTTAGGCTAAAAATTAATTATTGGAAAATTGGAGGCAGCTCATGGAATTGAAGAAAAAGCCAAAAGAGTCAGTACATAAACTCCCTTTCTTATTTCTGGAATTTGGGAGCAGGTGATAGGTATACATAGGATTAATAAAAATAAAGATTTTTTAAAATTACCTTTATTGGCTGGACATGATGGCTCACACCTGTAATCCCAACATTTAGGAGGCCAAGGGAAGAGGATCACTTGAGCTCAGGAGTTTGAGACCAGCCTGCACAACATAGTAAGACCCTGTTTCTTTCTTCTTTTTTTTTTTTTTTAATAAAAAAATCACCCTTATCACCTTTAAAGCTGATTGCATGGCACAGCCTTAAATCTGTAGCCAAATAGACTCACTACTACATCACCCATAAATTAAAGCTACACATGCAGACACTGGCATAGCTGGACAGCTCTAGGCCTCCCTCAGAAAGGGAGGCTCCTTACCACATGGAGTAGAGGAAACAGAATGCACTCTCCCGGTAGGCAGGCAAAGTTGAAAAGACAAAGGAAAGTGGCTGACTGGGGCATATCAGGCTGCTTTTACAATCTCATTGATCAAATAGCTCAGTCTGGCAGAGAAGTGAGTCATGAAGAGCCCAGAAACTAATGAAAGTTCCTCCACATGGAAGCATGAGGCCAGGGAAGCACAGCACTGCCTATTGGATTGTGTGGTTTGTGCTGTGCACACCCTGAGCAGCTGTACGGTGCAGTCCTGTAAGTAGGTTCCCCTAACAAATAGCCTAACATGAGATCCTCATCTGAAAGAGCCCTTCGTCCCCTTCGCCTTTTCAAGAGGGTGCTGGCTGTGACTACTCAGTTCCTTCCACAACTCAGCCATGGGTTTATTCATCTATTTATTTTAAAATTGAATACAAATAATAATTGTATGTATTTCTGGGGTACAATGTAATGCTTTAATATATGTATATGTTGTAGGAAGATTAAATAAAGCTAATTAACATAACCATTTCCTAAGCATTTAAAAATGCAGACTTTGGTGGAGGGAGTGAACAAAGTGGCAGAAAGCCAAAAGTATGAAGGGAAATTTCAGGGTAATTTGGGGAAAGTAGAGAGAAGCTGAGAGGCATGAGATTCATGAAAGGAGCAGATGGAAGAAGAGTGGGGGATTTCTTTTTTCTTTTTTCCTTTTTTTAATTTTTTGAGACAATCTCACTCCATTACCCAGGCTGGAGTGCAGTGGCACCATCTCAGCTCACTGCAACCTCCACCCCCCGGGTTCAAGTGATTCTTGTGCCTCAGCCTCCCGAGTAGCTGGAATTACAGTCATGTGCCACCATACCTGGCTAATTTTTGTATTTTTAATAGAGATGGGGTTTCATCATGTTGGCCAGGCTAATCTTCAACTCCTGACCTCAGGTGATCCACTTGCCTTGGCCTCCCAAAGTGCTGAGATTAGAGGCAAGAGCCACCGTGCCTGGTCAGTGGGGAATTTCTAAGAGCGTTACTGAGAATTGTGTATCCCCTCCACAGTGTTTGAGAAATCCAGTAAAAAAACTTCAGTTACCTTCAAATTGTGTTTTGTTTGCTGCACTGTGTTTCTTAGCCTATGATATACCCAGAAACTGTGTTCCATTAGGTTGTATATGAAGGGTGAGCTAAGGGGAGGAACAAGGTTTACCACACGGGTTACTGAATGAATTGTGGTATCTTTCATGATAATTTTAAAAATCAGGAGGAGTGTTTAGGGAATAGAGGGTGTTGATTATCTACTCTGTTTTTGCTTTGGGTGACGCAAATTCAACATGTCTTCTTATCTTGATGAAGGGGCAGTTGACAGTTTTTTTGAGATCTATACCACAAGTATCATACAACTCACTCAAAGTGTCTCTAGTATCTTCACAGAGTTCTGCAAACATCACTACAACCAATTTTAGAAACTTTTTTTTAACCTCAAAAAGAAACCCTATATGTTTTCTGCTACCATTACCCAATCCTCTCGCATCCCCTAGTTTTAAGCAACTACTGATCTACTTTGTCTCTGTATAAATATACCCTTTTTGGACATTTCACATAAGTGGAATAATATATAGTATTTATGACTGACTTTTTTTACTTAGCATACTATTTTTGAGGTTTATCCATGTTATGGCATGTACCAGTACTTTGTTTCTCTTTATGGCCAAATAGTATTCCATTGTATGGATGTATCACATCTTGCTAATTTGTAGTCAATGTCAGTTGATAGACATATGACTTGTTTCCACCTTTTGGCTATTATAAATAATGTTGCTCTGAACATTTATGTACAAGTTTTTGTATGGACATATGTTTTCATTTCTCTTAGGTGTATAAATAGAAATGAAATTGCTGGGTCTATGTTTATCTTTCTGAGGAACTGCTAGACTAGTTTCCCCAGTGGCTGTGCCATTTTACATTCCCACTAGCAAAGTGTGAGGGTGCCAATTTCTCCACATCCTTGCCAACACTTGTGATTATCTGATGTTTTGATTATAGCCATCCTAGTGGCTGTGGTTTTGATTTACATTTCCCCGATGACTAATGATGTCCAGTGTCTTTCCATGTGCTTATTGGCCATTTGTAAATTTTTTTTGGATACATGTCTATTCAGATTTTTTGCCCATTTTTAATTGGGTTGTCTTTTTATTGTTGAGTTTTAAAAGTTCTTTATATATTCTAGATATAAGGCCCTGATCACATGTATGACTTACAAAGATTTTCTCCCACTATGTCGGCTGCCTTTTCACTTTGCTGGTAGTGTTCTTTGAAGCACAAACACTTCTAACTTTGATTAAGTCCAGTTTTTCTATTTTTTTCTTTTGTTAGCCTGTCTATTTTTAAGGATTGATTATTTATGAACAAATTATCTTATTTTTCTTGTACCTTTTTTGACATCATTACTGAAATCTTACAATCTACATATACATTCTCCACCCCAATAAAACCTCCTATTAAATATATAGTGCATTTTCTAAGCAGTGTTATATTAAAATTAAGGAAATATAGTACTGTTAAATTTTTAAAAATAATTATGACATTATTGTGTTATGATTATTATACTTTAATAATAGTTATACTGTAATCTGACCCACGTTTTAGTTGTAGAATTTGATTAGAATGTATCTTTGTAACTTGTACTAAATTCTATCAGACAATTCCCATTACTACCACAGGCTTAAAAGATTTTTTATCTAGCATGAAATAAAAAAAAAATGTCCGGCCAGGTTGGCTCGCACCTGTAATCCCAGCACTTTGGGAGGCCAAAGTGAGTGGGTCTCTTGAGCTCAGGAGTTCAAGAGCAGCGTGACCCACATAGTGAAATCCCATCTCTACCACAAATACAAAAATTAGCAGAGTGTGGTGATGCACACCTGCAGTCCCAGCTACTTGGAGGGCTTGAACGCAGGAGGTGGAGGCTGCAGTGAGCCGAGGTAGCACCACTGCACTCCAGCCTGGGTGACAAAGTGAGAGACTCTGTGTTTATATATATATTTGCAACTTTTCTCCTCTTTCTGAATGTGAAGGCTATTTCAGTTGAGGGGATCAATTTGTATATTCGTTGCTAAAGTTTTTGTTTTCTTTTACATTCTAGAAACTGAAAGCAAAATGTTTGTTTGGACATGTTAAGCTTCCAAGAAAACAAAAATCTTGTAAATGTCTTTCCAACCACAAGTTTCACTTTGCTCTAAAAAGTGTAAAACATTTTTTTTCAATGGGTATTTTCAGAAGTTACCCCTGGCTGGGCAGAATTTATGTCAGCCCATGATGGTATTTGTTTGTTTTGTTTTGTTTTTAAGCAATACTTTGAACTCAGAAACTTCTACCTTTATTGAATTTCCAGTTACAAATCCAATCAGATTAGAACAGCAGTGTCCAATCATTTTGCTTCCCCGGGCCTCACTGGAAAAGAAGAATTGTCTTGGGCCACACTGAGCTAAAAAATAAACACAAAAAAATCTCATTATGTTTTAAGAAAATTTATGAATTTGTGTTGGGCCGCATTCAAAGCCATCCTGGGTCGCATGTGGTCTTGGGGCCTCGGGTTGGACGAGCTTGGATTAGAACTATCCAATGAAATTTAAACAAAGTGCTTTCTATCAGTTTGAATTAATTTTATTTTATTCCTAACTCAGTATAGGAAATCTCATAACTTAAATCCCTTACCCACGAAACCTTCTTATTCCTTCTTTTATGAATAGGGAAATAGGTTTTACTTGATGCACTTATTCGGGACTTTGATATTGGCAGAACTTTCTTGCTCTCTGTGTGAAAAAATGTGTTTCAGCTTGTGAACTCATTTTTTGTTTTGTTGATTAGTTTCAGAGTCTTCCAAAGGAATCAGGGGTTTATCTCCTTTAGAACACAGGCTGTACCATTCACCTGGAAGGGACTCAACACTCTCAGAAGAGCTGCAGTAAGCTATTGAAAATAGCTCTTATGGAGATCACACACAAATGTTAAGAACCTTGACATGCTGAGATTTTCCTGGATTATTCAGGTGGGCCCAATGTAATCCCAAGAATGTAATCACAAGAGTTCTTATAAGAGGAAGACAAGGGAGTCAGAGTGAGAGAAGGTGAGGTAAGCAGAGCAGGGCAGGGAGAGGGAGAGAGAAAGAGGTAGGAGAAAGCGAGGGAAAAGGAGAGCAAGGGAGGGAGAGAGGAGAGAGAGGAGAAAGAGAAAGTGAAGATGCTACACTGCTGGCTCTGAAGATGTAAGAAGGGGCCATGAGCCAAGGAATGCAGGCAGCCTATAGAAGCTAAAAAGACAAGGAAATAGATTCTCCCCTCAAAGCCTCCAGAAGGCAGTAGCCCCAATAACCCCTTAACTTTAGCCTAGTGAGACTTATTTCAGACTTCTGACCTCCAGAACTGTAAAATAATAAATCTGAGGGTTTTTTAAAAATAGCATTTAGGCTGTAGTTCCCAAATCTGGCTGGTCATCAGAATCACCTGAGTAGATCTATCTTAAAGGCTATACAAAAAAAAAAAATGAAGTCATGTTATTTGCAGCAACATGGATGGAACTATAGGGAATAAGATACAGAAAGACAAATGTCATGTGTTCTCACTTATATGTGGGAGCTAAAGAAGTTGATCTCATGAAGGTAGAGAATAGAATGACTGATATCAGAGGCTAGGAAGGGTACATAAAGTGGGTTAGGGGAGATGAAGAGAGATTGGTCAATGGGCACAAACATACAGTTAGATAGAAGATATATGTCCAGGTGCGGTGGCTCACGCCTGTAATCCCAGCACTTTGGGAGGCCCAGGTGGGTGGATCGCGAAGTCAGGAGTTTGAGACCAGCCTGACCAATGTGGTGAAACCCCGTCTCTACTACAAATACAAAAATTAGCCGGATGCGGTGGCACGTGCCTGTAATCCCAGCTACTCAGGAGGCTGAGGCAGGAGAATTGCTTGAATCCAGGAGGCGGAGGTTGCAGTGAGCCAGGATCAGGCCACGGCACTCCAGCCTGGGAGACAGAGCAAGACTCTGTCTCAAAAAAAAAAAAAAAAGATATACATTCTAATGTTTGATAGCAAAGTAAGGTGACTATAGTTAGCAACAATGTATTGTATATTTCAAAATGGCTAGAAAAGAGGACTTGAAATGTTCCCAACACATAGAAATAATAAATACTCAAGGTGATGGACACCCCAGATACCCTGACTGGATCATTACACATTCTGTGCATATGAAAAAATATCACACATACTGCATAAATATGTGTAATATGTATCAGTAAAAAAACCAGGCCTGGGCAGGTGAATCACTGGCATAGGTAATAAGGATGATACCACCCAGTGAGTGGCCTGGCAGCTGGAATAGTTGTTTAGACTGGAAAATACCTAGGAGCCTAAATCTTAAAGTGCAGAGAGGATGACGTGAAAGGCATAATGAAGATCTGCACTCTAAATGGTGGCTCGGTGGCACAGTGGGTGTTGGATGCCATAAAAGGTACTTGTGATGACTCATTGGTGAGAAAAATAGATACACAGAATATTTAGAGGAGAATTGGAAAGACTGGATTGAAATTCAAGGTCCCTCACTAAGTCTCCTTGTCCTTTCCCTCCCCCATGCTTTTGGAACATGTTCTTAAAATTTATTATATTTTATTTTATTGACTGATTTATTTTTCAGAGACAAGTTCTTACTCTGTCACTCAGGCTGGAGTGCGTGGTGCAATCATGGGTTACTACAGCCTTGAACTCCTGGGCTCAAGAAATCCTCCCATCTCAGCCTCTCAAGTAGCTGAGATTATAGGCACACACCATCATGCCTTAAAATTATTATTTTAAATGTACAATTCAAAGGGGGAAGTTCTCAGATCTATGTGCTATTGCTCAGACTGAAAATATATGCAAATATTTAGTACAAGAGTTTTTTCCAAACTTTACTTTTTATTTAGTCATCTAAAGAACTTTAAAATATACAGATTCCTAGACCCCATCCCCTCCACTGGATCAGAATCTCTGAGGATGGAGCCTGGAAGTGCCTGTCTAGAAAGCCCTCCAGGTGGTTCTGACATCCCTGCTTCTGGGCCAGCTGTGAGTGAAGTCAGTCAAACCCCTGTGTTTTTGCATTCTTAATTAAATAACATGGAAAAGCTAGGACCCAAAATACAACTGGAATGATTCCTTGCAGCAGCAGTTCTCAAAAAATGATTGTTGAATGAGAAATCTTTGCTCAAAGAAATGTTAGCCTGATCTGTAAACTGTGAGGCCAACAAGAGGATCAACCTGAATTACTCCAGCAGGTGGTGGTATGGGATGTAGAGGTAGGGGTGAGGTTAGCTGCATCCTGCCTTTGGCTGAGAGGCTCACTCACACTTCTGTCACCTTTTGTGTAAAGAATAGCAGCAGGATCCAGCATTCTCCATTCTCTTCTCCAGTCAGAAACATTGAATTGCCAAATATATTTTCCTGAAAATCTCTCTCTCTCGTCTCTCTCTCTCTTCATCTCTTTTGAGACTGGCTCTAGCTATATAACCCAGGCTGGTCACAAACTTCTGGCCTCAAGCAATCCTCCCACCTCAGCCTCCTGAGTACCTGAGTAGCTGGAATTACAACCACAAGCCACCATGCCTGACTAAAAACCTCTTTTTGTCTTGATATTCCTCTAATCAGAAATCTGCATTGGCACTTTAGTTCCTACCAGATAAAATAGAAATCTGGAGGTCTGGTGTTTCAAGACTGGTCTCAATCTACATTTCCAAACTTATATTCCATTCCTCTCCCTTTTGGAGGTCTTCTCCTGGCCCGAGCTGTCCTGGTTACTCTTTCCATAATTGTTTTCAACTTCCTTACCTTAACCCCTTTCTGGAATGTCTTCTTTCTCACCCAGGTTGAAATTTTACTCTTCAGTCAAAGCCCCACTCCCTTCCTGTGCCTTGGTGGAAGAGTTTTCTCCACTGCTGCTGGTCTGTAATGGCCTCTCCTGCCTCTGAGGTGCTATTAAGACTGACTGCCTATGTTACTTTTGGCCTTGACTATAACTAGTAACTATAGCTTTGAAAACAGGATGATATTGGATTATTATTTATTTTCCCCTCAGGGTATATAGTTCAGCACCTTGTACA